>NC_000002.12:203853254-204156284 GCF_000001405.40 Homo sapiens
AGATCTGGGTTAATATATTTATCATTTAATAATAATTTTTTCCTCCTCTTCAGTTCTTACACATTTGCACAAATTTAGTTTCACTTCTACTGTCAGCACTGCACCCCAAATTAAAACTGAATTCACTCCAGCTTCAAGTTCTAACTGGGTCAGGTTTGCTAAGAATTAAGACCAGTTTTATCAACTCTTTTTATAAAATTGACTTGGGTTTCAAGAGCGTAATGAAACCAGAAGGTGGGGGAGTTTAGAATGTAGTCTGGTCTCAATTCGTCTGCTGTTTGAAAACCACGGTCTAGTTTCAACCCTACTAACCTTGGATAGTTGAATTAAAAAAAGAAAAAAAGTAACTGGCAAATCCCAGCAATCCATGGAATACAATAGCATCTTTTGAAGGACAATAAACTCAGAAAGGAAAGGAAACATGGAATTTTTCATGTGAGGTTTGCCAATAGAGTAAAATAATCGTATCAGAATTTAAATTAGTTTTTGTCTCTTCGGAGAGAGACCTTGAGCCTCCCTCTGATGCTCCTTAGATGCTTGGGCATCTAAGCAGACTTTATTTATGTCTTTTATCTCTATCTTGATCAATTTCTTTCATCTGTGTTCCTAATATCTCAGCTCCCCCATCTGTCTCACCTCACTCTGGGCTCTGTTTCACCTCAGTCCTAATTGAAGTTATAAAGGTTTTACGTCTCAGTACTTCGTTGAAAGAGCCTTAGCCCTAGTCATTATCTAAGACTTGGATTCAGTGCATTTCACATCGCTGAGCTCTCACATGGCTCCTGGTCTTGGAAATGGCCACTGGACTGCCTCCATAGTCAGGTAAGGCCCAGCTTTTCCACGGTCCCTTTTGCTTGGATCTGAGAGGACTGAGTTTCTGCTTTGGCTCTCTTGGCTGCCTTGCTCTGACCAGTTCTTTTCGCTGAGGCCAGAAGCCCTGACCCAAACTCTTATCTTTCTATCCTGGGAGCTGGGGCTCACCCATCTGTGGGCCCACCTTCCCAATGAAGACGTATCCAGCTGCCTGCCTGGTTTCCTTCTTGTGCTCTATATGCCTGCCTGTATGCGTTATCTTTTCTTTAGGTTCTAGTGCGGTTATTCGAATTATGCCTGGTAAAAGTTTGTCATCACACCTGCTCTGATCCCCCAGGGGGGCCTGATACTCGGCTGCAGTCCTGCACAAGTGGTAGGTAAGGAGGAAATCTCCTTCCTCTCCATCTCTACTTGCCTTGTACGGTTGTAAGGCAGGAACATGCCTTCTCCTCAATTCTCAAAATGTAATAGCTCATTTCTTTTTCTAGTGGTACACTGCCATAACTGAAAATGTTTCTGGTATTCAAAGACCTGTAGCACAATCTTTGCAATATCTTGAAAGGCAGCGCTTATTTATTGTTTGAATGTGAATTTGATTTTTCCCCCAACAATTCTCTCATTAACTAAGGACAGTTGGTGACCAAACCAGGTGTTTTCCACTTTGTAGCAAAACGAAGACACGATCACAAAGTAATAACACACTGCATTTTTTCTCCCCTATAAAAGTGAGAATAATTCCAAGAGGTATCCCAGAGATGTTCTGAACAAGGACAGCATCACTGGAAAATTATAGCCTTCTAAACTGACATATTTGAAGGGTTACAGTCACTTGGACTGGCAGTTTTATATTCACCTTCCTGTAAAGATGAAACAATTGACCTTTCATTACTGAGAGTTTCTTGAAGCTATGATGAGCTGTGGGGAGCCAGCCATGCTTACATTTCCCTGGGATTCTCCTTGTTACTGGTGGAGATGTCTCCTTAAATATTATACTATTGTATTAAACTTAGGTAAATAAAAGGGCTCCACGTGCTAAAGAAAGATGAGCCTCTTTTCCTTCTTTTGCCTCCTTCTGCCAGAGAAGAGGCTGGCATGGTCGGGAGCCTTGGACTATACGTATCTTTAAGTAGGAATATTATTCTGACAGAGAGGAATCAGCCAGAGAATTATTCTAAAATTGCATAAGATTGGTCCCTTAATTTTCTGTCCATGGTATGCTCAAGGTCATGTCTAATTTATTATACTGAATGTGGAATTTCTGGGAATTATCTGATACCTGATTCTGACAGTTTTAACCCTTGACATCTGAAGTCCACTGTAAACTGAAGGTAGTCTGCCTGACATGCTTGGTGTATCTTGTATGATTTCTGTAAAGTTAGAAACTGAGGACATGCACTCAGAAAATGCAAAGTCAGCAGTTGATGTGGAGCCAGGCTTAGCTCTCTGCCTTTGAGGGTCACAACCAGTAAGAGATGAACCTTAAAGTTCTGATTCCCATATTCAAGGTCTCAATGAGTTTGGGCCCAGATAGCTCAGGTAAATATTAAACAAATTTACCTCTTTCTAAAATTTACCTATGATGGATGTCTTTAATACCTTGGTTGTGGTTTCAAAAGCTTAAAAAAATTTTGCTCCACTAAAGTGTCACTCTTATATAGGTCACATAATCCACTTATTTGCATGTCGGATGGACCATATCCAATAATGTAATTTATCTTTGGGGAAAAGAATGTGTTTCTTAATGTGTACAGTATCTTTTATAGCATTTCAGGAAAGTTAACACAAGAAGTGCTTTACGGTTATTGTGATGATGATGGAGTAAAAAAAGTGGAGAAGCCGATGGTATAATACATTGTGCTAGAGAAATTGCTTCTTTGATGTATATTCTAGAAACTAGAGTTCTCATATAGACTAATCTTGGATTTCAAATCTCTGCATGAAAGAGAAGAAGCTAAATCCATCTCTTATCTCCTTTCAACTTCTCCAAAAACCGGAATGCCAAAGTTCTGATGACCTGACATATACTTAGTGTTATGTAAACATTAAAAGGACTTAATTTTTGTTGTTTGTAATATCTTTTTTTCTAACCACAAAGTAACACATATACATTCATAAAAATGGAAAATACAGATAGGTAAAATAAGAAAATAAAAATTTTATGTAAAAATTATGTAAGCATCACTAAGATGTTACTATATATAATTCTACGTATATTTTTGGTTTAATTTTACAAAGCAGATCATACTCTAAATATGATTTTCTAATCTGATTTTAAAATTTATATATCATGAAGGGAAAATACACTTTTAATTAAAAATTGTTGAGAGTTGAAAGTAAGAGATCCTTCCTAATAGTGCCTTCTTATCTCTCAGGTGAGAAAAACTCTGATGCAATTATATAACTGAAATAATTCACATTTAGGCAGCATCAGAGCCAGGCCTATAACTAAAACCTCCTAAATCTTGGGTAACTACTTTATGCATTTTACAGGTGTCCTTTCTTACTTTTCATATGCTATGACTAAATCCAGTGTGATTAATTGGAATTAGAGAGCATGAGAAATTCTTATCTTCCTCTTATGTCCTTTAGCTTGGCTAAATGTTTGCTGGAAAACAGTGGGTAGGATCGATTAACACAGAATTTATTGAAAATATTTTAAAGAAATAATTTGTACATTTTGTGATGAGTTTTCAAACTTTAAAGCTTCAAATTGAGGTCTCTCTGCAGGAACGACACGATTTGAGGCATTGAATCTTGGTAACATCTCAAACTGCTATAAATTTCTAAAAAGTTGTTATCTGACTCAGTGTCAACAGAAACATGATTAAATCTAAGTAAGAATTTCCTTTTAGGTTTGCGACTTCAAAAAACCATTTATGCTGAAGAAATTTGAGTTAAAGGCTCTAAAATAGATTCAATGAATCTTATCAATCAATCAATTTTATTTGCTAAATTTAGTACTAGAGTGACATTATCTGTACATTCTTTGTATAAAAACATCTAGCAGAGCACTTTTTTGGGGTTTTGTGATATCAAGAGGTTTTGGGAATTTTAGGAAAGTTCCACCCACAATAAAAACCAATGTTCTCTTATTGCTGATTAATTCTGTCAGATGGGTCAGAATCGATGCTTCTTTGAATACATGCAAATTATCCTTCATTTAAAGTTTCTGTTTTGTCTTTCTTCCTTTGTTTCATTTGTTTGTCATTTCTCTTATTCTTCTCATTTTCTTCTTTACTCTCATTCTCTTAAAATAAAAATCTTAAGGATTTCACTTATTTTTTTCAGTTTTTCTTTGCTACAGGAGATAGTGAAATCAGTGAGTAAAATCAGGTTATACAAATGGCATTCACTTACATAGACATTTTATGATGTTAAACTAAAAAAAAAAGCCTGGTTATTTGGAGGGAGATTCAGATAATTTGGAAGTGATTTATTTTCTCAAACGGAAATAGTGATTACAAATGATGAGAAAAAGAATTGCATTTATTTGGCAACATGATCATAAACTTGCTTACTGAATTTATCCTATAAATCAGGATAATAAATTCCAGTGGCAAACATTTAATTTTTAAACATCATAACTTCCTTTAGCTTTTTTTTGTGAGCTTAAAATTCCAAATAAACTTACTTGTTCTCATGCTCACAATTGTCTATTTTATCCAAAGGATGAAATGCAGGAGATGCATTTGATGGAAGCTTCTTGACCTGCTTATATTTTAAGAGCACAGGAAACACATGTTTCTGGTGTTTTCTACTTGTCAGCATTTCTTAACCGATGGAACAGAAATGTCCAGAACTACAAAGTTCAAACTTTGCATGTGGCAAGAACTTTATGTGATCAGACTGAATCTAAATAATGTTGAGAAATAACAAAAATATAAGCAATGGATTTCTAAGCAGACAATGTCATTGCCATGACATGGTCCTATTAGGTGCATACAGAAACTGAGCTCTATGCGTGTGCCAGACAAAAACCAAAGAGCTTCGGTTTTAATTACAGTGCATTACTCTTATTACCCTCAACAGGTTCTGACGTGACCATGTAAATACAATTATTTAGTTTCTTCCTTATGGCTGAAGTGTTGGGCCAGAGATTTTCCTCTTAGAACATAATCTGTGAAATGGGTCTACTAAGGAAAGCTACTTAATGTAACCAGCTCCTTCTAAATCATATTCTCCTAAAGCACACCGGAATAATACAGTTCATTGGGCCAAAGTTTTCTAACATGGCTTCCCTCCATCTCATTTAGTTAGTCCACAGCTGAGTAACCTGTTAGAAAATTGTGCCCAGCAGAGGGCAGAGCCAGTGATCCATATCTCAGATTCTGGCTGGTGATGGTTCAGTGTGATGTGGGATCAGAATTGCAGATTATGAGAAATAACCAGAATCTTTCTTCCTTGCCTCAGCCCATGGAGGATGTGTCCACCAGTTCATTCTTTTGACACTTGGAAAGAAGTGGAACGTGGATTCAGATTTGGCCAGATTACATTCAGAGGAGAGTAAAACATGGCCAATAATACTGTAAGACCAATGGTGTGCTTTCTGAGACGGTGAATGCCTATAGAATCTGTCAATATGACCGTATTTTTGCGTGTGTGTTGTAAAGTGCATATAACATAAAATCGACGATTTTAACCGTTTCAAAGTGTACAATTCAGTGGCATTTCGTATATTCACAGCATCATGTGACAGTTACCACTATGCTGCTCCAGAGCGTTTTCATTACCCGAAAAGGAAATCTCATACCGCCAAGCAGTCATTCCCCATTTTCCCCTCTCACATTCCCTAGCAATCAATAATCTGCTTTCTGGCTCTACAGACTTGCTTATTCTAGATATTTCATATAAGTGGAATCGTACAATACGTGTCCTTTTGTGTCTGGCTTATTTCACTCAGCATAATGTTTTCAAAGTTTACCCATGTTGTAGCATGCACCTTCATTCCTTTTTATGGCTGAATAATATTCCGTGGTGTAGATAGAGTACATTTTGCTTATCCATTCATCAGTTGATGGACACTTGGGATGTTTCCACTTTGGCTGTTGTGATTAATGCTGCTATGAGACCATATGTATATGTTTTTTTACTTAAATGATTTGCTGATTTGTGTTTGTGGGTACCCAAGACCTAGCAGGAAGTTTGGTGGGGCTGGGTTTGAAGTTGCAAACTGGGCAGAAAACTAGAGCCAGAAGCCATGCCAGTTCAAGAGGTTCTGGGGAAGATGGTGAATGATGGTAAAGGCAGTGAGAAGAAAATCACATTAGAGTCAAGGGCCCTTGGACTCTCATCTTGGTTCTGCCACCAGCAGACTGTGTGGGTGATTTGGGTAAATCATTTCACCTTCCTGGGCCTTCATATTCTCTCTTTAAAATGAGACAGCAGAACTCACTAACATTTCTTCTAGCTCTAGGAGTCAGTGCCTGCCACAGACTGTGCAAACACCCTGTATTTCTTGTCACCTAACACACCCTTTTCCAGCATCACAGCTGCTATCACTCACACTGTAAACAGTATAGGTACTCTTTTTCTATATTTTCTGTGCTCAAGGTTTGGGCTTAACCATTTCCTCTGAACTGGAAGTATGAAGAGGGTCAGGGCCTGGCATCATTGAAATGTGGCAGTCGCAGCAGGGCCCAAAATAACACAGCTCAAAATATGAAAGCAATGTCTCTGTAACCAAGAAACTGAAATAAATGCTCGAGGCTGAGATTATATCAGCCACAAATATCATGGAAGAAATGGGTTCCATCAAATGTTTGGCACTTCCAATGTTACTCTTTATAGATAGCTAGCAAGTTTTGGGGTGTAGGTGGGTGGTTCATTCAGCATTAAAGATGATTTGTAGTCCATGTCCAAGATTTCCTTCTCCTTGCACTAAGACAAGAAAATATTAGTGATTTGTGAAGTTTCTTCTTTTGTAAAATGGAAATGGTACTGGGTAATCTCAGCTCGTTCTAAATAGAAATCAGGTACACTCCTGAATGTACCATTCAGGTGGGGTACATTGTGGGGAGGGTGTCGTGGGTCAAATATGGGACTATTTACCCTTCCCTTTCTGTTTATTTCTCCTTGACAATGAAAGAATAAGATCTGAATATGAGACCCTGGGCAAGTCAATTGCCTTCTCAATATCAGTTTCCTGATCTGTAAAATAAGAAGCTTACCTATTTTGAAAGCATCTATTTTTGGCTTTTGATAAAGCCACTTACTTAAATTTATTTGTGGCTGGCTGTGTTACAACAGGGCTGAGGGATTAAGAAAAAAGACAAAATCCAACTTTAATTTTACTTTTAGGAGTGAGAAGCTAAGGACATTGACAGACAATCAGAGATGATAATGTCTAAAATTCAAAATATAATAACAGAACATTATCCATAAGTGGAGATAAGATATTCAAAAGATGTAATCATATAAAGAGCTTAGGCAATTAGAACACAGATTCCCTGTACAAATCGCTTTGTGACCACAGTTAACTTATTATTATTATTATTATTATTATTTTTGAGACGTCTCGCTCTGTTGCCCAGGCTGGAGTGCAGTGGTGTGATCTCAGCTCACTGCAACCTCTGCCTCCCAGGTTCAAGCCATTCTCATGCCTCAGCCTCCCGAGTAGCTAGGACTACAGGTGTGCGCCCCCACGCCCAGCTAATTTTTCTATTTTTAGTAGTGATGAGGTTTCACCATGTTGGCCAGGCTGGTCTCGAACTCCGGACCTCAAGTGATCTGCCCGCCTCAGCCTCCCAAAGTGCTGGGATTACAGGCATGAGCCACCATGCCCAGCCGACTTATTATTTATTCATTCAAAAATATTTGTTTTCATCTCTATATAATTAAATCTGTGACAGGCAAAGATTACCCTTCAACTGAAGCAGGCTCTGCATTTCATTGTCATCCAAATCAGCAAATACAACTTTGCTTCCCTGACAACCCTGTTCACAATGTAAACTGAAAAGCCAGGAGGAACCTACTCTGTTTCCCCACTAAAGGACTGACAAAGTCCACAGCTCAGAAGCATCCATTTTTTACCTGATTTTATGATTGGCTTATAGTTTCCTAGGGACTGAAAATTAATCTACCACATTTATTTAACTGGGTTCTTGCCCAGCCCATATTTTCACCCTTTAATGGTAATGAAGCTAAAATTTCTTTCCAGTCACTTTGCATATCATTTCCTTTCTCTTTAATTCTCTTTCGAAGTGAGATGATTGATAGATTCTTCTTCAGCAGTCACTTACTTTGGTAGATGATTTTCTTTTTCCTTTGAAGTCGATTTTGAAAGGAGCTCTGTGTGATGAGCTAATTAGCACAAACACACAGAGTATATAACCTTAATTAGGCATGATTATAGGCTCAACGTAATGGGATGTCCTGAAACTGCACACTATGCAAATATTAGACTTTTCATTCTTCCCATTACATCGGAAACCATCAAGCAAAGGATGTTTTGCAGTAGGTACCACAGTCAATGCCAGGTGCAACTCTTTCAATAAAAGGTTGATTTTTTTAAAATTGTTTTGGTATACTAGTTGGGTAAAGGATAATTGGAGGAGGTTTAGGGAAAAAGTTCAAAAATCTGAAAAGCTGAATTCAGTTCAGAATGAGCTATATAAGCTGAGGAATTTTACAATTAAGTAAACAACCCAGTTACTCTTTAAACTCTACCTCTTTTGGAATTCTGAAGATACTTCACCATAGGCACCACTATGAATTATGCAAATCTTGAGAGATCTTTCAAACCCAGTAACCACTAAGAGTACTACAAAACCAATCTGGGGTTTACTCAAGCTATTAGGATATAAGAAGATAGTGAGTATAAATGAAATCACAGTGAATCCCCAAGTCCTAATTTTAGCCGATTATTTTCATTTCCTTTACCACCAACCCCCCACCTTTTTTTCTTTTATAATTGGAGTGGTAAAAATAATTAGCAAATTGACTTTCCCCTTCCTAACCTGAAATGAAAATATCCAAGGATGTGGTACCCTTAGACATTTGAATATTCAGCCACTGAATAATTGAGAGCTTATAATACATAATTCTTAGATTATGTGTAGAGTTGTGAGTTTTTAGACTCAATCAGGTAAAAAATAATAAGCCGTTTGGTTCCAGACACTCATGGAAATACTGACAGGGCAGAAATTCAATATGTGAGTATTAGAATAATTAGTATCTGATTTTAATCTAAAATACCATCTATTCAGTAGAAATGATAATGAAAGAGGGTTTATATAACAGCTGAAATTTAAAATCCATAGCGTTCTCTGTGTTTAATATGTAAACTAATTTTTCCTGAGAACATAGTATATGATAGGCACAGTGTTCAATAACTTATTGGTATAGGCTCATTGAATCATCGCAATAATGATACAAGATAATTCCTGTAAATTACCCATATTTTACAGATGAGGAAGCTGAGGATCAGAGAAGTTAAAAAATGTCATCCAAGATCACATATCCAGAAGCTGCAGAGCCAGGACTTGAACTCATGTCTGTCTGACTCCAGCCATGCTTTTAATCACTCTGCTGGGCTCATTAGTACCTATCAGGCCTATGATTGTGTCCTTAGTGATTAGCACTTTCCCCAGAGCTGGAAATGAGATGCGAGAGAAATAAAAATGCTTGAGATCTAAACTGAAATGCAGAAATTCTCTATTATCTACTAGGTACAAAGGAGGCCTTGACTAGGTGCTTTGTGTGTGTTGAGGTTGTAAGTGCTGTGGAAATAGAATTTGGAGGAAGACAGACAGAATTACACATGATTGACTATAATAAATACAAACCTATATGATACAACATGTTATTGCTGTACATAAGATAACGGGAAAAATCAGTACTGAATGAGAATGAGAAGACGAAGATTTCAATCTAGTTTTTGCCACATACCAAATGTAGCACTAGATCAATGAGGGTCTCAACAGGCAACAGGGGGTTCAAATAAAAGATTCAATGAAAGAACTACTTTGAGAAATATTAAGAAGGGTTAGGGGTGGAGGTTCGTAATGCACCCAGACACTAGCAACAGTGGAAGCTGATAGCACCCCTAGGATGGAAAGATTCTTACTCTTTTTTTAAGATTCTTTAAGATTCTTTAAGAATCTAGGGTAAGATTCTTACTCTTACCCTAGGGGAGGTAAGAGTAAGAATGGGCATCATAGAACAAGGGCCACCAAACAAGAGCTGTACTTGTGGAGAGGTACTGTTACTACCAGACACATGGCCCTGAACCTGGGAGAGGGCAGGGAAGAAAGACCTGGACTTCCACCTTGTGCTTTCTGATGTGCTGGGAACTTCCAATGCTAAGCCCTCAGAAGCCACCCTGACAGGGAACTAATGAGACATTTTCTACAGGGGTCTGTCCCAGGTGGAGCTTGGATCTGAGGAAAGGGGATGGAGAATCACCTTCGGCAAGTCACTTTTCCTCTCTAAATTTCAGTTTGCTCATCCCTCGTTTATTGCCTACCATATTATCAATAATATAAATAGTTGGCCTTATAATTTTTACTTCGAATTTTTTTGAAAAACCTCAAATTTACAAAGAATTTGTAAGAATAGTACCATGAATACACACATATTCTTCACCTAGATTCACCAATTGTTAAAATTCCATCACTGCTGTTTAATTCTTTTTATCTTTCTCTGCTAACACAGACACATATTTTTGCTGAACCTTCTGAGAGTACTTGCTGACATTCTGACACTTAAACCTCGAATACCTAAGTATTATCTATAAACAAGGATGGTTCTCTACATAACCCCAGTACGATGATCACATTCAGGAAATTAAACATTAAGGCAATGCTATTATGAAATATAGGCTATACTCAAATTTCCCCCAGTTTCTCAGTAATCTGCTTTGTATTATTTTTTTCAATCAATAATAACACATTAAATTCTGTCATCATGTCTCTATTTTCTCCTTTAATCTAGAATGGTTTTCCAGGCTTTTCCCTTTTTAATCTTTTGTGATGTTAACATTTTTGAAGAATCTAGGCCAGTTATTTTGCAGAATATGGATTTGTCTGATTATTTCTTCATGCTTAGATTCAGTTAAAACAATTTTGGCAATAACTACACAAAGTTGTTGTGTCCTTCTCAGTGTATTGTATCTGGAGGTACCCTATGTCAGAACACTCCATCACAGTAATCTTCAGTTGGGATCACTTGGTTAAAGCAGTATCTGCTAGATTTATCAATTATCTTTTCCCTATTGTAATTATCAAGTAATCTGTGGGGTGGTATATGTGAATATATCTTTTCTCACCAAGATTCTTTTACCCAGCATTTTTTTTACAACCATTTGAATTTTCTTGCTATGACAGAATTAGTTTCATAAGAGCATAATTAAGGAATCTGGTAAGACGTCTTTGAAAGTTCTAATTACAACCCTCATCTCTTCTTATGTTAAACTGTCTTCATTCATTTACCTACCTATTTAACAAATGTTTAAAGAATGCTCGTTTTGTGGCTTGGCCTGTGACATTTTCATCAGTGGCTTCATAGTTGCCTAAACTAATGTCTCTTCCTGTGCTCCAGAATCCTATTGGCAACTATTTTCCATGGATGCCATAAACTCAACATACTCAGATGAAAGCTGTCATTTCACTTTCTCACCTGCTCTTCCTGTTATTTATTCCAGTAAATTGCACCTCTGTCTTCTCATTGACCCTATAATAAGAAAGGCCTATTTATTGAGTGGCTATCTGTTACAATAGGCCTTTTATACATGTTACATGCATTATCTCATTTAATCTTTTCAATAATCTTGAGAATTAGATGCCATTATCTGGAGGACATTGGGCTTTGAGCCCCAGGTCAACAGTAAGCAAGTCCCCATGCTAGGATACAAATCCAGTTATCTTGGGCTTCAAAATCTTTGCTTTAGCATAGTGATAAAGGTATCACTGGCTTCAAATCCTGGCTCTGCCACTTCCTACGGGTGATTGGGTAAGTCACCTTAACTTTCAATGCCTTGATTTCCTTCTTTATAAAATGGGAAAAATGGTAACTCTTGTCTTGTAGGGTTGTTATGGACTTGAAAGAAACAAAACTTGCTGGGCGCGGTGGCTCACGCCTGTAATCCCAGCGCTTTGGGAGGCCGAGGCGGGTAGATCACCTGAGGTCAGGAATTTGAGACTAGCCTGGTCAACATGGCGAAACCCCATCTCTACTAAAATAATACAAAAAATTAGCTGGGCGTGGTGGTGGGTGCCTGCAATCCCAGCTACTTGGGAGGCTGAGGCAGGAGAATCACTTGAACCCAGGAGGCAGAGGTTGCAGTGAGCCGAGATCGCGCCACTGCACTCCAACCTGGGAAACAAGAGTGAAACTCTGTCTCAAAAAAATAAAAAAGAAAAGAAAGAAAACTTGACATTTGAATAATTTCTGCAGCACCACAGTACTTCTCAAACCATAATTCTGGTGTCATTCATTCTAAACTTCTCCTTCCACTCACTGATTGTGGACTAGTCCCATAGGGACCTCGTCTTCACAGCTGTCATTACCTTAGTTTAGACCAGGGGTTGGCAAACCATGGCCCACAGGCCAAATCCAGACTTCACCTATTTTCGTAAATGAAGTTTTATTGGAATGCACACACACCCATTTGTTTACATATAATATATGGCTTCTTTCATTCTAAAATGACAGAGTTGAGTAGTGGCAACAGAGACCCCACCGTTTGCAAATCATAACATATTTACTATTTTGCCCCCTTCAGAAAGCTTTCCAAATCCTGGTGCCTGGCGTATTCCAATAGTCTTCTTCCCAGTCTTCCTGGTTACATTTCTCCCTGAACCCATCCTCCCCATCCCTAAAATTTCCCCCAAATGTGAACTCAGTCATACCAGTTTGCTCCTTATGTTTCATTGGCCCTTGCTGCTAAGAGCATCCGCTTGCACCTTCTGCTCATCCCCAGACAAGCTTTGTCCTGTGACCATAATGAACTCTTCATGCCGTTTCCAACTTTAGCCCATGTTATTCTTCTTGTCTGAATATCCACCCTTTTCTCTGTTCTCAATAATAAGTTCAGGCTTTTCGTCTTCTGAGAAGCCCTTTCTGACTTCCACAGGCTGAACCACTGGCTTCTGCTCCTCTACATAATACTTCAATTCCAGCATTGATCTCACTCTATCATGATCATGGGTTTAGCTGTCTGTCCCTGCCACTGCTGTGTGTTCCTCTTGAGGGCAGGAACATTTGTTTTTCACTTTTTAAAAAACCTCTGTTGCCCAGTCTGGCATTAGGAAGTGCCCATTAGGTTGTTATTGCTTGTTGGCGCTTGAGCTGGGGCTTGAAGGTTTCTATAATGTGTAGCAGTGTATAGAAAACAGGCAGGTCAGAAAAGGCTTCTGTGCATCACACCAACATGGCACATGTATACATATGTAACAAATCTGCATGTTGTGCACATGTACCCTAAAACTTAAAGTATAATAATAATAAAATTTTAAAAAAAAAAAGAAGAGGCTTCCTGGAGGAGATGACAGCTGAGCTAAGTCCTGGAGGATGAGAAGGAGTATAAAATAAGATAATAGGAGAAAAAAGGCAGTAGGAACAGCATGGGTAAAGGTGATGAGGCCTGAAAGAGGCACGTGGAAGGAAAGACAAATGCAGGAAGGGGGAATGGGAGGGAATGCTGGGGTACAGGCCAAAGAGGGAGGCATTTGGTGAGTATTCTGCAGAGTCTCCTCTGCTGTGCTGAGGTGTGGACAATGGGAAACCATGGACGGACTGGAGTAGGCAAATGTCATATTCCCTGTTACAACTGTCTGTTTGCATGTCAGCCTTCTAGAAGCCCCTTAAGGTATCAACTATGTTTTTGTTTTGTCATCATTCAATCCTAAGTGCACAGAATTCCGGGCATATTACAGGTTCCCCATGAATGTTTCTTTCTTTATTAAAATGTATGAAAACTCTCCAGATTTAAGGAAGGTCCTCAATGTTTCAAATTCTTTTTGTTAGATCATTGGTCCTGTCTACAGCTGTCACAAATTTAAGGACTCTGGTTATATTTAATCTTCACTTTTGAATTTTCTGCTTGAAAAATTTGTATTAGAAAAAAAAGTCTATCCTTTTATGGACGGCTCTAATCTCTTGAATCATTTGGGTTGGCTTTTCTTTGGACCTTCTTCAACTCTGTTTTGTCTCTGTTGAGTTAAGGCTTTTAAGAACACCTGAATTCTTTCCTTCTGCAAAACCAGAGGCAGCTTCTTTTCCGCCTATTTTCAGTTTATTTCTTGTGATTTTAGTTTTTTTCTCTTAACCAAATGCTAAATGGATTTAGGAGAAATAAACTTATTTGTAAAGCTGTCAAGGGACCATTAGAAGGATGGTGCTTCACAGATAGAATACAGTTTTTATTAATGATGCCTAGACAAATCCTGCCATTAGCCCAAGGGCTCAGAAAGTTAGCAGCCTAGTAGTTTTGGAGTTGTCAATGAAATGAATTGGACTGGATGGTTAAGGATGCCCAGAAGATTGAATAAAATTGGGATTTAGGAGGACCCTTGTACTCCAGGAAATTCTCCAAGTCTCCACTTAGTTATCCAGATCCTCAAAGTGAACATGAAGCTTCAGTTTCAAATTGAATACATTTTCCATCCATGGATTGGCTTGTTTTGTTCAGTTGAGTGCTTGAGGTTGTCTTTTCGACGTAACAGCTAAACCCACGGCTTCCTTTCTCGTAAAACCAAAACAAAAAGGCTTTCTATTCAAGTGCCTTCTGTGTGTGCACATGTGTAATACATATCTGGGATCAAAGCTATCTATATAAAGTCCTTGATTCTGTGTGGGTTCAAACACATTTCAAAGCTTCAGGATCCTGAAAGGTTTTGCTCTACTTCCTGAAGACCTGAACACCGCTCCCATAAAGCCATGGCTTGCCTTGGATTTCAGCGGCACAAGGCTCAGCTGAACCTGGCTACCAGGACCTGGCCCTGCACTCTCCTGTTTTTTCTTCTCTTCATCCCTGTCTTCTGCAAAGGTGAGTGAGACTTTTGGAGCATGAAGATGGAGGAGGTGTTTCTCCTACCTGGGTTTCATTTGTTTCAGCAGTCAAAGGCAGTGATTTATAGCAAAGCCAGAAGTTAAAGGTAAAACTCCAATCTGGCTTGGCTGGCTCTGTATTCCAGGGCCAGCAGGGAGCAGTTGGGCGGCAGCAAATAAGGCAAAGAGATAGCTCAGAACAGAGCGCCAGGTATTTAGTAGGGGCTTCATGAATGCATGTGAGTTGGTTTAGTAGAGAGACACAGGCAATTTCAGACCCTTCTATGAGACTGGAAGTGATTTAAGAGGGAAAGGATAGCCATAGTCCTGAATACATTTGAGCTGGGTTTCAGGATGAGCTCACAAGTTCCTTTAAAAAAAATTGACTTAAGCAAATCCTGGGAAGAGTTTTTTTGCTATACAATTCAAGGTTTTAAGGTCCTCGGATTCATATACTTTATAAATGAATTAGCCAGCTTGTTTAAAATGTAGGGAAATTGTGGGAAGAATGCCTTCTTTACTTAATTCAAGGTTTTAAGGTTCTCTTAATCAATTCTACTAGCTAATTAGCCAATTATTTAAAAATAAAAGTTTGAAATTGCCAAAAAAAAAAGACAAGGAAAAGGAAAGAAAGAAAGCCACCAGTCTGTTTGGCATACAATACTTAATTGTTGCCTGACCTACGTGTGGGTTTCAGATGCAGATCCTCAGTTTTCAGCTCTTCAGAGACTGACACCAGGTTTGTTACACGGCTTAAAATGATGAGTATATCCATTGAATCTCAACCTTATCTCTCTCTAGACCTTCTTGGTTAAGAAACCATGTAGTTTGTATGAAGTAGGTACTCAAAAGATATTTGATGATTTAATTTTTACTGGAGAAGAAATATTCATATATGTTTTCTTATTTTTACATGTTTTAAATATGTAAAGATTAAATAAACACTCTTAGAAGTATTTAAATTTCCTAAAGTAAATTTATCTCAACCAGTAACAGGACCCTCCCAATACTGGAAAGTTGAGTGTGACCGCATTTAGTGGTGATGAGTGTGAGCTTGCTTGGGGAGAGGGCAGGACATTTAGGATTTCTTAAGCTTAGAGTCAATACAATAAAGATTATTGAGTGCTCACTTGGGTGGGCTATAATCACTGCTCACAGGAGTTCATGAACCACAAGTAAAAGAGTGAGGAGATATGATTAGCTCACAAATAACTTTAATACAGAGCAGAAAGTAATGAACTACTGCAATGGAGTTATCACAGTGCTAAGGATGCTCAGAGGGCATCTCTGATAGGCAGAGGTGAGGGTTAGGGAAGGAAGCTGTAGTCTAGCTAGCTAGAGCTGCTGGAATAGACATGACAATGGCTGCTGCCAAACTGTTTTCTCTTCTGAGGACAGATGTCCCGTGCAAGTGGCTTGGTGGAAGGGACTAGTGTCTCTAATATAGGGTGATTTATAAGCAGGAAAGTGTGTCCTAGAAATTCAGACCAGAGTGATAGATTGGAATTGGATCATGGGGGACTCATTGAATGTTATTTATTGTATTTGTTTTTGCGATCAGTGTTAGTAAAGTGTCAAAGGGATTGAGCAGATGAGTGACATCATGCAACACAAGTTTTGAGTTTCACTTGTCAGACTGACTGGAGAGGGGCCTGGTTAGTTACAGGAAGGTAATTTGGCATGCAGCCACTATTTTTGAGTTGATGCAAGCCTCTCTGTATGGAGAGCTGGTCTCCTTTATCCTGTGGGAAAAGAGAACAAAGGAGCATGGGAGTGTTCAAGGGAAGGAGAAATAAAGGGCAGAGAGGCAGCGGTGGTGTCAGGGGAAGCCCACAGGAGTTAACAGCAGGGTTGCCTCAACCTAGAGAGGAAGCGACCTGGTGCCCTCGGCTCTGTGGCTTCCTTCATCTAACAACATCTTCCACTCTACAACAATGCCAGGGAAGGCGGAGGCTGGTACAGTGCATCAAGACACAGCTACTCCTGGGTGACAGAGGTTCAGGGCCAGCTCACTAAGTAGGCAGAAGTTTTTGACATATACTTTGAGAGATAAAGCAAGATTCTGTACCTCAACCTTCAGAATTTCCCCTACCACTCATTATAGTTCCGGAGCTATATAGCTCCTATCATTCTATCATAACCTTAGAATACCAGAGAACATATCATCTCATCTAATTATCTCTTACTATATGTGAAAAAAATGAAGGACATGGGGGAAGTGTGACTTGCCCCAAATCACATATTTCATGGTAGAGCCAGGTCTTCTGTTTGTCATATCAGTGTTCTTCCTGCCACAACCATCTTGAAGAATCTATTTCTCAGTAAGAAAATATCTTTATGGAGAGTAGCTGGAAAACAGTTGAGAGATGGAGGGGAGGCTGGGGGTGTGGAGAGGGGAAGGGGTAAGTGATAGATTCGTTGAAGGGGGGAGAAAAGGCCGTGGGGATGAAGCTAGAAGGCAGAAGGGCTTGCCTGGGCTTGGCCATGAAGGAGCATGAGTTCACTGAGTTCCCTTTGGCTTTTCCATGCTAGCAATGCACGTGGCCCAGCCTGCTGTGGTACTGGCCAGCAGCCGAGGCATCGCCAGCTTTGTGTGTGAGTATGCATCTCCAGGCAAAGCCACTGAGGTCCGGGTGACAGTGCTTCGGCAGGCTGACAGCCAGGTGACTGAAGTCTGTGCGGCAACCTACATGATGGGGAATGAGTTGACCTTCCTAGATGATTCCATCTGCACGGGCACCTCCAGTGGAAATCAAGTGAACCTCACTATCCAAGGACTGAGGGCCATGGACACGGGACTCTACATCTGCAAGGTGGAGCTCATGTACCCACCGCCATACTACCTGGGCATAGGCAACGGAACCCAGATTTATGTAATTGGTGAGCAAAGCCATTTCACTGAGTTGACACCTGTTGCATTGCAGTCTTCTATGCACAAAAACAGTTTTGTTCCTTAATTTCAGGAGGTTTACTTTTAGGACTGTGGACATTCTCTTTAAGAGTTCTGTACCACATGGTAGCCTTGCTTATTGTGGGTGGCAACCTTAATAGCATTCTGACTGTAAAATAAAATGATTTGGGGAAGTTGGGGCTCTCGCTCTGGAGTGCTAACCATCATGACGTTTGATCTGTACTTTTGATATGATATGATGCTCCTGGGGAAGTAGTCCCAAATAGCCAAACCTATTGGTGGGCTACCCATGCAATTTAGGGGTGGACCTCAAGGCCTGGAAGCTCTAATGTCCTTTTTTCACCAATGTTGGGGAGTAGAGCCCTAGAGTTTAAAACTGTCTCAGGGAGGCTCTGCTTTGTTTTCTGTTGCAGATCCAGAACCGTGCCCAGATTCTGACTTCCTCCTCTGGATCCTTGCAGCAGTTAGTTCGGGGTTGTTTTTTTATAGCTTTCTCCTCACAGCTGTTTCTTTGAGCAAAATGGTGAGTGTGGTGCTGATGGTGCACCATGTCTGATGGGGATACCTTTAGTGGTATCAACTGGCCAAAAGATGATGTTGAGTTTAGTGTTCTTGAGATGAGATGAGGCAATAAATGAAGAGGAAGGACAGTGGTAAAGAACGCACTAGAACCGTAGGCATTGGCATTTGAGGTTTCAGAATGACTAATATTTTAGATGAATTTGTTTGACATTGAATGTTCATGTGCTTCTGAGCAGGGTTTCAATTTGAGTAACCGTTGCAATAACATGGGGCAGCTGTTTTGCTCTTTGTCTTCATGACAACTGTACTTAAGCTAACAGCCCTGAAACATGAGATTAGGCTGGGCAGAATGCTGCTAGAGAGGACCACTTGGATGGTCTTTATTCTCCTTCTCCATGTCCCTCTCCATCACCTGGAAGTCACCTCTGGGTGCCACTCTGGTGCCTTCCTTGTCGAAGCTGTAGCTGCTCACATGACACCTATCCCTGTTATCCAGTTTGCTTGACTGGGACGTTTTGCCTTCCCCTTCAGCCAGGAAGTGAAAGTCCCAGTTTTTATTTATCACAGGTGTTGGTATTGGTGGTAGAAGAGGTAGAATTATGGAATCAGGCCTCCTGTCAGGATTTCTTTTTGACAGTCCCTCTCAGACACCTCTGCCTAAGGCCAGCTTTGCCATTACAAACTCTCCCTTCTCCCTCTCTCCCTTCTTCTCTTCCTCTTCCTTCTTCTCGCTCTTTCTCTCTCTCTCTTTCTCCCTCTCTGTCTCTTATACACATACACAAAGATATACTCTATTCCAACATCCTCTACCCAACCTGACAGAGATGTCCTTTGCTGTAGGTTCAGCAGTGGGGATGAGAAATACAGCTCTCAAACAGGATAACTAAAGCTTATTATCTTATCAAGCTTGTTCCCTTGCAGACAAGATTGATCAATTATCATAGGCTTTCTGGGTGTTCTTTCTGAAGCTTTCTCAAAGTCTCTTTCTCCTATCTTCCATTCAAGGCAAATGATTGCCATTTAACATCAAAATCACAGTTATTTATCTAAAATAAATTTTAATAGCTGAATCAAGAAAATCTCCTGAGGTTTATAATTCTGTATGCTGTGAACATTCATTTTTAACCAGCTAGGGACCCAATATGTGTTGAGTTCTATTATGGTTAGAAGTGGCTTCCGTATTCCTCAGTAGTAATTACTGTTTCTTTTTGTGTTTGACAGCTAAAGAAAAGAAGCCCTCTTACAACAGGGGTCTATGTGAAAATGCCCCCAACAGAGCCAGAATGTGAAAAGCAATTTCAGCCTTATTTTATTCCCATCAATTGAGAAACCATTATGAAGAAGAGAGTCCATATTTCAATTTCCAAGAGCTGAGGCAATTCTAACTTTTTTGCTATCCAGCTATTTTTATTTGTTTGTGCATTTGGGGGGAATTCATCTCTCTTTAATATAAAGTTGGATGCGGAACCCAAATTACGTGTACTACAATTTAAAGCAAAGGAGTAGAAAGACAGAGCTGGGATGTTTCTGTCACATCAGCTCCACTTTCAGTGAAAGCATCACTTGGGATTAATATGGGGATGCAGCATTATGATGTGGGTCAAGGAATTAAGTTAGGGAATGGCACAGCCCAAAGAAGGAAAAGGCAGGGAGCGAGGGAGAAGACTATATTGTACACACCTTATATTTACGTATGAGACGTTTATAGCCGAAATGATCTTTTCAAGTTAAATTTTATGCCTTTTATTTCTTAAACAAATGTATGATTACATCAAGGCTTCAAAAATACTCACATGGCTATGTTTTAGCCAGTGATGCTAAAGGTTGTATTGCATATATACATATATATATATATATATATATATATATATATATATATATATATATATATATATATTTTAATTTGATAGTATTGTGCATAGAGCCACGTATGTTTTTGTGTATTTGTTAATGGTTTGAATATAAACACTATATGGCAGTGTCTTTCCACCTTGGGTCCCAGGGAAGTTTTGTGGAGGAGCTCAGGACACTAATACACCAGGTAGAACACAAGGTCATTTGCTAACTAGCTTGGAAACTGGATGAGGTCATAGCAGTGCTTGATTGCGTGGAATTGTGCTGAGTTGGTGTTGACATGTGCTTTGGGGCTTTTACACCAGTTCCTTTCAATGGTTTGCAAGGAAGCCACAGCTGGTGGTATCTGAGTTGACTTGACAGAACACTGTCTTGAAGACAATGGCTTACTCCAGGAGACCCACAGGTATGACCTTCTAGGAAGCTCCAGTTCGATGGGCCCAATTCTTACAAACATGTGGTTAATGCCATGGACAGAAGAAGGCAGCAGGTGGCAGAATGGGGTGCATGAAGGTTTCTGAAAATTAACACTGCTTGTGTTTTTAACTCAATATTTTCCATGAAAATGCAACAACATGTATAATATTTTTAATTAAATAAAAATCTGTGGTGGTCGTTTTCCGGAGTTGTCTTTATCATCCTTGCATTTGAATATTGTGTTCAAATTTTTGATTGATTCATTCAGTATCTGGTGGAGTCTCCAATATTAGAAATACTGGAAACAAACTGAAAAACCACAAAAGGACAAATAATGCTTCATGAGTCAGCTTTGCACCAGCCATTACCTGCAAGTCATTCTTGGAAGGTATCCATCCTCTTTCCTTTTGATTTCTTCACCACTATTTGGGATATAACGTGGGTTAACACAGACATAGCAGTCCTTTATAAATCAATTGGCATGCTGTTTAACACAGGTTCTTCACCTCCCCTTTCTTACCGCCTGCTTTCTCAGCTCAACTATCACAGGCATTACAGTTGTCATGGCAACCCCAATGTTGGCAACCACGTCCCTTGCAGCCATTTTGATCTGCCTTCCTGAAATATAGAGCTTTTCCCTGTGGCTTCCAAATGAACTATTTTGCAAATGTGGGGAAAACACACACCTGTGGTCCTATGTTGCTATCAGCTGGCACACCTAGGCCTGGCACACTAAGCCCTCTGTGATTCTTGCTTAACCAATGTATAGTCTCAGCACATTTGGTTTCCACTTAAGGTTTCCTATTTTTGACCTCCACATCCTGTTATTGTCTTTTGCAGTGATTCTCAGTGTGGTCAGGGACCACCTGTAACTGAATCCACTGGGTCACTTACTAAAAACACCAATTCACACTTATTCCCAGATGCGTTGAATCAGAATCTTTGAGTGGTGGGGCCAGGAGTTTGTATTTCCAAAAATCTTCCCAGTGCTTCTTATACCCATCAAGTTTTGAGAATCACTGCTTAGGCAACTCTGTCTGTGTCTCTTCCTCTGTCTCTCCCCCTTGCTCATTCTCTTGCTTGCTCTTGCTCTCTTTCTCTCTTTCTTGCCCCAGCAAGTGCTAACAAACACACAAGACAGCACATAGTAAGCATTTCAAAAGGGGTTGTTAAAAAAAAACGAATAGGTCTTTCAAAGTAAGGTAATGATTATTACCTAGAATGAGCTCCTTTTCTGTGGAAGACTGTGCTTCTTGCTCTCTAGGCCTTTGGATGGTAGCCATGAAGAAAAACACCAATCAGGAGCCTCAGTGGATAGTATATCATTTCCACTCCTCTAAACATCTTTAGAGAGATTACTCTTTTTCATAGTTGATGGGCAGATCTGAGTGACAGAGAGTGCCTTACACAAGTGATGCCCTCCAGGTACCTTTCAGACACCCTTAGATAATGGACTACTTTATATAAGCTTAATATTTCCTCTGCTATTGCCTAAAATTCTACCATTTGTTGTTCACTGAGATAAGACTTGCCCTCTTCATTCAGTCTCAATCTTATAAAAATAAAATACCCTTTAGCTCAAAAAAGCTTCCCCTATGGCAGAAGAATTGTACAAGAAAGACTATGACCCGGGGTTCCGCTGAAAGGGGAGAAAGCAAATATGAGGGTAAGGGAGTGCATCTGGGCACCAAATGAAAGCCTCTTCTAATTCCCATGTCATTTATGAGAGAAGATTCTATGTCTGTAGTACTCAGAGAGGTGAACTGCCCCCAAATCAGAGGACCAACTGTCACATGGGATTCCAACCTTCATCATCATCTCCATTTCTGGGATCAGGGTCCTGGGGCAGCTCCAAGCCCAAATAATCCATGAACCCAAAAGGGGCTTGGCCTACCATGCAGGGGGAGCCTGGGCGTTGCAACCCTCCTCCTTGGAACCACTTGTCACAGGCAAGACTGTGGATGACAAGGGAGCCGGATAGAGTGGCCAGGGGCTCCAGAGTCAGTTCCTCCTCCAACATGGCTCCTAGCACACGCCTCTGCTCATGTCTCTTCTTCAGCATGGTACTCGCATTCCTGCTACTTCCCATTTCTTCATTTCTCACCTCCAAATATTATAATCCTTCATTGTCACACCCATCAAGACTAATCCCAAATTTTGCCTCCACCGTCAGATTTGCTGACACTTTAAGCTCGTGGATTTCTCCTCTTTTGTTTCATAGCTATACTTGGTTTCACCTCTAATAATTTCAAGCATGCATGTCTTTTCTACCTAGTTAGATCAGGAACTTCTCCAAGACAGGGATAATCACAACTTTAGGCACACAGTAGATGCTCCAATAAATGAATTGAGGAGTTGGGGAACTAGGACATCCAGGACCGTTTTCCATACAGAACCCATCTGTGTTTTCTTAGGCAGTCCCAGCTTAATCTCTTTCCCATTTGATCATCAGAACTTTGTGCAGGTCTACTCATCTTTTGGCTTAAACCTTAAAGACTCTGGACTGTGAGTTCCAGCTGCCTACTCTGTCCCACTCATTCTACTTTGATCTTAATCCAGTCTTACTTCCAATCTTTTTCTTTCTTTGTTGAATTCTTATTTTTATTCTTTTTCTCTTTTGAATTGTTGGTTGTTGCTAAAATTGACTATATTTTTATACCCAGTCTGAGCCTTCTTCCGTATCCACAGTTAATAGTTCATTCAACTTAGTTGGGACTGAGCTCGTGAAACATTGATGTCACTGTGTTGTTAACTGGAGCAAAGCCAGTTGAGAAGTTCAAGACTTTATAAATTTAGTTATTCTTTTGGGAGTTCTCAAAGCAAAGGAGAACATGGCTTTCTCCGGAAAGTTATTCCCATTGCCTTACTTGTTGTTTGCACCTGGTTAGAGCCATGACTCAGGCTCCTTAGAAACCTTGTTTTATTTCATATATATATATTTTTTCTCATCTCAGGTCAATTTTTTCTGTTCAGTCCAGAAACATGACACACCCTATTGGTAAAAAGGGAGGAAAATTTATTCTTTCCTCTTTTATGTTTCCTTGGCTACATGCTGGGATAGGGGCTCATGGTAAGTTTGCCAGATTCAACCAAAAAACGCCACAAAAACAAGAAAACAGGATGCCCTGTATTTTATCTGACAACGCTATCAGCAGGAAAGCTTATGCTTCTAATGCAGTGTGAATAAAAAGTGTACTAGAGGCTGGGTGCAGTGGCTCACACCTGTAATCCCAGCACTTTAAGAGCTGAGGTGGACAAATCACTTGAGGTCAGGAGTTTGAGACCAGCCTGGCCAACATGGTGAAACCCTGTGTCTACTAAAAATATGAAAATTAGCCGGGTATGGTGGCAGGTGCCTGTAGTCCCAGCTATTCGGGAGGCTGAGGCAGGAGAATCGCTTGAACCGGGAGGCAGAGGTTGCAGTGAGCAAGATCACGCCACTGTACTCCAGCCTGGGTGACAGGGCAAGGCTCCATCTCAGAAAAAAAAAAAAGAAAAAGAAAAAGAAAAGAAAAGTGTACTAGAGACCCCTCTTCAGAAGTTTCTGAGCAAGAACAACTTGAGACTGTGACCACTGTTCCAACTGTAACACAATCTCCTGTTCTCACTTCCAGGCACATGTGGGATTGATGCTATGTCACTGGAAGCTAATGAGACCTGCAGAAGAGGTAGCTATTTCTCTTCTAAGCAATTTTCTTAGAGGAAGTTAACCCATCCTGCTGCATATTGCAAGGAACTTGACATTCAGACCCTTCTTGGAAATCTGCTTTCATGGGCACACTCTATGTTCTTGCATTTATTTCGTACAATAATCATCTGAAGCATTTGGAAAAAGTGCAGATTGAAGTTCCTCTGAACCAGAACTTCTCACTTATAAGGTCTGAGGCAGGGCCTGGGGATTTTAATTCTTCAGAGAGCCTTTAGGCCATAGTTCATAAGCTCTGATCTAACTCAGGATTCTACCATCATAGATGATTAGCAAAGGATATTGGAAATGATCCTCAGATTTTAGAAGAACATAAGGCTCGGAGACTTTAGGGACCTTGTCCAAGGTCCTATGGCGAGGCAGGACTTGAACTAGGCTAAGAAGTCAGATCTCCAGGTTTTCACATCAGGGCTCTGCAGAGGGTGGCACTGTGCACCTTTCTGACCAGGGGCTGTCCTTTCCAGGCTGCTTCTAGGACGTCCCTGCTACCACTCCAGGCCACCCACAGAAAACCCACTTTTCCATCCATCTCCATCCCAAGTACTCCTGTTACATCTCGGTGTGATTATCACCACTGTTGCTGCTCCAATGTTGGCTTCATCTTTTCTCTTTCTCCTGTACCCTTCCAGAGGACTTAGGAGAAGCATCTCAGGTGACCCAGCCTGTTCTTAGCAATCCTACAGAAAAATGCTGCAGGCGGACAACACAAAGCAAAACGCTGCCAATAAACAGTCTGTCAGCAAAGCCGGCAGTACACTGAGAAAGCTCCTATTGCCACTGGAAGTCGTGGAACAACCCATTGAGATGATACATGCTCTTTTAATCACACACAGTCAAGTTACTATAGCAACTAACAGTGTTTCAGAAACATGGTATTAATCACACAAAGTAATACTATCTATTTGGACAAAAAGAAGCAGCTTCCTCTGAGAGGAATTGTAAGAAATATATTTCAGGGGATGATCGCAAATTTTAGAAGATAACACAGATGACTTCTCATGAGCAGCACTTTCCTGAAGGACATCATCACCTTTTTCTTCCTGCTTGTCATTTTCTTCCTGCTTCCACCTTGTCATGTTAGCCGTGCAGCATGCATCCCACTGGTAGCTTTTCTCTTCACCTTGCTGAAAATGAGTTTTTCTGGCCAGGTGCGGTGGCTCATGCCTGTAATCCCAGCACTTTGGGAGGCCCAGGCGGGCGGACCTCTTGAGGTCAGGAGTTCGAGACCAGCCTGGCCAACATGGTGAAACCCTGTCTCTACTAAAAAAAAAAAAAAAAAAAAAAAAAAAAATTACCTGGGTGTGGTGGTGGGCTCCTGTAATCCCCGCTACTCGGGTGGCTGAGGCAGGAGAATTGCTTGAACCTGGGAGGCAGAGGTTGCAGTGAGCCAAGATCATGCCACTGCACTCCCACCTGGGCAACAGAGTGAGACTCTGTCTCCTTCTTTGTAGTTAGCGTGCAACTCAAACATAGTCTCTACTCTCCTGTGAGCACCTTTTTGCCCCTGGCATTATGGTAAACCATAGCAGTATGTTAAGGACAGGAAATATGGATTTGTAAATGAAGACTAGCCTTGTATTCCTTTCCTATTGAGGAAGCTGATTCACTAAGATATAGTTCATGAATTCCTTGTCCTGAATGAAGAGGGAAAGGAAACCAACTTATGAAGCCTCAAATACTGCACAAATGGATGTACATTAGCTAAAGCAATTCCCACAGTAACTCTGTGGAAGAGGTTCTGCCATCATCTCCATTTTATAAACGAGGAAATTAAGTTCCGAAAGGTTTAATTACTTGCCCAAAGCCAAACAGCTAGTAAGTTGCAGAATCAGGATTAGGACACATGTTTAATTCCAAAGACCATGTTCTTTTCGAATGACCATATCTGACTTCTGGGGGTTACTGGCAAAAGGAAAAGAGCAAAATGGAAGGTGAATGGGGATTGAAGTATTGGAGAAGTAATGCATGTATTACAGGGGTTACAAATGGGTGTTGATATATCAGCCAATGTTTTTTTGGACAAATATTTTAAAAAGCTTTCTGAAGGTGCTTATTTTGAGATTGTCACCAGCAGCAGCTCTCTCCTGTAACCAGAGAGGAAAACAGGAAGTTGAAGACATTCAAAGATGGACCACTGGCTCCAATCCACAGTTTTAGCAGTAACTAGCTGCTTTCCCATTTACTGGCGCTGAAGTCAGCGCTGCAATATTGCTGGCTTGCATGCCTTTCTGGCCCTAAGGTATCATAGGTTCTCTCACACTGATGCTTGGCTCAGAGATGGGGGAAAATGGAAATCATTAACACAGCCAGTGAGAAGCTCTGATCTTCATGACACCTGCAGCACGCTCCTTGCGAAGAGGGTGATTCTCCATTTGAAACAGGCTAGAGATACAGGACATAATGAACAATGGAAGTCAGTGGGAGCTACCTTGCATTCATATTTGTGAACTTTGGAATGGGGCTAGTTTCTAAAAGGGTAATAACCAGCCTGGAGCAGAAGCTGAGGGTGGGGCGTCGGGGGTGAAGAGGAGGGAGGGTCTCTGAGTTCAGGCTGAGGGATGCTGGGAAAAGGCAATGACTCCCTTTGAGGAAAAAAAATAGAGGGCAAAAGCAGACTCCAGGGCCTGAAGATGCCCCCAAATGGCAAATTAAGTGAACTGGTATACGGTGAAAAAAGTTATAGAGCTGGGTCCAATGCCACAGGCCACATAGAAGATTGAGAGAGGCTCTAGGCAGAAGCAGGGAGCTGGTCAGCCGAGATTGTGATGGAGGTAGCTATGCATAAGTAATTTCTACCAGAAGTTGAAGTGTAGGAATATCTGGGGTCAAAGCAAAAAAAGACTTTCCCTGCTGGGAATGGAAGTTAAAAGTAATGATTCCACTCTGAATCGCTGGGGGTGGAGGCAGGTGTGTGTGTGGTGTGTGTGTGGTGTGTGTGTGGGCACCAAGCAGGGGTGAAAGCTGATTATGGAGGGGTGGTGTCAGGAAACATCACAAAGGAACCCCTGAGTGCTTTAGGCCTAGGCGGAGCTGCGTAGCATGGACTGCACTTGTGCCAATTCGAGTGTTGATAGTGTTTGTAATTTGTGCCTGAGAAGACATGATTCAAGGATGGCATGAAAGTTGTGTGTAAGGTGTGAAGGGCTGTCACATGAAAAATAGATTAGATTTTCTTTGTGGGCTTCCTGGAGCACTCAGCGCTGGTGTTCCACAGAAGCACATGACGAAAGAGGGGGTTGGTATTATTTTTCTTCCTGTTTTAGGCTTGGATTCAGAGTCAGAGAGAGGGCATTGGACCCTGTCGTACTGCAGACTGGCCAGAGGCAGGCCTGTTGGATCCTCACTAACAGCAGCTGGTGGGTAAAGGAAGGCATCAGAGGACCTAGTTGGGCAGGGGCCTGGGGAAGTAGACCTGCTTGAATGACTAGCTCCTGCTGGCCTAGCTCCTCCTACGGCCTGCCTCTGAGACTTGTTACGGGTTCAGGCTCCATTCAGGCAGGCGTCACTGTGCACAGAGATCTACCTTAGCAGGAGGGTGCCACAGCAGGAAAGGATGTGGCAGGAAATGCCCAAAGCCAGATAGACGTTGACCTTCTGGTGGGTCAATCAGTTCACATTAGGATACCTGCCAACATTTGGAAGTACAGAGAATAGGATCCCACACTTATGGGGAGGCTAGGCAGGGTATCATGGAGAATTGGAATGCTGGGCCAGTAAACTGAGGCCAACAACTAGTTAAACCCCATAAACTGGGGAGGACTACCTCTTGGAGACTGAGATGGTTAATACTGAGTGTCAACTTGATTGGATTGAAGGATACAAAGTGTTGATCCTGGGCGTGTCTGTGAGGGTGTTGCCAAAGGAGATTAACATTTGAGTCAGTGTACTGGGAAAGGCAGACCCACCCTTAATCTGGGTAGGCACAATCTAATCAGCTGCCAGCATGGCAGAAAAATGTGAAAAGAGAGACTGGCCTAGCCTCCCAGCCTACATCTTTTTCCCGTGCTGGCTGCTCCCTGTCCTCCTACATCGGACTTGAAGTTCTTCAGTTTTGGAACTCAGGCTGGCTCTCTTTGCTCCTCAGCCTGTAGATGGCCTATTGTGGGACATTTTGATCATGCGGGTTAATACTTAATAAACACCCCTTTATATCTATCTATCTATCTATCTATCTATCTATCTATCTATCTATCCCATTCGTTCTGTCCCTCTAGAGAACCCTGACTAATACAGAGACGTTGCCTAGAGATATTGCCATAGGCTGGGTCACTGATCCCGGTTGTGTCCTAAAAATTCTTTTCAATGCAGTTCTCTAGGGAACCATGGATCATCATCACAGTTGGCACTCAAGATGTCATTGAGAATCTAGAGATTTTAAGCTACTTCCTGCCTTTTCTAAGACCCAGCTCACATGTCCCCTCTTCTGTAAAGCCTTCCTAAACCCTCATACATGGTTACTCTCACTTCATTTGGTCCTTTAATCATTTGGCTCTTATCACTCTGCGGTATCAACCTTTGTTTATGACCTTGTCGCTTCTCGAGATTGAGCTCACGGTGGGCAATGAGAGAGTGCTTACCATATTTGTCTACCCAAACCTTTAAAGAGGAAGATATTATTTCTATTTTTGTCAAATAATTTGCCCCAGATCTCATCGTAGTAAGTGGTAGAAATGGATTTGAATTCAAGTCAGTCTAATTTCAAACTCTGTGCTCTTTTCCTTAAATCTTGCACTCAATGTTGTACCCTTCAGCACATTGGCATGAGCTCAGGTGGCAGGAGAACAAAGCTGCATTTTTGAGCATAGACAGACGTAGAAGGAATTTCGTGGCTGCTCTAGAAGTAAAGTTCTCCTGCTATACCCTCAGAAATTTCCATCTTCTAGGCTGCATGCAGTGGCTTATGCCTGTAATCCCAGCAATTTGGGAGACCAAGGCAGGAAGACTGCTTGAGCTCAGGACATTAAGACCAACCTGGGCAACACGGCGAAACCCTGTCTCCATGAAAAATACAAAAATTAGCTAGGTGTGGGGGCATGCGCCAGCAACTCGGGAGGCTGAGGTGGGAGGATCTCTTGAGCCCAGGAGGTTGGGGCTGCAGTGAGCCATGACTGTGCTACTGCACTCCAGTCTGGGTGACAGAGTGAGACCCTGTCTCAGAAAAATAAAAAAATTCCATCTTCTGTGGTGCATTATATACACTGGGATCAAACTGGTCTTGATGAATCTGACTTTTGACAACCATCCTAACACTATTGGCTTTATTCAGTTGCAGCTGAACTATTTCTGTCTAACTTGGCTGCCTAACCTACAAACTGTTTCAAATCAGATGTCTTTTTTGTCTAGTGAAACTGAGAGAATTATTTTATAATCACGCTCTCTGGAAAAAAAAATAGTGAATGGAAATTTTTAATAAAAAAGAATGTGGTAGAAACAGAATTTTAAGTTACTAATTGGAAAACATGTGGCAAAATCTTTATCCACTGGCCTACAGTATTCCGCGGCCATCTGTGGAAATTTATAGGTATTAAATTAGATACGGGCTGGTTTTTGTGTTTGTAGAACGTAACAGAAACCTAATTGAAAACCACATAGCAACATCATAAAACCAAATGCGATCTCTATTCCTTTCAGTGTCAAAATGCATACACATGTGAAGACAATTACTTTGGTCCTTAAACAAAAAGACCTCCATTAATATTTTTATTAAATACTGCACATTTCTAAGAGGGAGATAGTTAAGAAAGTAAATGTAAGCATCTGTCTCAGAGTCTAAATTATATTCAAGAGTGATTGTAATAAGGACAAATGTTTAGCATACAAGGTTAGTCTTACTTTGCTTATATTCTGCTGTTTGAATGTTTTCCTGTGCATAGATTTACAAGTCTATGTTTTTGTTTGTTTGTTTGTCTGTTTGTTTTTGAGACAAAGTCTTGCTCTGTCGCCCAGGCTGGAGTGCAACCTCCACTTCCCGGGTTCAAGTGATGCTCTTGCCTCAGCCTCCCAAGTAGCTGGGATTAGAGGAGTGTGCCACCACACCAGGATAATTTTTGTACGCCAGGATAATTTTTGTATTTTTGGTAGAGATGGGTTTTCAGCATGTTGGCAAGGTTGCTCTCAAACTGATCACTGACCTCAAGTGATCTGCCTGCCTCAGCCTCCCAAAGTGCTGGGATTACGGATGTGAGCCACCATGCCCAACTTATGTTTAGTTATTTAAAAATTACTGGTCACTGGCCTTCCCGCAGAATCTAGAAAATGAGAGCAGAAGAGTTGCTTCATTTGACAAAAGAGCGTATAATATTTCCTGGGCTGAGGGAAGGAGGCTGGGCGAGGTGACCCTCTGGGATCCTGTTGGATGAGGTACCAGATCTGTGAATTGGAACTCTGTCCCTGAGAACACTTCTGTGAAGCCCTGCAAAGACAATTGTCAAGGGCAAGGGAACTAGTAATCCTTCCCTGGAGAACTAGGAGTCCTGGGTTCTGCTCTTGGCTCTGCCCCAGCAGGTCTGCCATTGCCTGGTGCTGTTTCTGGATTAGGCGCTGTTTAATAATCACCTTTGTCTCTTCCCGGATTGCTCCAGCCCAAGCTGAACTCCCCACTCCGGACTCATTCGCATGCTGTCTTGTAATGATGCAAATTGTGATTGTTTAACTCTGACAATTAAGTTTTTGTGCATTAATGGTACTATCTCCCTAAATATCTAATGAATTCCCCAAGGGACTTTTTTACTTTAGAGAGGCAGTGTAGAGTAGTGGTGAAAGCATGGCCTTTCAGCAAAAGGATTAGGGCCTAACCTTCTCAATGCACTATGCCTCAGTTTCCTCATCTGTAAAATGAGGTTGCAGGTTAAATGAGTTACTATATATGAAGTGCTTAGAATGGGCCTGACACAGGGTAAATACTATATAATATTGATATATGTGGTAAGTATATTACTATAGTATATTTTTATTATTTCTTTTTGACCCCTCATAGTATTTGGTTCAGTGCTTGGCATAGGGTTGTTCTACGTTTTTCCTACTTGCCTGCATTTCTTTTACCTTTTCTTTATTTTCCCGTCAGTAAATATTTGTTAGGCAAATAAGAGCCTTTGTAATGAGATGGATCCTGGTGAAAATGGAGGCTAGGTGGTTGAATTCACTATATCTGTTGGTTGTTCTCCCTTTGCTCCTCTAAATTGATTCTCTATCCCTGCTCAGTTCTATGCCTGGGGGAGCTGACCTAAATGGGCCACATCCCCTGCCAGCCCTGCCCTGTGGAAATCCACCCCCAGAAGACACAGCAGGAGATGAGAGAGTGGGCAGAAGAGTGGTTGGGATATTTCTTCCATTCATCTCTGCTTTGACACAGCATCCAGGGCTGTAGTTGTGTCCTTTCTTGATTACATCTTGAGTGGTCCGGCGGCCCCTCCTATCTTCCTGCCCTCACTGGGCTTTGGTGGTTGTTTTCCCGTTTCGTCTTAGACCTTGTAGAAGTAGGAGTTTCTGCTGGTGCAGGTTGCTGGGGTGGGGGTGGAGGGGGGTCTCAGCATCCACTGTTTTGCCTTAATCCTGTCCACTCCTCTATAAGCAGTTTTTTAAATTCATATTTCATCAGTCAAATTATCTGAGACGAATTCCATTTTGTGCCGAAATCTTAACCAAGACATTACATATTCCTGGAAATGTCCTTTTATGCCTCTGGGTCTCCATTTCCTCCTCTAGAGCAGAAGGGGGTTGGTCAGAATCACTGTCTCCAAGGTTTTTTCTAGGTCTGAGAGGCTACTGGGCTATCATTAGAATTTAGAGTGACTTTATGATAAACTGCAGAGGTTTTCAGTTACGAACAAGGTGAATTCCAATCAAGAACAAGTGTAGAGAAGTGGGCTTTGTGAAGAAAAGCAAATTACAGAAATACCAGGTAATAAACGCCTGACTGTGTGCAAGTGCATCAGCAAAAGACCCAGGCATGAGTAAGCAGTGTGTGATGTTGCTTGGAGGGGGTACATCTGGGTATACTAAGCAAGGTGTGATCTGTGGGAAGTACAAGGCAATCCCCTGGAAACGCTTGTCACTGTGCACACCAGGCCTGGATGCTGCGATTTGATTCAGCTCAGTAACTTAGAAGGCGTGAATTTAAGAAAAAAGAAACCTAAAGTTAGATTGGAATTGGAAAATGGCCTTTAGAAAGGTCAATTTCTTCTTTCCTTCCTCCTCTCTCCTTTCGTTAAGAGCCTGAAAACAGAATTAAGCAGTCCTCATTCATATGAGGGAACATCTCAAGTCCCTGTGTCTTGGAAATGAACTATGTTGAGCAAGTTGCATTTTAGTTAATCATACATGTAATCGTGGACATAAATTACAATGATCAGTAATTTGTATATTGTTAATGGGTTTGTCACTGGCAGTATTGAGGGTTCTTGAAAATATTTTCTTTTCAGTTTGCCCATTTTTTCCACTGTGATGGCTTAGACACTGAGGAATGACTGGCATAGAACAGGTTTTCATTGAATATCTCTAGTGGAAAGAGTACCTGATTAGTTAGAAGATGGCCATTTGAATAGCTGTTCCATTTTTTGATGTTAAACTCTTTCAATTGCTTGTAGGTAATAAAGGCCTGAGTATAGCGCTTATTTCTAAGGCATGCCTTTTAAAGTGGCTATGTTGGTTTCACAAGAAGAAATTGTAAAAGTAACAAGGTCTGGAGAAGAAAGATATCTGGCTAGCAAATAAAAATGGCTAGCTCTGTGTCCCAGCCCCATCACCAATTAATTGCCAGTTTCATGCAAGTTATTTAATCCCCTGGGTTTGAATTTTCTCACTATCCTCCATTTGAGGAACACATTTCTGTTTTAAAAGCATGTTCATGTGTAGTGCTGAAATGTAGTAGTCAAAGGAAATGGTAGTTTCTTTGGCCATCATAACTGTCCTAGAACTATGTAGTGCCAGGCTGATCAGGATTTATAGATAAGAGGGTCAAGGCTTAGGGATGTTAATTAACTTTGTTAAGAAATAGAGTTGTATTAGGGTGTTCTTACTCACTCAATCTATTTTCAGCTTCATTTTATTGTGATAGTATCTCTGTGATATATTTAGTAAGGAACATAAATGTTAATAGAATTATTGACCTGTAAGTTTTGAAATGAGCAAGTAAAATTATTCAACACAGCCTGTGTTCCTAGGTCTTTCTTGCTAGAATGTTAATTTTTATTGCTGAATGAAAGGCAAGTCATTTGATTTTGTAATAGATGCCCTTCCTTCCCCACTCCACACAAACCGCAGAGCTTTGCTCTCTGGAAAGAACTCAATATATAAGCTCCACAACAAGTAAGACTTGAGATGGCACACTTGGAACAGTCAGAATGAGTTTGGTGAGGTATGCTAATCAAGAGAGGAAAGGAGCACAATTCATTTCTGAATTGGTTATCAAATTCTTCTTGTAAGTGACACGATTGAAACTGTCAATTGGCTTTGCAACCTGCTGAGTCCATATTTCTACATCTGTGAAAGCTCAGCAAATGAGACCTTCTCAGCAAAGGAAGAGAGTTTCACCAGCAAGAAATTTCATGAGGTGTCGCACCCTGTGGCCAACCATTTCTCAAGAGACCTGTTTCTGTTTCACCTATCAAATTACCTTATGATTGACAGGCAGCTTCACTCATTACTCAGATTTCCTATCTCCTTGGCAAATCTGGTCACCACAATACTCTTTAAAAAACACGCTCATGTTATTAGTATGAAAACATTCAACACTAGAGCTTGTTGGGACTCAAAGAGTCCCCTTTCCCAAGAGCGGCCATTCAGTTTTCCCATGTTGAACCCTTATCAGGTAGGCCCAAGGACCCTTCTCTTCATCCCTGTTGAAATATTTTACAAAAGATTCTTCTCAATTGCATTCTATGCTGCCATTCAAAATCACAGGCTATCCGCACTACAAAATGATGCCTTAAATCAGATGCTGTACTAAAAATTATAACCAAGAAGCTCCATTTAAGTGGCAGGGTTTATTTAGCCATTTTTAGCGTTGTAAGATGGACAGAGGCATTTCTCTGTCTTCCATAAGGGAAGAGGCATCTCATGGAGGCCTATCAGTGTTTGAGCAATGTAGAGTTGAAGCTCATCCACTTACATTCAACCTTGAGATAGTCTTCTCTTTGAAGTCTTCTTCTATAAAATCTCTATAGATGTCTTCTTCTATAAAGATGTTTTGAAGAGTATGATGTGTTTAATATATGTGTAGGTGGCAAAGATCATTGAGAAAAAAATGATATGTGTTTAGTTTTTTTCTTTTGGGTGTTTTCTTTCCTTCCAGACATTATGTCTGTTTCAAACACACACTCCTAGTAGCAGAATAGCTACAGCTACATGAATAAACACATTGTCCAGCTGAAAGAACACTATTCAGACTGCTGAAAACAGAGCCAAGTTAAACAATAGGTGCATAGAAAGGGTAGAATGGCATTTTGCCACTTAATGAATTATAAGAAACAGATGTAAGTTGTTTAAAAGGACACATAGCCTGAATGTGGTCCATTTATCACAAATTTGCAGAAGGACTTAGATTCATGATTTAGGGAATAGTCACTAACTGATTTGTGTATATACATGTATTTGATGATCCTGTCATATGATTTCATGGCTTTTCTTATGCAAAGACCCACTTATTATTGGAGGTACTTAATGCTTTTGCTGGACTGGGGTTGAGAAAATTGAAAATTTCATTATCATCCACTTCTTACCACCACAGTACACATAACATTATTCTCCTTGCCTGGGATTTCCTAACTATTTTCTTAGAACATGGTGGAGTGGGGGCTGCTTGTACATTAGAGACGATTATTAATAATTATAAACTCCCTGAGGTCAAGTCTCTGCCTTATGTTCTGCTGTATCTCCTACAGTATGTAGCAAAGTGCCAACAGAGCAAGCACTTCAATATGCTTTAATAATAACATGTTGCACAACCATATTCTTAGTAACATCTTCCCCTGAAGAAGCTTGCACAGAATCTGATCATCTACCTCCACATAGCCATCAAGTAATGGCAGGTTTGGGACTGGGAAGCACAGAGAAAAAGCAAAGGCATGAGATGTTGTGATAAGTAAGAGAAGAACCAAGACAGGCTAGTAAAGTGAGGAATGTTGAAAGGAATAAGCAAGGGGAGATCACTTGGTAATTTGTGGCTGTTCAAGAAGAGGTCAGAATAAAGCAAATGATTATAGCCCTGAAGGACTGTATTTAGTGCAAGGCCTGAGCAAGAAGGTGAACTTTTCTGAAACTGTAAGTGGGGTGGGTGGCTCCCAGAGTTTGCCCTGTCCAAGTAATTCAGGGGAAAACGATGGTGGGCTCACCAGACTAAAAGAAGACATGGACAAAATACATGTAATTAGCTTACTGGCTCTAGAATAGTCATGATATATCCATTAAAAATGACATTTCTGGCTGAGCATGGTGGCTCATGCCTATAATCTCAGCACTTTGGGAGGTCAAGATGGGAGGATAGCTGGAGGCCAGAAGTTTGCGAACAGCCTGTGCAACATAGTGAAACACCATCGCTATGGGAAAAAAAAAATTAGCTGGGAATCATGGCACATGCCTGTAGTCCCAGCTACTTGGGAAGCTGAGGTGGGAGAATGGCATAACCCCAGGAAGTCGAGACTTCAGTGAGCCATGTTTGAGCCACTGCACATTAGCCTGGTGACACAGAAAGACCCTATCTCAAAAAAAGGGACATTTCTATAATTTGGCAAGGGGTATGTGTGTGTGTGCATAAGAAAAGACCTTCAGAGTCTCCAGGAATAATAATTACAAACATTTAGTGCTTGATATGCACTCAAACTGTCTTAAACCCTTAAAATAGAATTTTAATCTGTCTTCATAAGAATATTATGAGGTGGAAACGATTATTACCTTCACTTGTAAGATGAAAAAATTAAGGCACAGAATGATTAAATAATTTGCCTATTATTGCCTTAGCCTGTTTTATGCTGGTGTAGCAGAATATTTGAGACTGAGTAATTTATAATGAACAGAAATCTATTGGCTCACAATTCGGAAGACTAAGAAGTCCAAGATAGAAGGACCGGTATCTGGTGAGGACCTTCTTACTGTGTCCTGTCATGGTGGAAGGACAAAGATAGGGCAAGAGAGCAAGAAAGACCCAAACCCACTTTTATACCAAACCCACTCTTGTGATAACAAACCCACTCCTGTTCTAATGACAGAGCCCTCATGACCTAATCATGTCTTAAAGGTCCTACCTCTCAATACTGCTGCATGTTAAGTTTCCAACACGTGAACACATTCAAACCACAGGAACTGCCAACTGGCTAAGAAGAAGAAGAGCTAGGTAGGCTGGTTCCATGGTGGAAGTGATTCTAGGGATAGTCAGATAAACATATTGGGCAAGAGAAAAAGGTATGGAAGGATTTTTTCTTTTTCTTTTTTTTTTTTTTTCAAATCAAGTTCAGAACTGGGGATAGGTCTCACACAGACAGCTAAGACTTGTGTGACTCTCTAACCATTCTGGGAAAGGGGAATATTTCAGAGACAGGACAATTTAATTTCAAGTGACTTAACTAAGCTTGTGGAAGAGTATCTAGGCTGGGTAGCCTGAGAGCATTTCTATCCTCGCCCCATAATATATCTGCATGTTTCTAACTTGTTAGAAAACCTTGGGTTCACAGCTCCTCCTTTTCTAGTTGCTGTCTTTGAAAAATAGAAACATGAGATTCTTATTAGTCATTTAATGTCTGCAGAGCCCTTGAAATTCTACTAGGAGTGCATAGTAAAAATTGATCTCACTCCTTTACTCTTTTTGCTTTGTGTTTAATGTATATAATAACCAGTAAAGTTATCTATTCAGTTTACTAAATATAGGTAGAATTTGAAACATCAGAAAGGAAGGAATTCCCGTAAGACATGAGGATTGACACTGAAGTAAGCTCCAATATCATAATTCTTCCATTTGTAATTGAGTAGTGAAATCATATCTCTTTCCTGTGTTCTTGCTTTATATCCCAAATCTTAAGCCCCATTAAAAATATTTTTTAAGAGAAAGAGACAAAACAGGATTTGTAGGTGGGTAGTGACTTAGTACTTTTAAGCAGTGGCTACTAACAATCTGAAATGTGAAACTATCTCACTTTCACACAAGAAGAGATGTAGAAGATTTTATTTGAAGTGTGTCTTAGCAGGGAGGAGAGAGACCTCACAGCAACAGACAGGATCCAATATGGCTGCTTCTCTGATGGAGTCCAATGCCTTCTCTAGGTTTATCCTGAACTTCCAGTAGGGAGGTGGTTATTATTCAGCTATTTCTCAATGTAATACCTCCCCTTCTGAATTATCAAAAGGCAGAGGTTTAGGAATATTTTTAGCAACATGAACTATTATATGAAAAAATAATTGAAGACCTAGGGCTGTTGAAAGGCTCTTTTCAATTTCAGTTAACACCCAGGCATGCCTGATTACAGCACAGCTGCCAAGGCAAACTTCTCGCTTCAAAACATGGCATCCCAGATTTCACAGTGGTCCTAGGGCTTCAAGACTGTTAACACCTTTACAGTCCTTGTAAAATCACATATAGCAGCTGTCTGCCTTCCAGGGTAAACTCTCTGATGAAGAGGATTGAACTTTTTCAGGCTATATCTTTGGAGTGATCCAAGGAGATAGATCTGGAAGAAGTTATTATTAAGGGCCCACTCTTAGTTCACATTTTACTGATTTGAGTAGTTTCTATCTTTCTGTATTCAAACTAGCACATTAAAATAAAGGAAGAGAGTTGTTTTAGTGCTTCATCAAGTATTTTGGTCATTCAGCAACCAACCAGCCAGCAGTGTTCAGAAAGGCTGCTATATGCCATGCATTGCTCTAGGTGCTTCATGGATACCTAACTTGCAAGGAATACTTAGTGAACAACCACTGGATTCCCTCATATTTTGGAGTAAATTCCAACTGGAGTTGCTCATGCCAAGTAATGCCAATACAACACCCTATGGATGTAGAGCAGACATGAGTCTTAGGGAGGAATTATGCATTTAACAATTTTCTTCATTTTAGTAACTCAGCTTGAGGTTTGAATTTCTGACTGCAAGCTTCATTCTGCTAGGTTAGTGGAAAGAAACCTTAACCTCAGTCCTTTCTGGGGTTTCCCCATGTCTCCCCAGGATTGTGTCACACTCTGGATCTTGTGCAATGTCAAGACACTGGGGTAGGGTGCTGGTCAGGTCCTCTCATGCCTGTCTGCTTACATTGTTTCTCTCTTCGCCACTCTTCAGGAATGGTGACTCTCAGCTATTCCTGTGCTCCGCTTGGGGCCAGGAGATCTTGGGTGAGGTGTCTCTGGTTCTGTTGGTCTGTGTGCACCCTATAGCCAATTCACTTCTTTCTCTGAGGTCTTGCTCTCTTCTAGGTGGTGACCCTAGGGATTGAGATATAGGTCCTCTCTGCTCCTTGACCTACCTCTCTCTCCCTCTGACCTCAGGAGGAGTCTTTTTAGGGCCTGAGGGAAATTATTCTCTGTTCAGGTTTCTTTGAGAGACTTCCTTATCCTGGAGACTTTTGTTAAACAAATGGCTGAAAGACTAGTGAGGGTATTTGAACCTTTTTCTCTGACACATTCTTCCCATGAGCCAATGAAGAATAGAGGCAAGTTATGAGAACATGGCAGGGATGGTGACAGGGAAGTGAAAAGAAACTATTTCAAATAACTATTTCAAAATATTAACCCTCAACAACCGTAATGGATATAAACGCATGTGCTCATCAAAATGGCAGCAAGGGGAGACGGTCAAAGGAATTAGAAGGAAGGGTGAATCCGACTCATATGGGACTGAGAGGGTCTCTGGTGTGTCAGGACATAGCTGTGCGTCCTCAGTGGTGCCTCCTGAAGATTGCATGGCATACAAGTGTGCAGCTCTTATAAATGACTGGTTGGGATTGAATGGCCCCAGGGTAGAGTGGGCAATGATCAAATGTCCTGTGGAGCAGTTGGAATGTAGACTATTTGTGAGGGCGGGGGAAGGGGTATTAGAAGAAAGAGATAAAGTTTCTCCACAAGAATGTCTTCTACTTTGTAAAAGTAGAACCACTGACTCTGGATATTGGTTTTAGGAAAGATTGTCAGAGCATAGAGTCCCACCATCTCATTTTTTTTTTTTAATGAGACGGAGTTTCTTTCTTGTTACCCAGGCTGGAGTGCCATGGCGCAATCTCAGCTCACTGCGACCTCCACCTCCCGGGTTCAAGTGATTCTCCTGCCTCAGCCTCCTGAGTAGCTGGGATTATAGGCATGCACCACCACACCTGGCTAGTTTTTGTATTTTTAGTAGAGACGGGGTTTCACCATTTTGGCCAGGCTGGTCTCAAACTCTTGACCTCAGGTGATCCACCCTCCTCGGCCTCCCAAAGTGCTGGGATTCAGGCATGAGTGACCGCGCCTGGCCCATCTCATTTTTTAAAGGACAGAAAGATGAAATGCTTTGCCTCAAATTGTCTAGTCCATGGTGAGAGTGGAGCTAAACCCATTTTGGGGGTCCCTGTCCCTTGTGCTCTCTAGGATGTTCTGTATACTGCAAACATATTTAGCAATTTGGTTATTTTAAGAATAAGAACAAACTGAAAAAGATCATCTTTATCGATGCTAATACATTAACATATTTTTTTTGTTTGTTTTTGCAACAGGGTCTTGCTCTGTTGCCCAGTCTGGAGTACAGTGGCATGATCTAGGCTCATTGTAACCTCTACCTTCTGGGTTCAATTGATTCTCATGCCTCAGCCTCCTCAGTAGCTGGAATTACAGGAGTGCACCACCACACCTGGCTAATTTTTGTATTTTTAGTAGAGATGGGGTTTTGCCATATTGGCCAGGCTGGTCTTGAACTCCTGGCCTCAAGTGATCTGCCTGCCTTGGCCTCCCAAAGTGCTGGGATTACAGGCATGAGCCACCGTGACTGGCCCACTGACAAATTTTAACAGGTTTCAAAGACAAAAACCCTTTGTCTATGTAACTATTCCCTGGCAGTTTATTTCCTAGATGTCATCTAAGGACTTGGATTGCACAAAGTGAATCACCATTGTGTTCTCAGACTCAGAAGCTCAGGCCAGCTGCATGGCCAGATGGCCCAGTGGCCCCACAGACCCTATCCTTCTGGCTTGAGAGAAAGAGAAGCAAAGCAGAGAGAGAGAGAGAGAAAAATTATAGCCAGTGGCTGCTGCAAATCCAGCTGTTGATCCTATTCCAGACATGAGCACAATGATCATCTGGCTGCCAAAAGAATAACACATATTCTAGCCAGGGAGAACTGCCAAGGATCTGATGAGGGTTTGCTTCCATACATGTGTATTGTCTCATGAGCATCCAGAAGATGGATGAAGCTCAGTTTACTTTTTTTCTTCAGTATTATTTGAAGAATACATTTTGTGATTTTGTTACGCCTTTTGCTACTCCAAGTGTGATTTGTGGACGAGCGGCATCAGTGTCACTCACAGCAGGTTAGAACTGCAGAATCTTGGGACCCACTTCAAACCCAGTGACTCAGCTTCTGCATTTTAACAAGATCCCTGGGCGATTCGCATGCACCTTACGGTGGAGAAGCAGAGTGGAAAGCACACCATGACAGGTCATAGGACTGGGCCAATAGGAATTGGTTGGAAAACTCAGTGGTGGCCAGCATTGAGTGATGGCAAGAAGACCAGACTGAGATAGGAGACCTGGGTTCTAGACCCAATTCTACCACTTCCGTCTGTCTGACCCTGGGAAATCACTCCCTGTCTTGAAGCACTGATTTCCTCATCTTTAAAATGGGAAAAATATCTGACTTGCTTATTGCAGGGCTGTGGTAAGGATCAAATGAGATACTTCATCAGCAAAATGATCTGTGAGATATAATGCACTTTTCAAATGCAAGGGGCTGACAATTGTCATTGTTCAGATCTACCTAAAATGGAATTTGGGCTTTTTGACTTGTGAAATGAGTCACTGAACCATTCTAAGTTAACTATGAAGAATATGTACGTGACATGCAAGAGCAGGAAACACCTCTGAGCCACTTTCCTCAGAGATGAGCACAGGATTCTAATTTTACAAATGGATACAGGGAGGCCCTATTTATGAAGTTAGCAGTGGTTCCCCACCTGAGTTGTTCATTACAACTACCTGGGGAATCTTCTCAAAAATACCCTTGCTTAGGGGTGGGTACAGGGGCTCACACCTGTAATTCCAGCACTTTGAGAGTCTGAAGCAGAGGCTTGCTTGAGCCCAGGAGTTCAAGACTAGCCTGGGCAAGAAAGTGAGACCCATCTCTACAAAAAAGTTAGAAATTAGCTGGGTGTAGTGGTGCGCACCTGTAGTCCCAGCTACTCGGGAGTCTGAGGCAGGAGGATTGCTTGAGCCTGGGAGTTCCAGGGTGCAATGAGCTATAATTGCATCATTGCACTCTTGTCTGGGTGACAGAGTGAGACCCTGTCTGAAAACACACACACACACACACACACACACACACACACACACATCCCCACAACAACAACACAAAAAACTGCTGCTTGGGTCCCAACATAGACCAGTTATAGACCAATTGAATTAGAACCACCAGTGCTGGGACATAAACGTTATTTTTTAAAAACTCCCCAGTTGATTCTAATGTGCAGCTAGAGTTGACCATTGCAGATAAAGCGCTACATCAGAACGAGTTTCTAGGTACAATTGAACCCTTCTTCTCGTTGCCAACTGTGGGATAAAATTAGGAAAGGGAAACACTTCTGCTTTCCCCCTTCATGTTTCAAGAATCCCTCTTAAGGTAATTCATTAGAATTTAGAATTTGAACTTGGTGAGTGTTTCTTCTTTGCCCTGTTCGTCTGGCTGATGAACTTGGTGAATTTTAAAGCAAATAATAAGCCGGTTGTGGTGACATGTGCCTGTAGTCCCAGCTACTTGGGAGGCTGAGGCAGGTGGATTGCTTGAGCCCAGGAGTTTGAGGCTACAGTGAGCTATAATTGTGCCACTGCACTACAGCCTGGGTGACAGAATAAGATTCTGTCTCTAAAAAAAAAAAAAATAATAAAAGAAGATAATAATGAGCACTAGGAACTCTGAGCACAAGGACTTCTTTAAGTATTCTATTATGATGTGATTTGGTGGAGTGAGGCATTACAGTTCCAGTTTCCTAGGCTTTACAAATGGGACCTATCAAAAGAGGGATGCAGAGAATAAGGAATGAACACTTGGATTCAGGGGAAACCCAAGAAAAAAAAATTTATTGGTTAGGGGAAGTCTGATGACAGTGAGCCAGGAAAGAAAACTCAGGTACTTGAGTACTCAGGTGCTTCAAGGTTATTCAGAAAAAAAAAAGAGAGAGAGAAAACAGAAAAAAGAATAAAAAGCCTTTTTATGTTTTTCTATCTTTTTTTCTCTCTTTCCTCTCTGCTTTCTGAATGCTGAAGGAAAGTATTATGGTCACTGGTAAAAACAAACATTCTGACATATGCACACGTATGTTTATTGCAGCACTATTTACAATAGCAAAGACTTGGAACCAACCCAAATGCTCATCAATGATAGACTGGATAAAGAAAATATGGCACGTATACACCATGGAATACTATGCAGCCATAAAAAGAATGAGTTCATGTCCTTTGCAGGGACATAGATGAAGCTGGAGTCCATCATTCTCAGCAAACTAACACAGGAACAGAAAACCAACCACCACATGTTCTCACTCATAAGTGGGAGCTGAACAATGAGAACACATGGACACAGGGAGGGGAACATCACACACTGAGGCCTTTTGGGGGGACAAAGGGAGGGAGAGCACTAGAACAAACACCTAATGCATGTGGGGCTTAAAACTTAGATGATAAGTTGATAGGTGCAGCAAACCACCATGGCACATGTATATCTATATAACAAACCTGCATATTTTGCACATGTATCCCAGAACTTTCTGCACATGTATCCCCGAACTTAAAGTAAAAAAAAAAAAAAAAAAAAAGACAAACACTCTGAAATCAGAAGGACAGGCTTACCTCCCAGCCAGGCTTCTAAATTGCCGTCACCCACTTTGCTTTATTTCTATGAGTCCCACCTTCTTTTCTTATAAAAAGGATAGAAAGAAGATTAGTGTATCTGTTACTCAATATTGCTGTGAGGTTTCAGTATCTTTGGGCTTAGCAATTTAAAGAATTTTAAGCGGTTGTGGCACAAAAGTTTTTTTCCTCATATAGTATCTGTGCAATCATGCCTCCAAATTCTGTAATATTTAATTCTTCTTGGAAAAAAAAACAACAACAAACCAAACCCCCAAAACAAAAACCTTATTCTCTGAGGTTAAAATCTATAGTATATCTAGTTTCATGTAATAATCTGGCTTGGAAAACAATCAGCCAAGCTTCCTAATCTCCCTTTCCATTATCTCCTTTCCTTAGGGCCTATGGCTTGGTCCTGGTGGTCCCTAGAGGCGTGTGCCAGTTATGGAGGTGGAGAGAAGGTACTCCAGAGGAAGGAGCTTGAGAAAGGAAGCCTGTTGAGCTGATCATAATTCAGTTCCCTGATGATGGCCTGGACAGTAAGCAGATATAGAACATTTTTAGAATTTTTGTCTCTTTCATTTGATTTATAGCCCAATTCCACATATTTTGCTCTCAATCTTTCTACTCCTTGCCCCAGTTCTGAAGGGGGTCAACAAAAAAGATGCCATTTTTGTGACCTTGAGAATCAGATCCTGTTTCTCCTTTCTTTAACCTGGCAGACGATGAAGGGATAAATTCTCAGGTAGGATGGGGGTCATTTGCACGCTGTAGGAAGGTTTCCAGGTGGTAGGAAGAGGGTTGCCAGCTTAGATGGATGTAACCAGATTTGATCTACCAAGAATGATGGTGATTAACTGACTTCTCTTTAATTTTTTAAAAAACAGGATATTGCTGCCCAGATATGTTACACTTGTGGTATTTTGGGGTATTCTCCCTGATATTGGTGCCAGCATGAGCCATAGAATCACATTCTCCAATAGTAGCTAAGCCTCCTTCCTGCCTCTGATTGGACTTTCTGGGCTCTGTAATCCTGTTGATGGCCTGAAAATGTACTAAATATGCAGCCAGGGCAAAGAAATTGCAAAACGTGCTTTACCTAAAAATAATTATGTTTTTTCCCCTCAAAGGTCCAGAGAAAATGTTATTTAAGTCAATGAATACAGCCATCATTTTCATGGGGCCTCTCTTAATTTCCTTCTTTCTTTTTTTTTTTAATTTCTTGAAATAGTTAGTTCCTTATCTGTCTTTCACTTCCCATTAGAAAGTGCTGACATTCTGATTTTCTGTAATCTTATTACTCTATGTGACTTCTATAGAGCTCTTTCTTATTTTTTCTTCCTGTTATTTTTACTTTTGAACATTTACAGGGTGTTAGCTGTCAATGACAATGAACCCCAACTATGGTCTTTAATCTTTTCACGGTGGGGCTCCAAGATCTTTATAACTACCAGCAAAGAGCTCTGTGATTTGCCAAAATTCAATCATAAGGAAGAGTAACCCCCTCCACACTGTTTTTATTATGGTCTTTTCCCTCCTTGCTCTACTACATTTGTGGGCATAAAGCTTTGGGGGAATGAAAAGTGGCTGCTTGTCACCAAAACTTGGGGACTCCTGCTTTCTAGAGAAATCTCAAGAGATAGTGCCATTCTCATAAAACTTTCTGTCTTTTCAAAATCCTCCTTATAGTTTAAGAGTAAAAATTTCTAAGCTATATGTTACCTTTTTATTCTTTTTTCCATTTCATTCTAAAATATCAGGATTTACATTTCAAATACTACTGTCAATGAGGTTATCATATGTAGCTCTAATTTATCCGCTTTCTTGGCCAACTCCAAAAGAACAGGCTCAGCAGCGAGGTCTTGATACCTCTTTTTCCCCCAGCGTCACAATCTTCCCTAGCTCCTGGGCAAAGTGATTATCAAAAGTAGATGCATTGGAGGGTGTGTGTGCAACTCTGCTTCTCTGTTGTTACCCAGACCCAGGAATCTAATAATAACAATTTGTGATGGTTAGTTTTATGTGTCAGCTTGACTGGGCCATAAGGTGCACAGATATTTGATCAAACATTATTCTAAGTGTGTCTGTGAGGATGTTTCTTGAGGAGATTAACATTTAAATCAGTAGTCTGAATAAAGCAGATGGCCCTCTCTAAACTTGGGTGGGTCTCATCCCATCAGTTAAAGGCCTGAATAGAACAAAAATACTGCCCTTTCAATGAGTCAAAGGGAACTCTTTCAATTCAAAGGCCGACTGTCTTTGAATTGGGAATAGGTTTTTGTTTTTGTTTCTGTTTTCCTGCTTCTGGATTCAAACTGAAACATCAGCTCTTCATGTGTCTTCAGCCTGCTGGTCTTCAGACAGAAATTACACCATTGGCTCTCCTGATTCTCAGGCCTTTGGACTCTAAGATTAGAATCATACCATTGGCTTTCCTGGGTCTGCAGTTTGTCAACTGCAGGTCTTGGAAATTTTCAGCCTCCAAAAGTGTATGAGCCAATTCTGTATAATAAATCTGTCTCTCTCTTACTCCCTCTCTCTCGATTCTGTTTCCCCAAAGAACCCTGACTAATACATGGATATAATAATTTTACACTTGAACATCACAAAATCTCTTGATGTTGAAAGGGAGATCTTGATTCCCATGTTTTCATAATAAGCACTTTGGGAGACCATGAATCTTCATGTGTAGATCTTTTTGGATCACTTGGTCTAGTGTATAGACTTGGACCTGAGACCCAGTTTCTAATCCCATTTCTGTTACCAAGTGGCTGTGTGATTAGGGACAAATTACTTCTCCTCTCTGTGCTCCATTTTCTCATCCCTATGAGAAGGATCACAGGGGATTATCCCCAGTGTTTTTTTTGTACTTCTAAAATCCTAGGGATTTAAATTTTTTAAGTAGGAATGGGATCATGTCCTTTGCAGGGACATGGATGGATCTGGAAGCCATTATCCTCAGGAACAGAACACAGGAACAGAAAACCAAATGCTGCATGTTCTCACTTGTAAGTGGGAGCTGAACAATGAGAACACATGGACACAGGGAGAGGAACAACACACACTGGGGCCTGTTGGTGGGGCAGGGGAGGGAGAGCATCAGGAGAAATAGCTAATGCAGGTGGAGCTTAATACCTAGGTGATGGGTTGACAGGTGCAGCAAACCACCATGGCACACAACACTACCTCTTCTTACCTTCTCCATTTCTCTAAGATATGGGAGGTAGGTCTACTTTGCCAAATCAAAACATTGGCAATGATCTGTCAAATATAAGCTCTGAAGATACCTTTTCTGAGAATCTAGGTTCCCAGAGGGGAAATATTTTTTTCTCCTGAGCATTCTGCTTTCTCTATTCACAGACAGATTTTCAGCTAATAGCTCTTCTTTTTCCCCAGGAGATCTGAGCAGAATATTTTCAGAACGTAGACACAGACATACTTTCTTGGGCACGGACTTACATACACAAATAAGCACACTGACACATAGAAAGACACCTACACCAAGCTGCTCACTCAGAGACCACTCAGAATCCAAGAGATTAAACTTGTGCATGCTATTAGCATGGCTTTTAAAGGGAAGAGCTTGTTGCAGTCCCTGGGCTCAGTTTTGGGTAAGCACAGGTTGTATTGGGACTAACTGAGCCTGCATTTAACCGATAATACTTCTAATTAGACACATGTGCTCTTTTCTGAGTGCCCTAGTATCTCACTGAGTACAATTGGTGGTTAACTACACCCAGAAACAAAGCAGACCCTGTAAACACCCTTTAAAAGTGCTGGTCTTTGAGGATTGTTTATGACCCTAAAAGAATCTGTATTGAGGATTAGAATTCACAGACATGAAGAACTGAATACTAATAAGCACTCATTTTCTTTAAGCCTGTTATTGACTTTGGCATATCTTTCCATATTCCGCAGTGCTATAAATTCTTCAAACCAACACAGAACATCGTCATCACCCTCTCTGCATAGCTGGCAAGAGCAGTGAGAGTGATACACAGCTTGTCTGTGCCCCCAGGAATTCAGAGTTGAAATTTATGCTGCATATGTTCAATATGCTAAGCAAGTTTATGGGTTTTCCTTGCCCTCTAATAAAACTTACAAGGGGGAAAGTAAATATTAAGCTCTTTAAAGAGATCAGTTAGGAAGCAAAACAGATTGTAGTTACTTATTTATTCATTCCACAATTAGCTTACTGCTGCACCTGCCTGTGGCAGGCCCAGTTCTAGGCACTGAAGATACAAAGCATCTCTGGGAAGAAGCAGACAAGGATCCCTGCCCTCAGAGGGTTTACACTGTAGTAGGTGGAACATAAGGTTTTGGAGTTGCACCGTCTGTATGATATTTAAAGATATGAGACTGTATATGATCACCAAGGAAGTGAATGCAGATAGGAAAGAGAGTTCTAGGAGCTGAGAAGCACTCTGTGCAGTAGTGGGGATGAGGAAAAGGCTAAAAAAGAACAGCTAGTGAGGATGGAGGGAGCCCAGGAAAGCAAGGTGCTCTGCAAACAAAATTAAGTGTTTCAAAGAGGAGAAAATACACATGTGTCTACACTGACAGGTCAAATATAAATTGGGTTGAAAGTTAATGATTGAATTTCATAATTTAGAGGTCGCTGTTGATCCTGACAAGAGTAATTTTGGTGGAGGGCTGAGAAGAAGAGAGTTGACTAAAGTATGTTCAAGAGTGAGAAGAGAAAAATAAATTACAGAAAAAGAATATTAATTATCTGGTCATTTTGCTCATTTGTTTTACAATACAAAATTGTAACTATAGTTGAAAGCTACAGCCTGTTATATAAAAAAATTAGACTTCAACAATATCTCCAGGTTTTATTTTTTTAACCTGCAATTTTAGACAGAGGTTGTGTTAGTTAGGATGCTATTAATAATTTTGCTGCAGTAACAAAGGCCAAATTGGCAGTCAACAAGATGGAAATTTATTTCTCTCTTACTTAGTGACTACCTGAGTGAAAGGATTGAAGGAGACCAGTGAAGTTGGGGGTCTGGATCGTTTTTGCTCTGCCATGCTTAACATGTGGCTTCCAACTTGTGATCTAAGATGGCTGCTCTAACTTCCACTATGACTTCCACATTCTAACAAGCAGGGACTGGGAAGAGGGAAGAGCAAATTCCTGTTTTTTAAGGACATGACCTGAAAGTTGCACATCATGTTTTCCCACTTCCTATTGGCCAGAACCTACTCACACCTAGCTGCAAGGGTGACTGAGAAATGTTTGACTGAATAGTTATGTGTCCAGCTAAATCTTCCTATTACTAAAGAAGAAAAAGAGAGGAGATAATGGAGAGACAATTCACAATTTCTGTCACAAAGTTTCACTGAGAACAACTAAACTGTGACTATGAAATAAAAATGTTATACATTTTTATAATTATGCTTTACTCCAAGTATAATTATATTAAACAAATAATGGATAATCTACAGTGAGGTTTTTATATTGAACTTCAGTTTTCCCCATTAGGAATTAGCTTTCAGGCCATACTGGGTATTGTCTGTCTTACTATGGTCATTTCCTTGTGTCTAGTTTATATCTTGTATCTAACAATTGAGTAAAATTCTTATTGTCTGCAAATGCATTTGTTTACAATATAGCCTACAAAATGCCTGGTGCAGTTACTTTTTAAACAAGACACAACTTCTCTTGATTTTTCTGACTCATTTTGAGAGCTTTCTGTTGTTTATTCACTGTTTTGTGCTATGGTTTCTCCCCAAAGAACACTTTCTATCTCATTCTTTTAGGCCAGTATTACCCTATACCAAAAGCAGACAAAATTATCACAAGAAAAGAAAGCTACAAGTCAATACCCCCTGTGAATGTTGGTGCAAAAGTCTTTAATAAAATACACTAAACTGAATCCAGCAGCATATAAGAAGTATTACACACATTAAGAAGGTTTATACAGGACCAAATGAGATTTATCCCAGGAATGCAAGGTTGGTTCAATGTACAAAAGTCAATCAATGTAATGCACCATATTAATAGAATAAAAGATCATCTCAATAGGTGCAGAAAAACATATTTGATGAAATTTAACATTTTTCATTATAAAAGACACTCAACAAACTAGGAATAGAATGGAACTTTCTCAGTATGATGAAGGTCACATATAAAAAATTTATGGCTAATAACAGTGAAAGTATAAAAGCTTTTCCTCTAAGAATAGGAACAATACAAGGATATCTCTTTTTGCCATTTCTAATCAACATTGTACTGAAGGTTTTAGCCAGGGTAAGAAAAAGAAATAAAGGCATCCAGACTAGAAAGGAAGAAAGAAAACTTTCTATTTGCAGAGGACATGATAGTATATACAGAGAACCCGAAAGAATCCACACACACTGGGGGGGCCAAGGTGGGTGGATCATGAGGTCAGGAGTTCAAGACCAGCCTGGCCAACATGGTGAAAACCCGTCTCTGCTAAAAAAATACAAAAATTAGCTGGGTGTGGTGGTGGGTGCCTGTAATCCCAGCTACTTGGGAGGCTGAGGTTGCAGTAAGCGAAGATCATGCCATTGCACTCCAGCCTGGGTGACAAGAGCAAGACTCTGTCTTAAAAAAAAAAAAAAAAAAAAAAAAAAAAAAGGAATCCACACACAAAACTGTTAGCACTAACAGATGACTTTTGCAAGGTTGCAGGATACAAGATCAATATACAAAAATCAGTTGCATCTACTCAAAGCTTGGTGAAGGCTGGTAGTTCAACTTTCTGATGGGAGTTTAAATGAAGAAGAGTCTGCCCACTGTGCAGAGCTACACATGCCAGAATGTTTCCTGCATAGCACTATGAAACGATATTCTGCTTGTAACACCTTGGGCTTTTCTGTTTCATTTCATGCTTGCAATGGAGTAGCCTAAGGGCATTTAAAGTCCAGGCTGTGGAGAAGTGCTTTTCATTCATCTGTAGTAAAATGAGAAAAACATTTTCATGTAGTGATGCAAGTGGATGTAGTGCCATTTTAATTCAGTGTAAAGAACTGTCATTCTTTTGAGAATAGATTCATCCTACTTTTTGACATTAAACATGTTCCTTCTTTCTATAAATTTATCATGGTAGTTTATATTAATATCTTTATTATTTTTAAAAATTTATTTATTTTAATGCCATTACTTGGTAAAGTGAAAGCTAACAAAGCTTTCTACTGATGGATTTATTTATTTTTGAAAATTTACTTTGTGAAATTCAAGAGTCTAGGAAGTACAAGTAGAAGCTATGTTAGCTGTGTTTACTACACCTTTAGGGCTCTGCAGAGTCACCTTACCTGTATCTTTACTACTTCCTAGTCTTACCTTCCTTTTTCTCTTTTTCTTTTTAGCTTGTCTCCTTAACTCTTTTGTTATGAACTAGAAAAATGTTGTGGTGGGGAAGAACCAGAAAAAAGTTTGCAGGATTTGGATTGCTTTACTTGGAGCCTTAATATCATTCCTCAAAAATTGAGAGGTTATAATGTGAAGAGCATGGACCATAAATACTTTTAGTGGTCAAAATAGAAAGAACTGGGTTATAATTGCTGAATATTTGGTTGAGCAACAATAAAGAATTCAGAAATTCATAAAATGGAGCAGTTATTAACCTTGGAACAGTCTACCCAGATCCAGCTTGGAGTTTCCACCCCCGTAGAATGCTGGCCATGTCAACGCACGTATGCCCAAGTTTTGAGGCTGGGCCTGGTAAACTTTGTGTAGTCATTCCAGCTATCTGATTACAAAACATTTTGATGACCTACCCACAAGTCTCATGTGATTTTTACATCATTGTGTGTGTGCTCTTGAATGTTCCAAGTTATTCAAGTAAGGTCTATAAATCGATACTGACCCATGGGACTGAAAAATGTGCTTCAACCAATAAAAATGTGACAAGAAAGAACAGTGCTCACAGTTTCAACAACTTCATTTAAAAAATTATTTTATTTTATTTTATCATTCCTTCTATGTGCCACTTTAAAATATTATTCCTGGCCAGGAGTGGTGGCTCATGCCTGTAATCCCAGCACTTTGGGAGGCCGAGGTAGGCAGATCACGAGGTCAAGAGATCGAGACCATCCTGGCTAACACGGTGAAACCCCATCTCTACTAAAAATACAAAAAATTAGCTGCGTGTGGTGGCAGGTGCCTGTAGTCCCAGCTACTCGGGAGGCTGAGGCAGGAGAATCACTTGAACCTGGGAGGCAGAGGTTGCAGTGAGCCGAGATCATGCACTGCACTCCAGCCTGGGAGACAGTGTGAGACTCCATCTCAAAAAAAAAAAGTTATTCCTAATAAACTGTATTTTTTTAGAGCAGTTTTATGTTCACAGAAAAATGGAGTGGGAAGTACGAGTTTCCGTATTCCCCTTGTTCCTATGCATACAATCTCCCACCCACAATCCACATCCCCCACCAGAGGGGTACATTTGTTACCACTGATGAACCTACATTGATACATCATTAACTCCCAAAGTTCATAGTTTATATTAAGGTAATTCACTTTTGGTGTCATATATTCTATGGGTTTGGACAAGTGTTTATTTTCAATGCTCTGTTGACTTCACTTACTTCATGATTATCTTGTTCATAATGATAAAAGCTGGTAAACATTCTTCAGGCAAGCCGGTAAAAGTTTTGTAGAGCCTGAAGTGTTCTTTTTTTCTCTTGTTCACAAATCATCCTTTGCCTGATTAACTCTGTTAAGTTTAATTTGTCAAAGTTTTTCTTTTAGCAGGAGCAAAGATAATCTAACAAATCAAAGATGGTCTTTTCAATAAATAATGCTGGAAAGACTGGACATCCACATGCAAAAACCAAGAACCAAAAACCAAAAACTGAAGCCAGACACAGGTCTCCCACATCACAAAAATTAACTTCAAATGGATAATAGACTTAAATGCTAAACACAAAACTATAAAACTCTTAGAAGATAACATTGGAGAAAATCTAGACGACCTTGGGTATGACTATGGCTTTTTAGATATAACACCAAAGGCACAATCTATGAAAGAAATAATTGAAAAGCTGAACTTCATTAAAATTCAAAACTTATCTGTGAAAAAAAAAAATGTTACGAGCATGAGATGACAAGCCACAGACTGGGAGAAATAATGACAAAGGACACATCTGATAAAGGACTGTTATCCAAAAGAGCTCTTAAAATTCAACAATGAGAAAATAAACAACCCAATTAAAATTGTATGAAATACTTGAACAGTATCTCACAAAAGACCATACATGGATTGTAAGTAAGCATGTGAAAAGATAGTTAACATTATCTGTTGTTAGGAAGCAGCAAGTTAAAACAAAATGAGGTACCATGACATCCCTATTAGAATGGCCAAAATCCAAAACATTGACAACACCAAATGCTATGAGGATGTAAAACACCAGGAATTCTCATTCATTGCTGGTAGGAATGCAAAATGCATACAGCCACTTTGGAAGATATTTTGGAGGTTTCTTACAAAACTACACATACTTTCACCATAAGATCCAGCAATCATGCTCCTTAGTATTTACCAAATCAATTGAAAACTTACATTCACACAAAAACATGCACATGAATGTTTATAGCAGCTTCCCTCATAATTGCCAAAACTCAGAAGCAACCAGATTTTCTTTAGGCAAATGGATAAATAAACTGTAGTACATCCAGACAATGAAATGTTTTATTTTATTTTTTTACTCTTGTTGGGAAACAGACAATAGAATATTATTCAGTGCTAACAATAAATGAGCTATCAAGCTATGAAAAGACATGGAGGAAAAGTTAATGCATAAGACTAAATGGAAGAAGATAATCTGAAAAGCCTACCTACTGTGTGCTTCCAAAGATACGACATTCTGGAAAAGGCGAAACTGCAGAGACAATAAAAAAATGAGTAGTCACCAGGGGCTGGACGAGGGAGAGATAAATAGGGAGAGCACAGATAATTTTTAGGGCAGTTAAAATATTCTGCATAAAACTACAGTGGTAGAGATATGTCATTATACATTTGTCCCAACCCATAGAATGTACACCAAGTGAACCCTAATGTAAACCATGAACTCTGAGTGATAATGATGTGTCAAATAAAGGTGCATTGATTGCAACAAATGTACCACTTTGGTGGGGAATCTTGATAGTAGGGTAGGTTGTATATGTGTGGGGACAGGGGTATTTGGCAACTGTCTGTACTTTTCACTCAATTTTACTGTGAACCTAAAACTGCTCTAAAAATAAAATTTATTAATAAAAAAACAAATATACAGAAACATTTGGGAAAGTAAGAGGATCTTAACGGCTATTCACACTTTCTTGTGCAAAAGTTTGGGAGGGTCATTTTTTCTCTACCTACGGGGAAAATAGCTTTGATTGTGGGTAGAAAAAAGAGGAATATGGTAATTTTAGTGTTTGGAGGAATGTAATAGCACTAAACTTGGGGAGGTAGAAACTAGTAGGTTGTAGGTTGTAAGGAAGGTAAAACGGTACCAATAATTTTTGCCAATTTAAAAATGATAACCAAGTGTACTGGTTAATTTTATGTGTCAACTTGACTGGGTTAAGGGATGGCCAGATAGCTGGTAAAACATTATTTCTAGGTGTCTCTGTAGGTTGTTTCTAGAAGAGATTAGCATTTGGGTTGGTAGACTGAATAGGAAAGGTCACCCTCACCAGTGCAGATGGGTGTCATTCAATCCATTGAGGGCCTGAGGAGAACAAGGAAAGGCAAATTTGCTCTCTCTGAGCTGGGGCATCTATGTTCTTCTGCCCTTAGACATCAGTGCTCCTGGTTCTTGGGCCTTTGTACTTAGACTGGGACTTATATCATTGGTTCCCCTGGTCCTCAGGCCTCCAGATTTGAACTGGTACTATACCATCAGCTCTCCTGGTTGTCCAGCTTACAGATGGCATACTGAGATTTTGCAGACTTCATAACTGTGTGAGCCAATTCCTATTATAAATCTCCTTTTGTATATCTACATATATCCTATTGGTTTTTTTTCTCCAGGGATCCCTAACTAACACACCCAGGGTTGGTCCTATGTGGTATGAAGGCAGTGCTGTGTTGATATATGTAAGTGTGTGTATAGATATGTTTTTAATAACATTATTATCTGCATGCGTAATTTTGTGTCTTCCTTTCTAAAGTTTTCACCTTATACTTCCTTTTCTTGTGTTGTATGAACCAGAACTTCTAGAGTAATGTTGAATAACAGAGAATGATAGTTGGATTCCTAGCCTTGTTCCTGATTTTAAGGTGAACATGCCCAGAGTTTTAATGTTCAATGTAATGCTTACTTTTGATTTCTGTTAATAATCCAGGATTTAAATGACACACCCATAACAATAAAGTATACTAAGAACTTTTATTAGAAATGGCTATTGAATTTCATAAAATGTCTATTAATTAGTCAAAATTAATTCATTTCTATTTATTATAACTTTTGCATAAATTTCATAACTTTTTATATGTACATATACTTACACACGTGCATAGTTTTTGCAGATGCATAAATGTGTGATGTATGTACTTTTTACATCCTTATCCCACCTTCTCCCATATCCCAGATTAACAACCTTAAATGTATCCTTCTGTACTTTTCTGATAATAACGTATTTCTTTATATATGTATATTGTATGCACACTTTTGCATTTTGCTTTTCTCCTTTAACAATATTTCGTGGAAATATCTCCAAGTTAAACAGATGTTACATTTTGGTCCTGCCCTGCTATTTATTAACTGTATGTCCTTGAGTAGGGTAAGTAAGTTTTCTGGCACAAGTTTTTCTACTTAAGAGGACAACTATTCCTTTCTCCCAGGACTACTGTGAGAACCAAATGATATCATATATATAAAGCACTAAACATGGAACCTGGCAAATCGTAGGCTCTAAGCAAGTGTTACCCAATCTCATATCCAGTACAGGGAGGGCAAACCTTTGTCCTTTCCCATTTGGCAGTTATGGCCTCTGGGCTGAAGATTTGTAACTCTGCCAATGCCTGAGCACCTGTGGAGGGTCTGGAAGGATCCCTGGGTGTTGGTTTGGTTCAGAGCAACAGTGGTGGAGCCCCATGACCTGGTTTTGAAACCATGCATCATCACTTCCTAGCACGGACAACTTTCTAAACCTCTCTGTGCTTCCGCTTCCTCATTTGTAAAATGGGAATAAGAGTACCTGTCTGTTACTCCTATTGTGGGTGTAATGAAATCATCCATGTGACACACTTGGAGCAGTGCCTGATACATTGAAAGCCCTCAATGAGTATAAGTGAGTGAAGTGACAGGGCACAAGATTTGAAATCAATTGGCCGAGCGCCACCATTTTCTGGCTGTTGGACTTTGAGCAAGTTATTATTGCCATCAAAAGTAATTGCAAAAACCACAATTACTTTTGCACCGACATCACACAAGCTGACTAGATCCCAGTCTTCATCTGTGAAATGGGGCTAATCCCCACTTTCAAGCACTCCTTTGAGAGCAAATGAAGGTTATGAATGAAGGTGGTGCTCAGAGCAGGCTGCTTCCCTGCCAGGGTTATAGTCCAGCCAATGGACTGAATGTGCTTGGCTGTCCTAGGACTGTACCCAGCCTTCATAATTCTCTCAATTCCAAACACAGGCCTGCCAACGAACGTTTAGAACCCAAGTTCACTGTGAATTGGGACATGCCTGCATCTCATCTGTCCATTCTCTTCAGGTGCTGGGGTCATGCTTTGCTCTCAGCAGGCATTACCACTTCATTTTGTTTCTTTCCTGTAAAGGGGAATACATATTTTATTTAAAAGTTACTCATCTTGCTCTCTGGGGCATGGACCTATTGCTAGTTCAGTAGGCTTTGTAGGATGACTGTGATGTGTGTTTACAGTTAGAGGAAGTGGGAATGGGACCAAGATGAGGACGATGTATATGAATTTCAGCTGACTTTCTTGCCCTCTGCAGGCTATTGCAATCCTCCAAGGACATCAGTTTCCTTTTCAAATCTCTGCATGGAAACTCTCTCACTTCCTTCCTTCTAAAGCAAAGCTATACACACACACACACACACACACGCACACACACACGCACACACACACACGATAAAAATAAAAATGCAGCTTTCCAGGCAGGCATCTCCTTCAATGCAAACACAAAATCCTCTCAAGAGAACAATTCATGGGGCAGACATCATCACATCAGACAATTTGTCCATCTCTTCTTGCTGAGACTTACTTGCTACTGTTGGCAGTACGGTAATTCAGTACGTTTGCTCTAAGCCTGTGCATAAAACTGTTTAAAAAATTTAAAAAAAAACCTTGTCCCTTACACTGCATTGCACGCATGCCTATGGGGCCAGTTCATGATTTATTTTTATTTTTTTTCAGAAAAGAAACAAAAGCATTTGCACAGCTGTGGGTTTGGGGAATTAAGTATGATTCAGCAGTACCCTCTCCTGGCCTCTTTGGGAACTGTAGAAAGCTCTGAGGTGAAGGAATCTTGGGATTTCAGAGGAGGAAACCCGTAGAAATAATTGGTTTCTTTTCTTTGTAATCCATAATAATATGAGATATCGCACTCCCACCTTATTCAAGGATGTTTAGTTTCATGAAACATTTCTCCATATTTCAGTAAATTGTAATAATCCTGTTACTTTTTATAAAATTTTTTGGCAACCCAAGTGAACAAATAACCGCATTTCTGTGCATGGTCTCCGGAGTCATTGGAATATTCCATCCGGGCCACACTTCTGCCTGTATCCATTTAGGTGGCACAATTCCAAGAAGTGGTGCCCAGTTCTGCTCTTTTATTGAAGAAGATTCTGTCATTCATTGACTGGAGTGAGTATCGATGAACAGAACAAGTTCTGTGTTCAACCACAGGCAGTTCCATTTTGAATCATTTTTCCATGCTGTGGATACCAAGTATTTGTACTATGTGTAAAAGGAATTAAGCTGGCTAACTTCAAGGAGATCAAATGCTCTGTTTTCTCTATCAGACATTCTGAATAATTAAGTGTTATCTTATATCCCTTACATAAATGACCGAGCTTCCCATACCTGGAACCTAACCAATTTTGTAATTTGCACTAAGGTGATACTGTTTTCTTCCTTTGGTGTCTGAAAAGGCACATCAGGGTCATTATCAGTTTTTTAAGGAAAACTGATAATGTTTTGCTAAAATAGGCCGAAGTGCTGCTGATTGATGGAATCCCCAGAGCAGAGCACTGATTTTTCAAAATTAGTAAATAAAAACACTTAAGCAGTTGGGCCAATTGGAGAGCACGTGCATATGATGGAAAAATAGGGAGTCAAATAAATGGATTCCAGCCTCTGCCACGTGCTACTTTTTAAGCCTTAGATTTCTTTTTTCTTTTTCTTTTTTTTTTTTTTTTTGAGACTGAGTCTCACTCTGTCGCCCATGCTGGAATGCAGTGGCCCGATCTTGGCTCACTGTAACCTCCACCTCCCGGATTCAAGCGATTCTCCTGCCTCAGCCTCCTGAGTAGCTGGGATTACAGGCACTCACCACCACACCCGGCTAATTTTTGTATTTTTAGTAGAGACGGGGGTTCCACCATGTTGGCCAGGCTGGTCTCGAACTCTTGACCTCAGGTGATCCATCCGCCTTGGCCTCCCAAAGTGCTGGGATTACAGGCGTGAGCCACCGTGCCCGGCCAAGCCTTAGATTTCTTATCTGTAAAATGGAACCGCTATGAGGATTAAATGAGACAATGTGTGTTAAATTCTTAGCACAGTGTATAGAAGCTTACTTAATAAACATCAGTTCTCCCACTCTGTGTCATGCAGGAAAAGAGAGAAAAGTTGAAACAGTTTACAGTTGATAAAGCTTGAGTTGTGGAATTTGAATTAACTCAGCAGTCCCCAACCTTTTTGGCACCAGGGACCGGTTTCATGGAAGACAAATTTTCCACGAATGTAAGGGGTTGGAGGAGGGATAGTTTTAGGAAGAAACTGTTCTGCCTCAGATCATCAAGCACTGGATTCTCATAAGGAGCGCACAACCTAGATTCCTCGCACGTGCAGTTCACAATAGGGTTCCTGCTCCTATGGGATCTAATGCCGCTGCTGATCTGACAGGAGGCGGAGCTCAAGGCAGCTCACCTCCTGGTGTGTGCCCGGTTCCTAATAGGCCTCAGACTGGTACCTGGGGTTGGGGTCCCCTGAATTAACTGATAATGTAACTTTTAAAAGTGTAGTGGTGCCGGGCGCGGTGGCTCACGCCTGTAATCCCAGCACTTTGGGAGGCCGAGGCGGGCGGATCACGAGGTCAGGAAATCGAGACCATCCTGTCTACGGTGAAACTCCGTCTCTACTAAAAATACAAAAAATTAGTCGGGCGTGTTGGCGGGCGCCCGTAGTCCCAGCTACTAGGGAGGCTGAGGCAGGAGAATGGCTTGAACCCGGGAGACGGAGCTTGCAGTGAGCCGAGATTGCGCCACTGCACTCCAGCCTGGGCGACAGAGCGAGACTCCGTCTCAAAAAAAAAAAGTGTAGTGGTTATAAGCATGGGCTCTGGAATTCTCCTGTGTTTAAATTCTAGATCTTCCATTTAGCAAGCTGTGTGAGGGCCTTACGCCACTTAAACCCTCTTTACCATCTCAGGTTCCCCAGTTGCAAAGCAGGGATGATAGGAACATCTACTTTATCGGGTTGTGTGAGGATTAAATGATTCAGCACATGCAAAGTGTTTAGAAAAGAGTCTGACATAGAGTAAGCTCTCGATAAACATTTGGTTCATTAGTATTAAAAGGTTTTGAAATAAAAAGGGTCTGGAAAATATCGATGATTAAATCCATATATTTTGTTATGAACATGTTCTTTTAAGTCACATGCTTATTATTTTACCTGTAGTATGGTGTCAGCCAGCGCTGTCCAACTGAATTATAATGTGAGGCACACATGTAATTAAAATTTTTGTAGTAGCCACATTAAATAAAAGTAAAAATCACTAGTAACAAGACATATTGACATCATGAGCCCTTTGATAGAATGATCTGAGAAGGACACTTCCGTCTGTGATTTCTCTTGCCAAAAATGCACACACTCATTCCAATCATGAGAAAACACTACACAAACCTAAATTGAGGGACATGGTACAAGATAACAGATCAGTGCTCTTCAAAAGTGTCAAGGTCATGAATGCAAGCAAAGACCGAGGAACCATCATAGATTGGAAGAAACTAAGGGGACATGACAACTACATACAACGTGGTATCTTGGGTTGGATCCTGGGGAAAAAAGGACACCAGTGGAAAAATTGGTGAAATTTGAGTACACTTTGTAGTTTATACTAATGTATCAATGTTAATTTATTGGTTTTGATCATTGTACTATGGTTATGTAAGATATTAACTTAAGGGAAAGCTAGGTGAAGACTGTGGGAACTTACACAATTTTTCCTTTAAGTTGAAAATTAGTTCAAAATAAAATAATTGAAAAGTTAAAAAGAAATAAGTGAATTTAAATATTTTATTTAATGCAATATATCTAAAAATTGCTTTAATATGTAATCAGCATAAAGTTATTAATAAGAGATTTAAAAATTTTGTACTGTCTTCAAAAATCTGGTGCATATTTTACATTGTGCATCTCAGTTTAAACTAGCCACTTCCAAGTGCTCAGAAGCCATGTGTGTGCCAGGGGCAGATGCAGTGGTGAGGACCTCATCCAGGGACCCAGTGACTCCTTGACAGCATTTTTCCGGGTTGGCTCCTTTCCTGACTCTGGTTCTCGTCCTGCCCCCATAAAGCCTTAGTACTCCCAGAGGAGATTAGCCTCTTGGAGGGGTGCTCAGATTAAATTCTGGTAACACTGGTGGCTGGTCTAAGAAAATAATGTCTTAATTTATTAAGAGCATGGTGTTTTCTATGAAATAAAATGCTCATAGACCCAGCAGTTTCTAAAATGTGAGATGGGTAACACCTGTTTTTGGAGGTCTAAGGAAAAATGACTTCAGGTGTTACTTGGATATGGCATTAAATAACATTCACTTACCAAGTGAAAATATTTTTTCTCATTTCGATTCTCTTTTTTTCCTTTAGATTATATTAAAGACCTAGACTCATTTAATGTCTCCCTAACACACTAGGATATATATCTATATGTAGATCTATATCTGTCTCTTCTCTGTTATTAGGATCTGGATAGAATTTAAGGTATTGTTTCTGTTTTATTTATTTTTGTCATTACCTTTTATTCATGGCAAATAATATTGGCTTTCCATTCAATTACTGATATGAAAGTTTTACAATTTATTTAAAATAAAACATAAGGGCACATTTATTAAAAATACAATTATTAAGATAATCATAGTCCAAGCGGCACTGGAAAATAGCAAAAACAAATAATTAACACCAAAAACAAAGAAACAAAAATCATTCAGGGACTATGACAGTGTTTACAACTTGGGGAGATCAATTCTCAGTTTCAGAAATGTCCTCTCATAGAAGCCCCTAGGAAAACAAGCCTGGGTGTTTTCAATAAACCAATTCCCCCTCATTAAATCTTTCCCTAGTAAGATTGCATTTCTTCTCACAGTCCTCTTCTTCTGCTGCTGCTTTCTCTCTCTTCTCCTTTTACTTTATTTTTGTCCCTCTTGTCCTTTCTCTGCTCCCTTTCACTATTTCCGTTTTAACCTCCCTCCCTCTGGCCAAAGTTCGGCTCTCCTCACCCACCAATCACACTGCCGGCCTCTAACTTTGGGCGTAGTACGTCTGACCAATCAGAGTGCAGCATCTGCCACCTTGTGCTTGCGACTGACGTTTTCACAGGACCTGTGTACACACAGGACATTTCCCTGGATATTTTGGAATCCCTTCACGGTTTCTTTGACAATGTTGGTGTCAATTTCTGGGCAATTGGAGGGTACTATTCTCTGTTGAAGGAAACTTTCCCATGTCATTCTACCCTTGACTCCCTTGGACCAGACAGGTGGAGTTTCCAGGTGCATACGGTTCTCGCTATTTTATGCACTGATGAGGCAGTAAATGAAACTTCCAAAATCTGGTTTGCGTAATTTATGCCTTTGAAAGGCTGATATTATTGCATTAAATTCTGAGGGCATTTAGGAAAAACACTGCCACTGAAACTCTAAATAAATATATCCAACACAGCAATTTGAAAATGATTTGAGGGAAAGTAATTACTCGGTTTCCTTCTCTCCCACCATCGTTATGGATGGAGTTTGACAGGAAGGAAAGCTTTAACGGAGTTTTTCTCACTAGGAGGTAACATAAGCAAACTTTTTGACCTCAAACCTAAAAATAATGTCAAGTTCTGCATTTAGCTGCATCACACCTCTTCTCCGTTCTCACATTTCATAATATTAGTTGTCTTCTTTCTATATTTAGCTTTTGGAGCACACAAAGTAACGAATAGCTTCATGTTTTTACTAAATCTTACAAGTAGAGCAAGAAAAAGATTTTTTTTTTAAAAGTAAACAACCTCTGCATCTTCAGAGCAAAACCCACTCAGAAAACTTGTGCCACAAAACCTCACTACCACCACAGCGCCAGCTCAGGGACCCTGACAGACAGCTGGAGCTGTTTACCAGACAGGCCACCCTTTGATTCACATGGGCATTACAAGTCCATTGTTTGTTTGAATGGCGTAGGCAACAGAGCTGAGACAACTTTGATGGATAAGAGGTGAGAAGTTAGATGTTATTTTTTTTTTTTGTTACAGCAACAAGCAGCAGCAGCTAGTACTTATTGAGAAAATAAAACGTTAGGTTTTATGTCATACTAGGTTTATGTTAGCACATTAGTCGAAATGCTTTACTATGTTAACTTATTTAACACGATCCCACAACAAACTAACAGGAGATAGGTACTGTCATGATCTTCATTTTACAGATGAGAAAGTTGAACCTTGAGTGGTTCCCTTGCTTGCCCACGAACCTGCAGCTCGAGAGACTGCGAAGCCTGATTCAAACCCGAAAGGCCTGTCTCTGCAGCCAGCTCTTCATCTCTGCACTGGACAACCCGCCTCTCTGAAGGAAGCACGGTTGCTTCAACAGTTTGTAGCCAAGCAAAGAGTCTGTGAAGGGAATCCAGTTTTTCTATTTTGAAATCAAGTTGGATTTCACTGGAAGAATTCCTGGGCACTGGGTCTAATAAAAATCACATGTAAGGATGCAGGAAAACTTCTCATTTTATATATTTGAAGGAAAAACTCATTTGTATCCATGATCGTTAGCAACACAGTTCCTCAGTGAGTCAAGTAAAAATGAACATCTTTGGAAACTGAAACTAAAATAGGACAATATAAAACAAATGACTTTTATTACCCAGGACTTTTTAATCATTGAGTCTGAGATCTCTAAAACTTTAGCAATTTGGTTTTGATTTTTTTTTTTTTTTTTTTGAGACGGAGTCTCGCTCTGCTGCGCAGGCTGGAGTGCGGTGGCACGATCCTGGCCACCGCAACCTCCGCCTCTCAGGTTCAAGCAATTCTCCTGCCTCAGCCTCCCGAGTAGCTGGGATACAGGCGCCGGCCACCACGCCTGGCTAATTTTTATATTTTTAGTAGAGACGGGGTTTCACCATGTTGGCCAGGTTGGTCTCCAACTCCTGACCTCAGGTGATCCGCCCGCCTCGGCCTCCCAAAGTTTTGGAATTATGGGCGTGAGCCACCGCACCCAGCCTGATTTTCTTTCTTAAGTTTATTTTTTAGATTCACTCCCAAGCCTACTTGATGCTTTTATTCTAAGGCAGTGGGTTCCCAGGCACAAATTTCACAAAAGATTCCACTACCTTTTAGTAATTGCAATGGAAACAGGGGATATCTGGGTAGTATTTATTCCTATGGAGAGAAAAAAAGTATATGATTGTTTGAGGCTCTTTCTTTGCTTTGCTCTCCACTGCTGTTTAAACTTCCCCTGTTCATATAGGGCAGCGACCAACAACAAACTGAATAGACTAAACCTTAGTGAGCAGATCCTGCAAATTAAGGTGGTTGGGTTAGGTCAGGCTACGGCTTCAAAGAGATCCAGCTGTCTCCAATAAGGATCTATCAATAACCTTTGTTGGAGTAAGAATACCTGGTAGTCAGGTAAGGAACTGACTTCTATGATTCAGGGATCTTATCTTACCTCATTTTGTAATTTGAGTTCTTGTTCTTTTACCATCAGTTGAGTTTATTAGTGACTTTCCATACCTCTTTACCCAGTAAGTAGACCTTAATACAGTATCATTGTGCAGGAAGAGATGACACATTGAGTTCTAAAATGCCAAGTCCTTGCTTATAAATGAAGCTTTGTCCCACTAGTTGGTAGAAGAGTCAGTGGTTCAGCCCTACATCAATTCCCCCAAATGGCTGGCAAATAAATGTGCTAATTATTTTGTTGTCCCAAAAGATGCATCTGATGGCAGCTATTGATGGATTGGTAGGTAAGAAAGTGGCCATGACTTTGCCTTAGGTTGATATACACAAGTTGCAGCTTCAGGATGCTGACACAGTGGATTGATTTGGTTTTTTTGGTCTGGCAGAGAAATTCAGCTTTTTCTTTCTCTTTGAGTAAGTCTTTACCTTGGGAACTCTGGGAGTGGGTGTATTAATTTGTTAGGCTGCCACAACAAAGTATTATAGACTGGGTGGCTTAAACAACAGAAACTTCTCATAATGCTGGAGCCTAGAAGTGGAAGATCAAGGTGCTGTCAGGGTTGGATTTTCTGAGGGTCAGGAGGGAAAGATTTATTCTATGCCTCTCTTCTTGGCTGTACATGGTCATCTTCTCTCTGTGTTGTTCACATGATCTCTCTGTGTGTGTGTGTGTGTACTAATTTTTTCTTATAAGGACACCTGTCATATTAGATTAGATCCCACCCATATGATCGCATTTTACCTTCATTATCTCTTTAAAGCCCTTATCTCCAAATACAGTCACATTCTGAGGTACTGGGACTTGTAATTTCAACATAGGAATTTTGAGGGGGACAGGATTCAGCCCATATTGTGGGTAATCTAATTTGTTCTAGGTTGGTAAAGAAGAGATGCTTAGCTTTAGAGTCAGCCTTCAAAATTAGGAGTTGAAAAAGTCCGTCTTTGGTACACATAGTCTTTCTTTGGTATGCATAGTCTTGTAGGTTTTTTCTGGGTCCTTTCTTCATTATGTTGTCACTATCTTTTTTTTTTTTTTTTGAGACAGGCTCTTGCTTTCTCACCTAGGCTGGGTGCAGTGGTGCAAGCATGGCTCTCAGGCTCAAGCAATCCTCCCCCTTCAGCCTCCCAAGTAGCCAGAACCACAGGAGCACCCCACCATACCCAGCTAATTTTTAGATTTTTGGTAAAGACAGAGTCTCCCTATGTTGCCCAGACTTGTCTCGAACTCCTGGGCGCAAGTGATTCTCCTGCCTCGGCCTCCCAAAATGCTAGGATTACAGGCATAAGCCACCGTGCCTGGTCATCACCATCTTATTTGTCATAATCAGATTCTGAACTTCACTGTTCTATCTCCCTTTATGGTCAGTGCTATTCCTCAAGAAAGAATCTGATATCAGTCATTTCTATAGTGGAGCAATTTGAGGTCAGGGAAGTTTATACGCTATGTAAATGCAGTGTAATGAAAGGCTTTGTTTCCACTTAAAGGAAATTCACGTATTAGTGAGTAGATCAATAGGTGAGAAGGCCAGTGAGCTAAAGGCCTTTGTATTGCCTCATCCCTGAAATAACAATAGATAGCCAGGCACTTACTATATTTATCTCTTTACAAAATTTGTTCTTGACTCAATTGGGCCACTCTCCCGCTCCAAGGAAGCAGGCAATAAACTCAAGTTCGAGTGACTGAGAAGAGTATAATCAAATCAATGATGATTAGCCAAGGTGTGAGCAGGGCTAAAGAAGGTACAGAAGCATCCCAGGGCAAGCAACAGCAGGAAGCTGTTCCCACCTCCAGATCTGAAGGTCAGGGAGAGAATGCTTACCAGAACCCAGGCAGAGCTGCAAGGGTCGCCGTAGCTGTGCGAGAAGGCTCCCTGAAAGGAGCTGTGGTTTTGCAGGAAGGTCGCCTTGGGAACAAACACTCCAGCCTCACTTTCCTCCCGCCCTTCCGTCTCCAGCCAGAACTCCAGCAGCTGAGAGCAAGCGGAAGCCAGAGGCTGGGGGAGTTGTGGTGCTCTGTAAGCCTTGGCATCCCACAGCACAGAGGAGGGTGAAAGAGGGTCCTTCTCACTCCAAGGTTTTCATTTCTTGTTGAATATGAGGTACCTGAGCATCAAACTATACCAGGCCTTTGAACAGTCAAACAATGAGTGCTAATTCCAGACTCCCAGTTTCCCCTCTATTTTGAAAGATGAAATGACTAAGAAAAAGCTTCCGTTAATCACTGGCAACGACTTAGTCTAAAAGCTTCACTATATATCCTACCTGAGTAAGTTTTTGTACTGTGCCTTCTTTGAGCATTTATTTTATCCCCAGTGTCAGCATAAAGAAAGCATCTTCCCATCTGTGCAGACCTCTGCTGTTTTTGTCTGCTCAACATTTCTTTCCTTCTTTTCTGGTAATAGCACCTAGATTTTCCTTTAGGGGCCACTATTCCCCTGTCTCATAGTTCATGTGGTTGGCGTAGAGCAGATCTCACTCCTGGTCTCCAGGGATGGGCACGTGGGCAGGCCTAGCTGAACAGAGTTCTGCATCTCTTTTGCTACTGGAATTATTTCAAAAACAGGCATGTGACCTGTGTCTGTCCAGAGCATCACACCTAGGCCTTTTGCCAATGCTACACTTTTTTTTTTTTTTTTTGAGACTAAGACTCACTCTGTCACCCAGGCTGGAGTGCAGTGGCACGATCTTGGCTTATTGCAAACTGCGCCTCCTGGGTTCGAGCGATTCCCCTGCCTCAGCCTCCTGAGTAGCTGGGATTACAGGCACCTGTTACCGTGCCGGGCTAATTTTTGCATTTTTAGTAGAGACAGGATTTTGCCATGTTGGCCAGGTTGGTCTTGAACTCCTGACCTCAGTTGATCCGCCCGCCTTGGCCTCCCAACGTGCTGGGATTACACGCATGAGCCACCGCGCCTGGCATGCTATACTGTTTATAAGCTGTTGAGCTTGCACAGCTGGGAGGAGAGAAGCATAGAGATTCTTGGAAGAACCTGCTTCAGAATGAAGTCAACACAAAAAACAGCAAAAAAGAGATACAAGGAAAGATAGATTTCTGGATCTAGCTGTACCTGAAGCTAGATTTTCCTGAGTTTAAGTTTCATGAGTCAATAATTCATTTTCTTAAGCCATTTGGGTTTTGGTCACTTACAATGGAAATCTGTCACTAATATATTCTCTGTGATCTTAAAGTCAGTATTGCTTTATGTTGGGTTATACACATCTTGTTTATCATTATGTAGCCTTGGTTCAGTAGGTGCTTTTGTGTTGCATGATAAGAATTAGCATTGTTGAAAATACATTTGTTAGCAGAAAAATAAAATGCTTTATAGGCTGTCAACTGGCATCTTTTAGGGGGAAATTGAAGCCATCTATAAATTGTAAAGAATACGACTTGTTGGCCAGGTGCAGTGGCTCATGCCTGTAATCCCAGTATTGTGGGAGGCCGAGGTGGGCAAATCGCTTGAGCCCAGGAGTTCAAGACCAGCCTGGGCAACATGGCCAAACCCTGTCTCTGCCAAAAAAAAAAAAAAAAAAAAAAAAATTAGCCAAATGTGGTGGCACATGCTTGTAGTCCCAGCTACTTGGAAGACTGAGGTGGGAGGATTGCCTGAGCCCCGGGGGCAGAGGTTGCAGTGAGCCAAGATTGTGCCACTTTACTCCACCTTGGTCAACAGAGTGAAAGCTTGTCTCAAAAAAAAAAAAAAATCACTTGTTTGATAAAATAATGCAACATGCAGACACAGGCCATCCCCATCCATAGGAACACACAGCATTAATTTTTTAGTTTTTTATATAATAGCAACAAGGCTACTAGAGCAATGAAAAATATAGCACATTTAGAAGTTGCTATTGTTTCTTATACATCTTTATCTTAAATATATTTCAGAGTCTCTTTCCCTCAGTCTAAGAAGGATAAGTAGAATAGTTCCAATTACATTTTCTATTTGTTTTGCTGTTATTATCTTTCAGGCTATCAGTATGTTTCTAAGGGTATTTCCCAGACAAATTTTCAAAGCTGGAATAGGTATGTACTCTGGCACATACTGTTCAGGCTTTGTCCATCTGACACTAAACACTTAAAAAAATAAAATTTAGCCAGGTGCAGTGGCTCATGCCTGTAATCTGAGCACTTTGGGAGGCTGAGGCTGGTGAATCACTTGAAGTCAGGAGTTCGAGACCAGCCAGGCCAACATGGCGAAACCCTGTCTCTACTAAAAATACAAAAATTAGCCAGGCGTGGTGGTACGCACCTGTAATCTCGGCTACTTGGGAGGCTGAGTCATGAGAATCACCTGAACCTGGGAGGTAGAGGTTGCAGTGAGCCGAGATCATGCCACTGCACTCCAGCCTGGGGGATAGAGCAAGACTCTGTCTCAAAAAAAAAAAAAAAAAAAATTCAACCGTTTGGAAGGTAACTTCCACATGGCTGTGAGGGAGGTAAGACAACATATGGATGTCTGATGTTTGTACAGATGATCCCTGACTCAGGATGGTTTGACTTAGGATTTTTTGACTTTATGATGGTGCAAAACCCATACTCATTTAGTAGAAACTTAACTTCAAATTTTTAATTTTGATCTTTTCTGGAGCCAGCCATATGTGGTACAATACTCTTTTGTTATGCTGGGCAGAAGCTGCAGTTCTCAGCTCCCAGTCAGCCACGCTGTCTCAAGGATAAGCAGCCGATTCTTGATACCTTTCTGAAAAACACTGTGCCTGCTAAGCCATCAACAAGTGTCAATGCCCCACTGCCTTCTACAGACGCTCAGCAGAAGAGAGAGGAATTGGTGACCTATCCCTGTAGTATCCTTATTATCCAGCAATTAACTAGTTCAATGCCTCACATCTCCTTCAGGTCCCAGTGTGCCTTCAGCTGTGTATGTTAATGGTGCATACCCATATACAAACATTCTGTTTTTCACTTTCAGTGCAGTATTCAATAAATTTAATGAGATAGTCAACACTTTATTATAAAGTGTTGTGTTGGACGCTTTGTGTTGGACGCCTTTGCCCAAATGTAGGCTTAATAAAAGTGTTCTGAGCATGTTTAAGGTAGACTAGGCTAAGCTACAATGCCTGGTAGGTTAGGTGTATTAAATGAATTTTCAACTTGGGATATTTTCAACTTACAATGGGTTTATTTGGATGTAACCTCATTGTAAATCGGGAACGTCTGTAAAGGTAATTTATACTGTAGATATAGAAGCATTTATGTATATGGGTTTGGAGTCCTAACTTGAACTTTAATGGGGACCCTGACCTGCTTGGAAATGTCTGATAAACTGATGGATCAGGCCCCCTGGCAGGGTGCTGCTTGGTCAGGAGATCATGTGATATGGTTTAAGACTCCTGATATTTGCTACCAAATTGCTGTTTAGAAGGTTGTATCAATGTTCACTCCCACTAGCTGTGGATAAAAATGTCCATTACTTATTTCCTTACTAAAACTGAACATTAGATTTTACTTAATATTCTTGGAACATCATTGAATATCTTTTAAATATCATTTCAATGTCTTTAATTTTTTCCAAAATTGATAGAAAAAAATGAATCTTGTGGTTTCATATATCTCATTCATATTTGCTAACTAGTGAGCTTGAACTTTTTTTGTCTTAATGTATATTTTGGACTTCAGCCTTTCTTCTTTTGGGAATTGCCTACTTAGGCTTTTTATGCGTGTGGGTGAATTGCCTATTTAGACTTTAATTAAAAATTTTTTTCATCTTATTAATAATTTGTAAGAAGTTTTATGTATTGATCTCATTGGCCTTTGGCTGTCATATAAGTTGCAAATATTTTTTCTCCCTTCACGATTTTACTTTTAATTTTAAATTTTTTGATGCAGGAATATGTGTGAGTTTTTAGGAAGTAAGCATATCAAGGTTTTTCTTTTAAATTTCCTTTGTTTTTAGGTTTCAAAATACCTTTCTAAATATATAGATGAAGATCTATATATTTTCTTAAATATGCCCTTTTTTTGGCACATGATTATGGCTTAAAAAAAAAAAAGGCTATCAATACAGATAAGGAGAATGTCTGAGAAATAACGAGGAAGGAGTTCATCCTTCCAAGCAGCTAGGGAATACTTTTCTAATCTAAATTTTCTTCCAATTTATTTATGATTTCATTTTTGTACATCTTGATTCATGAATTTATTTTGCCGTATTATACGAGGTAGAGTTCTAATTCCATTTTTTTCCCCAAAAGTTTGGCTAATTATTCCTAACACGTTGTTTAGTGAGAAATACGTATTTTTCCCACAGACTTGAAGTTCTATGCATCTGTCATTTTACTGAATACCTGTATTATTAGGATTTGGTTTTGGATTTTGTGTTCAGTTTAATTCTTATGCCTATTCGTAGGCTCAACCACTCATCACTTCTTCTTCTAGCCCATTAATTGTCTTGGTTATTCTTAACTTCATTCTTCCAAAGAATTCCTGGATCATTTTGTCAGACTCCCAGATGTGATAAATACAATTGGTATTTTGGTTGTAAAAATATTATATTTATAAAATAATTTGGAGAGAATTAATATTTTTATAACATTGCGTCTTCTCATTGAGAAGCATTGTATGCCTTACATTTATTCAAATCTTCTGTTAATGTCCCTCTGAAAGCTTCTTAGTTTTCCTGATATAAACTATACCTGTTTATTGTTATTTTCCCCCTTATAATTTTCTAACCATTCATTTTCCCCCTGACATTTGGCTTTTCTTATATTTACTTTGTCCTTGGCTGCCTTACTAAACTTTCTTATTCATTCTCTTGGATTTTCTTGGTAATCAGTGACATCAGAGCAAACATCTGATAATTGTTTCTTCTCTTTTTAAAAAGGTATAATAATTATTTCTTGTAAATTTCTTTCTGGATATTGAAAAACAATAGGGGTAGTGCCTTCCTTCTAACCTCAGGGGATCCCTTCAGTGTTTCATAAGTAAACATAACAATGTCTGGTAATATGTGGTATGACTTTTCATCAGGCTAGGAAATATCCTTCTAGTTCTGATGTATTCACAGATTTTTCTTTTTAAAAATCATGCAAAGTTACTGAGATACAGACATTTTATTATTAAGCAATCTTTGCATGTTGGGAGTAAATCCTATCTGGTGAATTATTTCCTTAAGAAACCACTGGACTAGATTTTTTAGTATTTAATTTAGAATGTATTATATTCATAAGTGAGATTGGTTTGTTAATCTTTTTTTGAGTTAAGCTTGTTAGATTTTGTCATTCACAAAATAACCTGAAAATTTTCCATTTTTACCTCTAGTGCTCCCGACTAGTCTAAATAGCACGGGAATTTTCTACTTTTTGAGTCATTAAATAACTCATTTGTAGAATAGTCAGGGTTCAGCCCTTTTGTATGGGTTAGTTTCTTAGTTCTATTCCTATTTTCTTTCAAGCTTGTGAGTCTGTTCAGTTTTTTATTTCTGTGTCAGTTTTCTGTGTCCCAGAACATTGGCCATTTCAACCATATTTTTAAAAGTTACATGGTATTTTGTGTTGTATTTTCTTTAAAATTTAAAAAATCGATCAGTATCTGTATTATTTTCTTCTCTTTTAATATTGTGCATATATATTTTCCTTTTCCTCATGCTAAGAGAGTCTTGCTCAAATTAATATTTTTAAAAGTGAAAACAGGAATTTTGTTTTATTATTTACAATTTTTTCTATTTCCTAATTCAGTATTTTTTCCATTTGTAAATATATATTAATTCTATGTTTCTACTTTTTAAAGGCTTATTTAGTTTTTCTTTTTGTATCTCTTGATTTAAATGATTGGCTCATTAGTGTCATTTCATTCTTGTTAAATAATATAAAGAACCAAAGGTGTATGAATACATTTTTTCTCAATTATAACTTGGGCTGGCCACATCTAATTTGTTTTGGTAAGTTATGTTTTATTACCCTACTTTCTCCAAGTAGTCTGTAATTGCAATTTACTACTTTTTTTTTTTGAGGTGGAGTCTCACTCTGTTTTCTAGGCTGGAGTGTGGTGGCCGTATCTTGGCTCACTGCAACCGCCGCCTCCCAGGTTCAAATGATTCTCCTGCCTCAGCCTCCTGAGTAGCTTGGATTACAAGCATGCCCCAGCAATCCCAGCTAATTTTTGTATTTTTAGTAGAGACGAGGTTTCACCATGTTGGCCAGGCTGGTCTCGAACTCCTGACCTCAAGTGATATGCCTGCCTTGGCCTCCCAAAGTGCTGGGATTACAGGTGTGCACCACCACGCCCTGCCTATTTACTTTTGACCATAGTGTTAGAGAGGGATATTTGAAATTGTCAAGTAGCTATGTTTTAACACTTTAAATGTTTCTTACTAATTTTTAGGTTTATTGCATAGTGATCAATAAAGATATAAATTTCCTGCCTTTGAATTTATATTGAGGATTTCTTTGAGTTCTAATACATAGTTGCTTTTCATAAATGTTCCATGTGTTGGAAAAGCAGATATGTTTTCTAATAAACTAGAAGTTTAATATGTATCTAATAAATCAAATTTTTGCATTTTTATTCAAATTCTCCATACATTTTGCTTATGCAAATTATCAGACTTAATGCAATCTCTCATAATGATTGTTTCCACCAATTTTACATATATTTCTGGTAGTTTTACTTCATAGATTTCAATGACATATTATACAAATATAAAGATTTATTACTACTAAAGCTTCATTGTGAATTATACTTTTTATGAATATAAAATAGTTTTTTCTCGAATTTTTCTTTGATATTATCTTTTGACCCATTTTTCTTTCTATTTTTAACTATTTATCATACTCATGCACATCTTACATTTTCCCTTTTTTGTCAATTTCACATTCAAGTGCTTTGCATATCTATCTATGGGGTCTTAATGTTTTTCAGTAAATTTGCATGAGGATTTAAAATATGACAAATATTAATCCTTTGCCTCTTTCCTGTAAGTATTCTCTTGAATTATAATCATTGTATGTTGTGTACAAAATTCCTTTTGGATCCAATCTATTAACATTTCTCTACGAGGTTTCTTGTGTATGTAGAAAATATTTCTTTATGTTCTTTCATTTATTAATGTGAATTTTATAATTTAACTTTTTAATTTATATGCAGTTAATTTTGATGTAGAGTGTAAGGTATAGATCTAAATACATCTTTTTTAAACTAGCTACCCAAATGCTTTGTCATCATTTATTAAATAACTCTTCTTTTCTAGCTGATGTGAAATGCTATTTTTGGTAGATACTAGAATTCACTTGCTCAAATTCCACTCTAACATCCAAGTGAGCCTTCCTATATTATAGTGGCTGAAAATTTGAAAATGAGCTTTCCTGGGGTTCCTTGCAGCTATGTTTCAGATGTAATTTTGTTTCCACCAATCAGATGTGCCGATACCTCACTTGCTTTTGAAACTGCATTAATGGCAGACAAGTGATAGACATCTATTTTTCTAGCACAAATGGTCACAGCAGGATAGTCTTATAGCCAGTCGATTTGAGACATGGCAGCCTCTAACAATGGTCATGGCAGCTTTTATTATTATGATAAAAACCATGTAAGTCTGGGGGCTGGGAGTTATTTCTAGAAGCTAAGCCCAAGAATCTGCTTCTCCAGCCCTTCCAAATATTTTGTAATATCTGGTAACAAATCCTTTTCTGGTTAAACTAGAGAGAATGGTTTCTGTTATCTGCAACTGAACCCCATCCAGTGTAATGATGGTATCAAACATTAAATTTTTATATACACAAATACCTAGTTCTGGATATATAGTCTATTCTGTTGAATTGTCTATCTTTATTCCAGTCTAACATGATTGAATTATTATAACTTTATAATATGGTTTAATGTGTGGCAGTCCTAGTAATTGTCTTTACTCTTTTTTACTAAAAAAAGTTTTCTTTTGGATGAACTTTAATTTCACTCTGACAATTCTCACTCGACCTGTGCTCCTTGGAGATTTTGATTCAGTATGCTATATGAAGAAACTGCTCATCCCCTGGGCTGGAGGTCCAGTTTGGGTTTACAGTGTCTTGATAGTAAATCTAGTGTACCTGTCATAAAATAATTCTAAAGACTTAAGATGGGGGTTGGGATAATAGAGTGTGATATTAATTTTCATGGCTTTATAACCACATCTACCAAAACTGTTTTTATTTTTTATATCAAATGACTTATTAAGAGGTAAAATAAGAAAGGTCTGGACACTTCAGTGCATCTCTAATTTGGGAAATGATCAATGGTCAACAGAGGGGAGACTGTGTCTAGTAGTTTTTACAATTGTATTCATTAGGCACAGGAAAATGTAAACTCAGAGAGTCTAAGATAGAACCAAGCCTCCAGGATAAACTTCAGCAAGCCTAACCCCTTTGTTTCTCTTTTTCTTTCTAGACACTTGTAACAGCACTAATCTAGAAGTGAGTACATATGAGTTCTGGTCCTGGCTTAGCTAATTTGGGCAAACCGTTTAACTTCTTTGAGACTTAGGTTTCCATTCTAACAAGGTGTAGGTGATAATATCCATTTTGTGCAAGGTCATTGGTTTTTACCGTATAACGTGTGTAGGTGTTACACACACTGTACCATCCCATACAAATGTGAGTTAATGTATTTTCTGTCTTTATTATCTCTTTTACCTGCCTTAATCACCAAGACATTGTGATCTGTCACTCCATCTTCTCCATTAAACTCTTCAACCATTTCTATTTTTTTTGGACAATTACTTATCTCAGTCATCATTTCTTATAATTCCCTGTCTAACCCTAAATGTCTGTGAGATCCTTGCCCCTCTTCTCAAGTGGTTCAACACTTAAGAATGGGGACAATTTTATTTTTATTTTTATTTTTATTTTTATTTTTTTGAGATGGAGTCTCTCGCTCTGTCGCTCAGGCTGGAGTGCAGTGATGCAATCTTGGTTCACTGCAACCTCTGCCTCCCAGATTCAAGAGATTCTCCTGCCTCAGCCTCCCGAGTAACTGGGATTACAGGCACTCGCCACCGTGCCTGGATAATTTTTGTATTTTTAGTAGAGACAGGTTTCCCCATGTTGTCCAGGCTGGTCTCAAACTCCTGACCTCAAGTGATCCACCTGCCTTGGTCTCCCAAAGTGCTGTAATTACAGGCATGAGCCACCACGCCCAGCTGGGACAATTCTTGTTATATGTTAATTTCTTAAAACCACCAAAGTCTATTCAATATATGATATAGTGATTAAGAAATAAAGGTGTACATTGATAAAAAGTATGAAGTTTCACATATGCACATTCTTATAGCACTCATAATGGCATCTGTTAAATCTTCATCTAACTTTTAAAATAAAATGGCTTGTAAAAGCTATGAATTACTAAGCTGTGGGATGCTTTTGGGATCTCAAGTAGTAATGTGGAAGTCTAGGCACTCAGCACTGTATGGAATCAAAATTCCAGTGGAATATGGAGAGCAGAAAGATTGGGCAGGGAGAACTTGTGAAAATTTAAACATGATTTTCAGGTTCATTTGGCAAAAAAAATTAGGTGACAATGGATATTTTTAAAAAAACACCACCAACAAGGGCATTGCCTGGCCATAATTTATTGAGTTATTTTAACACTTTCATTCTTTGTGCTTTAGGTATTCTGCTTCCTCATACTTAAGGTAATTTTGTAAAACTTTATGGAAGAAAAAACAATGACACACACTCACACATAGAATATTTGTTTATTGCTGTTATAATAAATTAATAAAAAACCCAAGAAACCTAAAACCATTCTCTCTAGTTTAACCAGAAAAAGATTTGTTGCCAGATATTACAAAATATTTGGAAGGGCTGGAGAAGCAGATTATTGGGCTTAGCTTCTAGAAATAACTCCCAGCCCCCAGACTTACATGGTTTTTATCATAAAAATAAAAGCTGCCATGACCATTGTTAGAGGCTGCCATGACCATTGTTAGAGGCTGCCATGTCTCAAATCAACTGGCTATAAGACTATCCTGCTGTGACCATTTGTGCTAGCAAAATAGATGTCTACCACTTGTCTGCCATTAATGCAGTTCCAAAAGCAAGTGAGGTATTGGCACATCTGATTGGTGGAAACAAAATTACATCTGAATTTTGTTTGCTGAATTGCTACATGGGCATAGGAGAAGGTTTTGAAAGTGCAGAAAACATAAAGGAAAAATAATCATTAGTTATACTTAGCATATTAATTAGCAAATTAACATTCTGGTGCCTATCCTTTCCCTTTTTCTATATATTGTTTTTGTATATTTTTCTTTATAGATTTTTATATAAAATTTTTAAACATTAAGCTTATATATATGTTGTACATATAGCTTGCTTTTTTCATTTACTGTATCATGAACATTTTTTCATGATTTCACAAAATCCTTGGCTTGTACATCTGGTGATTACACTTTTAACAGTGTTGGACTCTGCTGGAGGTGATTTTTTTCCCTTCTTGGTCTGAGAGATGAGCAGTTATTTTTCTTTTTGAAAAGAGAAAGCCAATTTTCAGTTTATACCAGTAGGTGTCATCCATTCACACAAAGCATAACCCAAGAAACCTAATATAATTTGACTTAATCTCTATAATTTCTACCAAATTCCAGTGTAGTGTTCCAGCCTATCTAAGCTCCTTGGGTGAAGGCCATTTAGGCTTTCAGTTGGATTTGGAGAAGAGGTTATTTTTGCCATTTAAGGTGCTTCCAAAGAAAAGAAAAAAGACAGCAGTTTTGAAATGGAATGCATTGCATAGTTTGAAGTTATCATTTTATATCCTAAAAATACATCAATTACTGGGAAGAGGTTATTAAAATCTTAAAATCTTACTCTGAACAGCCACTCAAAGAAGACCAATGTTACTATTTTCATGATTTTTCTGAAAGAGGGTAACCAGTCTTAATCCTGAGTACAAAAATTTGGGATGAGTCCAAACATAATACAATATTTCAAAAATATCAATGATGATTAAAGAGTCATGAAAATTTAAAATAATAATAACTATATTTTTGGCATTATGTACTTTTTTTTTTTTTTTTTTTTTGAGATGGAGTCTCGCTCTGTCACCCAGGCTGGAGTGCAGTGGCACGATCTCGGCTCACTGCAAGCTCCGCCTCCCGGGTTCATGCCATTCTCCTGCTTCAGCCTCCCAAGTAGCTGGGACTACAGGCGCCCACCATCACACCCGGCTAATTTTTTGTATTTTTAGTAGAGACGGGGTTTCACCGTGTTAGCCAGGATGATCTCGATCTCCTGACCTCGTGATCCGCCTGCCTTGGCCTCCCAAAGTGTTGGGATTGCAGGCGTGAGCCACCGCGCCCGGCCTATGTAATAGTTTTTAAGAGCTTTCATATACATTACCTTTTGGTCCTCACAAGGATCCTCTGTGATTACAAATGAGTGAACTTTCGCTCAGAGAGGTTAGGCATCTTTCTCAAGACCACACAGTTGGTAAGTGACAGAGTCAGGTCTAAAACAAAGGTCTTTGAATTTTATGTGCATATATATATATATGTATGTATGTACTGCCAATTGAGTGTCATCCTTTAAAGCAGAAGTTAAAAATGAATAGTCCATGGGCCAAACTGGATCTTTAGATATGTTTTGTTTGCTTCCTATAATGTTGGCTCATGGTGTATTTTAAACTTTTTGAATAAGCTCCAAAATTTAAAAATGGGGATGTTTCCCACAAAGACTAGAATTTCATGTGTCTTTGGAAAAAATCAGAAGAGATGGTTACACTGGATTCATATTCCCTAGCGGCAATGTACAGCTGAAGCTGTGTGTGTGTGTGTGTGTGTGTGTGTGTGTATGTGTGTGATTCTAGCTGGTTATAAACTGTAGAGAAGCAACGTGGCATGGTTTGGCTGTGCCCCACGCAAATCTCATCTTGAACTGTAATCTCCTTAATCCCATGGGTCATAGGAGGGACCAAGTGGGAGATAATTGAATCGTGGGGGCAGTTTCCCTTATGCTGTTCTCACGATAGTGAGTGAATTCTCATGAGATCTGATGGTCTTATAAGCCCACCTCATGGATATGAGACATGGAATCAAAGGAGATCATTTCAGAACTTTAAGGTTTAGTGACTGCCCTATTGGATTTCGGACTTGCATGGGGCCTGTAGCCCCTTCATTTTGGCCAATTTCTCCCATTTGGAATGCGTGTATTTACCCAATGCATGTACCTCCTGTATTCGTCTGTTCTCACATTGCTACTAAAGACATTCCTGAGACTGCGTAATTTATAAAGGAAAGAGGTTTAATGGACTCACAGTTCCACATGGCTGGGAAGGCCTCACAATCGTGGCGGAAGGCAAAGGAGAAGTGAAGGCATGTCTTACATGGTGGCAGGAGGGCTTGTGCAGGGGAACTCCTATTTATAAAACCATCAGATCTCATGAGACTTATTCACTACCATGAGAACAGTATGGGGGAAACCACCCCCACAATTCAGTTATCTCCACCTGGCCCTGCCCTTGACACATGGGAATTATTACAATTCAAGGTGAGATTTGGGTGGGTACACAGCCAAACCATACCACTCCCATTGTATGTAGGAAGTAAGTAACTTGCTTTTGACTTTACAGGCTCATAGGTGGAAGGGACTTGCCTTGTTTCAGATGCGACTTTGGACTTGGACTTTTGGGTTAATGCTGGAATGAGCTAAGACTTTGGGGGACTGTTGGGAAGACATGATGGTGTTTTGAAATGTAAGGACATGAGATTTGGGAGGGGCCAGGGGCAGGTTTGGCTGTATGGTTTGGCTGTATCCCCACCCAAATCTCATCTTGAATTGTAATCCCCAGAATCCCCATGTGTCATGGGAAAGACGTGATGGGAGGTAATTGAATCATGAGGGTGGTTTCCCCCACGTTGTTCTCATGATAGTGAGTGAGTTCTCATGAGATCTGATGGTTTTATAAGCATCTGGCATTTCCCTTGCTGGCACTCATTCTCTCTGCTGCTGCCCTATGAAGAGGTGCCTTCTGCCATGAGTGTAAGTTTCCTTAGACCTCCCAAGCCATGCGGAACTGTGTGTCAAGTAAATGTCTTATCTTTGTAAATTACTCAGTCTCAGGTATTTCTTCATAGCAGTGTGAGAACAGATGAATACAGAACTGTAGAATGGTAACTCAGGAGCCAAAGACAGAACTAAGGGAGCCTGAACTCTGCAGAGGCTGGAAGGAATGGGATCCAGAGAGGTGCCTTACTTATGTTTTGAGGAATATACTATCATTGGAATGAAGGCCAACATGAATAAGTGGCAGTATATTTGTTAAAAATATCAATCATACCATTTGGCAGTCACATCTCATGCTGATTTTTTTCACCCCTCATGGAAATATATAATCAGTTTTCTGGGCTTTATGGATTAATTAATAACTTTAAATGAGAAAATATTTGGCTGTCAAAATGGAATATACTTTTGTTTTATGATTAGAGATGGGCAAGTGATGAGAGATGAATCAGGATGATGAATTATATATTTATTCAATTAATTTCAATGTGAAATACAAACATGTTTTGATAATTTTCTGCTCTCACATTATGATTCAGAGTGAAAAATTGTCATTGGTGAGCATTCCCAAGGTCATATGGTTCCTCCAAAAGTCAAGGATTCTTCAAACACTTGTTCATTCAATAAATAGTTGTGGAGCATTGCAAACATACTTGCAAAGAAGGCATCTTTAGGCTGAGGCGGGCAGATCACAAGGTCAAGAGATCGAGACTATCCTGGCCAACATGGTGAAACCCCGTCTCTACTAAAAATACAGAAATTAGCTGGGCATGATGGCATGCACCTGTAGCCCCAGCTACTCGGGAGGCTGAGGCAGGAGAATCGCTTGAACTCGGGAGGTGGAGGTTGCAGCGAGCTGAGAGGTTGCCACCGCAGTCCAGCGTGGTGACAGAGTGAGACTCCGTCTCAAACAAACAGTAACAAAAAAACCCGAAGACATCTTCAGTTCTTGTTCTGATGTTTCTCACAGTTTAGTAGAAGCTGTTGGAAAGCAAACAGGCCATTACAGTGGTATAATTGTTACAATTGTTACAGGTAGCTAGACAAGCATGAGCTGGGCAGGAGAGGGCTCTTCCCCCACTCATAGGAATGCTGGGTGATGGTTTGGCAATTATCACATTGCCTCTCTAAAAGTGATAAATTGGCAGCTGGTGCCAGGGAGAGGTCATTTCCTGATGGTCCACACCTGTTGCACTAAAGTGTTAATTGAATGCGGGTACCAGGTAGAAGCAACTTCCTGGGCCTGCGCATTAAGAGACAAAATGGCCTCTGGAGGCACACCACCAGAAAAGGGAAGAAAGCCTCAGATGAGCACACGTACAGTTTCCTAAACACACTGCATGTGCTCACCTCCTAAGGGTAAGGAGGGCACTGCACATGCGGGCAGCCCACCCTAAGGGAAGAATCCTGTGAAAGAGGCCAGCCTATAAAGTCCTAAAATCAAGGTTAAACACCACACTTGACCTTGGGCCTCTTCCAAGCACATGCTCCTTTTTTCTGTTCTAAAGCTTTTTAAAATAAACTTCTATTCCTGCTCTGAAACTTGCCTCGGTCTGTATTTCTGCCTTATGCTTCTCAGTCAAATTCTTTGTTCTGAAGAGGCAAGAAATGAGGTTGCTGCAGACCTGTACAGATTTTCTGCTGGTAACTAAGATACCTTCCACCGATAACATAATGATTTCTAGGATGGGGGACACAGAGGAGCATTGGGAGGTTGCAGAAAAGCCACTAAATGGACACTAGTTATGGGGGTGGTTGGGAGTGAATGACATTGGTTTGATGTCTTTGATGAATCGATGGGTATGGAAGCAAAGGCCTGAAGAATGGTGGAATATCTGCCAAAGAAGGTAGGCTAGAGTGGTGAGGAGGGGAAGCACAGACAAAATGATGGCTCCTGGCAGTAGAAGGAAGAGTTAGTTTGGGGAATTTGGAGAACTTCATGTCATTCAACGTGATGGAAACATTTGGTACAGAAGGAAGAAAGAACAAATGTGGCAAGAGATGAGGCCGAACTGGGGAAGGAGTTGCCCTTCATAAGGAATCTTGAAGGGGTGTGGGCCTTACCTAAGAGAGGAAGCCAGTGGAGGATCCTGGGTGGGGCGGGGACACAGATGAATTCTATTTACATTTTACAAAGATTACTCTGGTTGTAGCATGAAGACAGACCAAAATGGGACAAGGGTGGGAATAGAAATGACAGAGGCCTGATCTAAGTCAGTGACCTTGGCAAGCGAGGAGGAAAAAATACTTGAGAGACAGTTAGGAAGTAGAGTAATTGGGGTTTATCGGTGAATCAGCAGGAAAAGGGAGAAGGCTGGTTGGTGGTACCACTCAACAGTATAGGCAAGGTAGGAGTTGAAGCAATTGTGATTAGGAAGGACCTCTCACTTTTGATGCTTGTCCCTTTCAGAATGGCAAACCAAGCTTAGGTGAAGCCTAGATATTTGGGGGTTACTTTCTAACCCTATTGCTTGGACTCAACCATGCTGGTGTCTGAGCTCCTCTACTCAGACAAATGTTGCTTTCAGTAAGTTGCAAGCAAAGCAAAAGAAAGACATTCACCTACGGCCCTTCAGAAAAGCAAGCATGCTGCATGATGAACTCTGGTGCCCAGGAGGCAAGAAATAAAAAACACTTTTAATGTAACCAACTTTCCATGCCCCACCCTCACCCCAGGCGTCTGCATACACAAATCAAAACCATCTTAAGTCATGGAATGAAAAAAAATTAAAAGCAAACTAAAAGCACTTCCTGTGAGGTGAATGGAAATTTTTGCCCAGTTAATTTTCCAGGCACGTGAAAGCAGTTCTGAATATTTTAAACCACAAGTACTTGTATTCTTGACCAAGATTTTTGAGAAGGCGAGGCATGGGAAGGATCATTGAAACAGGACTTTGACATAAAACATTGTTTACATAGAAGTGAGCTCTTCTCCACTATCGGATCAATTTACCACCCAGTGTCTGACAAACTGAGAAGCGAGAGGGTTGGGAAAAAGCAAAGAGATACATATCAAACAAAACCACACATATCCAGTTGAACTAAAGCTGAATTTAACCATAACTTGTGCAACTTTTCTCCCCTTGAGGTAGAAACATTACACCTCCAATTGACCAGGACATCTTTTTTTGCATTCAAATTATCTTGGAATTTCCTCTAGGACCTAAGTATCCTTCCACCATGAAAATAGGAGACCAAAAAAAGTAATGCTTCCAGTAATTTCTAGCCAAATAAATGAGGATAAGTGTGTGAGTGTGGTGGGGTAGTTAAGAGTTTGGAATCCAGAGTTTCACTGTCTGGATTTGAACAGGCTCCGTTGCTCATCAGCTCTGTGACTCCGGGCAAATGACTGAATCTCTCTAACTCTCAGTTTTCTCATCTATGAAATGAGAATAAGTAACAGACTCTCCCTCGCTGAGTTGTTTGAGAACGGGATCAGACAATGCACGTGGAGCCCCGTGTCTGGCACACACTATGTCCTCATTGCATATTTATTATTAGGTTTCTGCTTTGTATTTTTCTCTGTGCAACAGCCCTGAGCTCTAGAACTTATGACAGCTTTTCTCAAGTGAAGTTAAAGTTCCCCATACTCAGTTCCAGAGCTAGGCCTCACCTAGGTTGGAAGAAGTCAATTGTTCTCCACTGCCTGCCTGTGTGCTGGGAAAGGACTCTAGCACAGTGCCGGTGGGGCTGGAAGCCTTTCCTCATGATGCTACGGGGAGTACAGTGAAAAGGGAGGAGATTGGGGTAGCAAGGTCCCAGGGGTCCTGGCAGCCCAGGCTCTACTTCTCAGGCTAGCTCAGTCCCTCAAACAGCTTCCTTCACACCCACTGCTGAGACCCAGGAGCCCTACAGAAGGTAGCTAGGGGAAGCTTCAGCAGCTAGGGGGATCCCTGCAGGATCAGCCTCCTCCTTACCTTGCAGACCCCTTGGCTGTGGTCTGGCATTCCTAGTGGCTGGCCTAAAGCCCCAAACCTGGAATCTGTTTCAGAGCCTGGACCTTTTGGACTCACACCTTGGTTTCCCTGGCCAGCTGATTTCAGCTTCTCATCTAAATGTCATTTCTGCAGGCTAAGGGAAGTCCAGCCTGGATCTAGCATCTTGGAAGCGCGTTCAGACTTCTGGATGGAGGGATCAGCAGGCCTTGGTATTGGTGGTTCTACCTGCTTCGGTTAAGAGTGAGGACTCTGGAGCCAGACTCTCTAAATCATAGCACTGACACTTACTATATGACTTGGGCCAGGTTCGTTACCTGTCTGTGCCTCAGTTTTCCTCATCTGTAAAATGGGAGATTAGTGGTCACCATTGGGATGATTAAGAAGATTAAATGAGTTAATGTATGTATAAACTATAGTTATAATGTAAATATATATACAAACAGTAACCATTTACATGCATATAAAACATAATATAAATGTAATATTAGCTATATTCATATATAAAAATAGGTATATTTTATATATAAAATATATTACATTTAATTTTTTACATTTTGCATTAAGATATATTATTTCATATAAAACATTTAAGTACATATACATATAATTATCTATGTAATTATTATTGTTATTGTTGTTATTGTCTACTTTACCTCCCTGCAGGGATGGGGAGACCACGGCAGGCTTTTAAACATTCTTGGTCTCACTGAGCCGTAGGTGAGGAATCCCTGGTTCCTACAGACTCTGCTGTAATATGAGGAGCAGGGTTTAAGTTAGTTTAAAACTGACCCCATCATTTGAAACATTGCAATCTACAATGAATGCCACATAAATATCATTTCTCAGATTCCTATGATGCTCTTCTTTCAGATCTTTTCACTTCAATTTCTATAATAATTTTGTTTGTTTCTTGTCCTATTTCAAAGGCTTTCTTATCTCTGGAGCACCTAGCATAAGATAGAAATGTGTCAAAATATATGTTTTATTCATCATGTGAGTATTTTTAGGTCCTGTTAACCCCCATAACTATTGATTCAGAGAAGTAGGGTGGTTCTGAAAAATACAGGCATAATCTCTTTAACTTGTTTTATAGGAACCAGAATAAGGGTAATGTTTTCCTCTGTCTTCAAAATCATCAATAATCCATGCATTGTTTAACTCATGTCATAAGCAATAATGCCTTTCATATAGCCATTGGCATCAAAGAAGAAACACCCCCTTGATTTGATGGTAAGCGTGACACTACATAAACTCCCAGAAAACCCACTTCCTTTCCAGCAAATAGAAAACAACCGAGAGCCTGAATTCACTGTCAGCTTTGAACACTGAACGCGAGGACTGTTAACTGTTTCTGGCAAACATGAAGTCAGGCCTCTGGTATTTCTTTCTCTTCTGCTTGCGCATTAAAGTTTTAACAGGTAAGTGGTGTATTGAATATTTCTTATTAAGTTATAATTCAAGTAAACATTAAGAAAAAGCAAAGGTAGAAAAATTACGCACCCAAAAGACAGTGGTTTTGGTTTTTGAAAGTAGGAATAGTTTCAGGATATGGCCAAGGGCACCATGTCACTCATGTCACTGTGGATGGCATTGAGTTTGCATTGCTGCCTTTGATACTGTGTCTTGAGATGAAAAACATGTTTCATCAGACCATTAAATTTTTAAATTACCTGCTTGGAGTTACCTGTCAGTGGATAAACTAGCAGAGTGGCTTACTGTTCTTAGAGAAAGATGAAAGGCAAAATGACTTGTGTCAACAGAATGAAAATTAAATAGCTCTGGCATTTGGACTGGGAATTCTTTCTGTGGTAGAAAATAAAATGGGAAGTCTTTGAAAAGAAGGATTTTGATTTTAATCTTACCTGGATGATCTGTTATCTGAAATGTCCAGGGCACCATAGAGTTTTTATTGACACTAAGTATCAGAGTTCACCCTAAAAAGCCAAGGAGGAAAGGATAATGTAAAAATACTTCCTAGCCCCTGTAGACCTTACAAAAAAGATCATTCTGGAGTCCCTGATTCCTTCTCTTGAATGGCATATAGCAGACTCTATATGGACAATTTAAATAATGCTACATACAATGTAAGTTAATACACGTGTTTCTGCTGCTTTTTACTGTATATAATTTGTACTACTTTTGTTTTCTCTTTCACACTGAGCCCTATTCTTGAGGTTGAAAAAAGGAAAGTTAAGTAATATTAAATAACTTAAATAATCAAATAAACTAAAAGTGAAGGCAGAACTTTTAGTAGGTATGATCCTATCTAGGGATACATTTTTTCAGTGGCAAAAAAATAGACCTTACTGTTCTTACAAAAAATGAAAAAAAAATGAAATCAAATTGATCAAATGTTTCATCTTGTGCTGGCTCAAAGTGAGTTAAGTGCAGTTAAGAGGATTGAGGAATGTAGAATGAGCACAAGGACAGTTTTGGGCTACTTGCTGGTTTATGCCTTTTCTAGAATCTCATGAAGTCCTTTAGCGGCATGAATGACATGAGCAGCTTTGGAATTTATATTCATTCTTCATTCATCCATTTACTCATGTAGCATTGAGCACCTGCCTGGTAGCAGGTACTGTGCCAGATGGTGTATGTACAAGGATGAGCAAAACCAGGTCAACCCCTGTTCTTTGGAAGGTAACTGCATGGTAGAGAGAGATATATTAATCAAATAATCCCATTGATTAATGATAATTACAGGCAAAACTCAATTATATGAGGGAATGTAACAAGGAGCTTGACTAGACTGGGTGGGTGTGGAGGTGTAGCTGAGGAGCAGGGTTCATTGAAGTCTTTCCTGTGCAAGTGGCACTTGAGCGGAGATTTCAAGGACAAGGTAGCAATCAATGGGGAGAACGGTATGAAGGTAGGGAAGAACGTTCCATACCATGGAAGGAACAAGTGCAAAGAGCCTGTGGCAGGAAGGAATGAGGTAAGGTTAGGGAACTAGAAGAAAGCAGACAGATGTGCCTGAGCACAAAGAGGGAAGAGGCTGAGCTTGGTCCAAGATGACCAACTGGTCCAAGTTGGTCCAAGGTGAGGCTGGAAAGGAAAGTAGAGGCCAGACCATTCAGACCATATAGTCTATGTTCCAGATTTTGGATATTCTTCCAAGAACGTTGGTACCATTCGTGGAAGGGTTTGTTTGTATTGATAAAAATCATTCAACTAGGCCAAACCAATTTGGGCAGTTCTGGTTGTGGTATTATGCTCAGGAGAATTAAAGTAGCATCGGTGTCAATTCTGTGGAAGGTGAGATCCAGCCTTAGGTAGGATTGTTTTAAGTTTCCAGATTAAGCTGACGAATAATTTGTATTCTGGAACAATATTCATCGTAGATTCTAAATGAATACAACCAATGTTCACTCTCATTATAAAGAAAGCCATGAGATGTGGCATGCTGTTTGGCATGTGGCAAACCTGAGGCACGAGTGGCTAAATGGTAACAATAAATCTGCTAGCAATGATCCTATTTAAAATATCTCCACAATGCATGTATCCAGAAACTGCCATGTAAAAGCTCTAAAGAAAAAGAGCCAAACTCAAGTAAACTAAGTACTTGCTTGTCCTCTGTTGTATTTTCAATCCTCCCAATTTACATAGGCTTTCTCATGCCATGAAGATGTAGGCATTCTTACCTTTAGTCAGTGTTTGAAGAATTTCCAACCAGGAAAGGTTAAGTGATTTGTTACACAGTAGTTGGTGGCAGAACCAAAGTTAGAACTCTAATGTGACTCCAACATCTACATTCTTTCTAAACTGTGTTGAAGTAGTGGAGGTGTAACATAAATCTAAAGGAACGTAAATCTCAATGATTCTGATCACCTTTGTTATTTGGTTGTGAATTAAGAAGGATGGGAATCTTGCTGATTTCTAGTCTTTGATGGATCTCAATGTAGAATTTAACAAAGTCTTGTTTTTTTTTAATGAACTTGGAGCAATAGGACACTTTTAATTATAAAAATATCTACGAAAAATGTGAATGTCTAACTACATTTTGAAGACCCTCTTTGTAGACCTTATAGGCAACAGGGACCATATGAGTGATGGGACAAATTCTGGTTTTAGAAAGACTACTTTAAAAGCAGTGTGGATAATACACCAGATTGGGAAGGGCTGATGGCAGAGGGTGTCTAATAAACGTGCATGTATTATGATGTGTTCTGTGAGGAAGCTGGGAGGATAGCCCTCAAGGCCACTTTGAGCCTTCCTTTGTCACTGAGGCATTCCATTAGTGACTCCTGAATTCCACTTGGGAAAAGAGCCCCTCAGTGTCTCCAGCGTCTGAGAGAAGTCTGTGAAGATGACTGACCTTGGAGCCCCTCTTAGCCTCTCCACGACTGAGTAAATGTCATCTCCTGACAGCACCCCCTTCCAGAGTGTTCTTGTTAGATTTAACAAAAATCCCAGTTGTCAATTTTTTCTTTTGATAGATGAATTCAGGCCATTCCCAGTCAGCATAAGCCTCTACTTGATTTTATTTCTATGTTTATTTACTACTTATTTTTCTTTGTTGTATCCTCTTTTTCTCTTTTATTTTTGTTGGTGTGATGAAATTTCTTTTGACTCTCCTCTTTGCCTCCGGTTAATTTGGAAGGTCGACTACAGTTCTTAATTTACTAAGTAATTGACATGTTCAAAGAATCTTAATTGAATGTCTACTTGTTTATCATTGTATGAAAATAATGAAAATGCCTTTGTCTGATGTGCCTAGTCCCCATCCCCTGCACTGATATGAGAACTTAAGAATGTTCTTCCTTTCCCACTCTCACACTTCCCCCAGACAGTGCACCCTGCTCCATACGTGGGTTTTGTGGAAATAATTTAAAACTTACAGTTGCAGATCATTGCTAGGTTTCCTCTTACAGTATTTCTCTTCTGTTTCAAGAATCCTTTCTTAACACTTACATCACATACGTTCAATGACAACATCATTCTGGACATCTGCTCCTGTCTTGTGATCTCTGTTCTAATCTAATGATCAGAAGACTTCTCTTATTTTCGTTAAATACCCCCAACTCTCTGAATTCCAGTACAGGTAAGGGTGTCTTCCTTTTACCTTGATGAGTGACTGATATCTTTCCTGGGAATAGGAGTCCTGGATGGCAGCCTTTCTTCTTAGTGGTTGCAGATATTCCTCCACTGTCTGCTGGCTTCTAGGGTTGTGGGTGAAGAGTTTGATGGTAGTCTAACTCTCATTCCTTTGTAAAAAAAAAAAAAACTCTAGAATTTCATAATCTTGAAAGCTATTTACTTCAGTATTGGAATTCAGGAATTCCTCCAGGATATGTGTAACTCTCTCCCTCTGTTTCTCTTTCTGTGTGTTTCTATTAATTTTTTTTTTGAGGCGGAGTCTCACTCTGTCGCCCAGGCTGGAGTGCAGTGGCGCAATCTCGGCTTACTGCAACCTCCACCTCCCGGGTTGAAGCGATTCTCCTGCCTCAGCCTCCCAAGTAGGTGAGACTACAGGCACCCGCCACCACGCCTGGCTAATTTTTTTGTATTTTTCGTAGAGACGGGGTTTCACCGTGTTAGCCAGGATGGTCTCAATTTCCTGACCTCGTGATCCGCCCACCTCCGCCTCCGCCTCCGCCTCCCAAAGTGCTGGGATTACAGGCGTGAGCCACCGCGCCCCGCTGTTCTATTAATTTATTATTATTTTTTTTAAGACTGGGTGAAAGTTTTCAATCTCTAGACTCAAGCTTTATTCTTCATTTCAGTCATTTTTTTCCTAGTATTTGTTTAATCATACCTTATGCTGTTTTTCCCCACTCTTTCTAGAAATGTCTCTTATTCTTATGTAAGATCTTGAGTCCCTTATTTTTTCATCATTTGTGAACAAAATGGCTTTCACAACTTGCTGTTGCTTGTTAACCACAACTCCTTCAGATGAAATGGATATTTCAGTTTTAAGTTACTAGTAGCATATTCCCATTTCTTGGTAGAAACAAAATGCAGGCATGTAGGGGGGACTGAAATTCTTATATTTACTCACTGTAAGATTCATAGCATTATTTGGCTTAAAAAAATTCATCCCAGTATTCACAGTTGTAAACAGCAAAATCTACAACATATACTGCTTCCCTACTCTAAGAATATTGAGTTTTATATGCAAAATGACTTACTGGGCTTTGCAAATTTTTAAAAATGAGTTTTAAAATCATTTGTAGCTTGCAATAACTGAAGAAAAGATCACAATTTCTCTGTAAATGGCATCTCAGTACTACTGCTGTTCTAATAAACTAGGTCTGTCAAATGGCACTTTTTGGTCATTCAAAGTGAAAAAAACATGGCATTTGAAACCTTATAAAAATTCACAATTATATTTTGGAAAGTGGAACTTAAGTATGTAGGGGATATGTCACACAAATTGAAAGTGTTAGTCAAGAAATGATTTTTTTTTTCAATAGTTTGGCCTGTAAGGTTGACCAAAACAGGTAAAGATTTGCAAGTTTAGAGAGTCAGAAACTGGGGATATGAACTTCCTTCTGGTTCATGTATAACATAATGATGCTTGTATCTACTTTGCTTGAGGAAAAAAAAGAAACACGTTGTCCCCAAATAGGGTGATAGACCAGGAGTTTCCATCCAGTTGACCACGAGTGTTGTTAGGATCTGTTTATTTGAGTCATGTTGACACAGACACAGCACTTTCAATAAGCAATTAATGATCATTTAAAGGTAACTTTTTTGAATTTGATAAATAGATTTTTTTTACAGCCTGTATTTGTGTTCTTCTAGGACTTTGCAACAAAGAATCTGTACATGCAAAAACAACAATAACAACAACAAGCTGTCTACTGCACTCACAGTTAAAGTTCTGTTTACTTTGCACTATCTAGGACTAATGCAAAAATCTCATAGATGTGCCTATTTGCACTTATTTAATTATGATGAAATTTACTTCTATATGTGAATCCATTTCTGTACATTTCTACAGGCAGATAAGTGATGGGAAAATCATTAAGAATTTAGACTTCATCAGAGAAGAACCCAGGTACAATGACAGCCCAGCTTAATACATGATGGCTGATGAATGAAAATGTCTAGGGAAATGAGTGTGTTATGTACAATGTAATTTCATATCTAAGTCACTTTAAAATAATTTTTTGATATATAATAACCCTTTCAATCACAGAACACATATGTGGCACCAATGTGAATACTACTTTAAGTATTAAGGTGATAATATATCCAATATACCTAGAAGGAAAATAAATACCTGAAATTCATTTTCATATCTAGCTTAATGTTAAAAGCTTCTTTTTGTTTTTTTATTTCGTAGCAAATCTCTTTAGCTCTGATGCTTTAGTTTCTGTACAATGAGAGGATTGGACTAGATTATTAGGTGAAGAGATTAAGTAAGTGTGTGTACCCTGGTGTCAAATTATCTTATTCTTTTTTCTTTGTTTTTGTTGGACTGGGTTAATTCGAAGACCTTGTCTTCAAGCTCTGAATTTCTTTCTTCTAGTTGTTCAATTCTATTGCTGAGACTTTCCAGAGCATTTCACCTTTCTAAAATTGTGTCCAAAGTTTCCTGAAATTTTTATTGTTTTTTCTTTAAGCTATCTATTTCCTTGAATATTTCTGCCTTCACTTCTTGTATCATTTTTTGCATTTCCTTGCATTGGGCTTCACCTTTCTCTGGTCCCTCCCCGATTAGCTTAATAACTAACCTCCTGAATTCTTTTTCAGGTAGATGAAGAATTTCTTCTTGGTTTGGATCCATTGCTGGTGAACTAGTGTGATTTTTTGGGGGTGTTGAAGAGCCTTGTTTTGTCATATTACCAGAGTTGGTTTTCTGGTTCCTTCTCATTTGGGTAGGTGCTGTCAGAGGGGAGGTCTAGGGCTGAAGGCTGTTCTTCAGATTTTTTTTTTGTCCCATGGAGTGTTCCCTTGATATCATACTTTCCCCTTTTCCTATGTATGTGGCTTCCAGTGAGCCAAACTGCAGTGATTGTTGTCTCTCTTCTGGGTCTAGCCACCCAGCAAATCTACCCGGCTCTGGGCTGGTATTGGGGGTTGTCTGCACAGATTCCTGTGATGTGAACCATCTATGGGTCTCTCAGCCATGGATACCAGTGCTGTTCTGGTGGAGGTGGCGAAGGGTGCAATGGACTCCATGAGGGCCTTTAGCTTTGGTGGTTTAATGCTCTATTTTTGTGCTGGTTGGCCTCCTGCCAGGAGGTGGCGCTTTCCAGAAAGCATCAGCTGTAATAGTATAGAGAGGGTCTGGTGGTGGGTGGGGCCCTAGAACTCCCAGGATTATATGCCCTTTGTGTTCTGCTAACCAGGGTGGGTAGGGAAGGGCAGGGCTAGGCATGTCTGAGCTCAGACTCTCCTTGGGCAGGTCTTGCTGTGGCTGCTGTGGGGGATGTGGGTGAGATTCCCAGGTCACTGGAGTTGTGTACCTAGGAGGATTATGGCTGCCTCTGCTGAGTCATGCAGGTTGTCAGGGAAGTGGGGGAAAACCGGCAGTCACAGGTCTCATCCAGATCCCATGCAAACGGAAGGGCTGGTCTCACTCTAATCATGCCTCCTCTAACCGCCCCAAGTCTGTTTCCAGGCAAAGGGCAAGACTGGCTTGAAAACTTGCCTGAGGCTTTCTGCCTCCCAGCTGTGAAAGAAAAGGGCTTTAGTTTTTCCCCTGCATGTGAAATCTGCATGCTGGATTCACGGCCTCCCCCCAGTTCAGGCCAGGAGACTTCTTGCCCTGTTCAAATAGTTACAAAGTTCAGCTAGAGAATTCCTTCTCCCTGTGGAGTTTTATACCCTGCTCCTCTGGCCACCCTCCAGATGGATCCCTGTGGTGCCTGGCAAGAATGGGCTGCTTGGGGACCCATTGAGCTCCCAGAGCCTTTCTGCAGCTTCCTCTACCCCTGTATTTTGCTCCGTTTGGCTCTCTAACTTGACTCACCTCCAGATAAAGTCGGAAACTTCTCCACAAACAGACGCTCAGCTTCTCCGGTCAGAGTGTGTGTTTGGGAGAGGAGGGTCTCCCTTTCCCGTGAGTCTTTTCTTTTTGACTGGGAAATAAGTATCTCCCAATCTTCAGTAAATAGGATCTTTGCTCTCCTTTTCCCACTCCTCTTCTTGGCCCATTACAAAGATATTTACCAAACATGCTTAGCCTTTATATTCTTCTGTTAATATTAATTCTTTTATTTAATATGATTGAGCTTCCACTATGTTCAAGGTCCTGGGATTTTTTAGGCAACTGTAATGCAGTCCTTATCTTTGTGGAGCTCATGGTTAAATGAGGAAGACAGACAAAAATAATTATGATCCAAGATGCTATGTGCTAAAATATACTGGCCTAAACAAAGTATTATTGGGAGCATAGAAATAAGAGTCTTTGTCTGGTGGTCTTGGAAATAAATATCTCAAGAGAGAAGTTGACATTTAAAATGGTTCTTGAAGAGTGAATGAGAATTTCTTCTCAGATTAAGGGGTAATCAAATATTTTAGTTCATGGTAACAGAAATAATGAAATGTGAAGCATATTCTAGTAGTAAAGAACAGAAGTGTGAAAGAAATGGCCAAAAAGTTCAGTGTGGCTTCAATAGATGGCCTATGAGATTGTGAAAGCATTTTGTGTCAAGCCAGATATATATATTTTAAAACACCTTATAAGCAATAGAACACTAATAGAGACTTTTAAACTGGGGAGTGAAATGCTTTTCTGAAACATAATTTTGGGAGCAGCATGGAGGAGGGATGGGGAGGAGAGAGATCAGTATTGAGAAGGCCAGTCAAGAGGATGCTTCCACAGATAAGGGAAGACATGAAAAAGGTGTGGATTGGCAATGGGAATGGAGAAAAAGAATTGAATTTAAGAGATATTCATGAGCTGGAGTCAACTGGACTTGGTGACCAATTGGATGATGAAAATCAGAGAGAGGAAGAAATGAGGAAGACTCTGAGGTTCCTAGGGTCAGACTAGTGACTCCCTGAAAAGACAGGGTTTGGATTTGGTGAATGAATACAGTCACGTGCCACTTGACGATGGGAATACATTCTGAGAAATGTGTCCTTAGTGATTTTGTTGTGTGAACATCATCGAGCGTACTGACGCAATGATGTCTACTAGATGGCAGAGCCTACTGCACTACCTAGGCTATGTGGAGTAGCCTATTGCTTCTAGGCTACAAACCTGTACAGCATGTTACTGTACTGAATACTGCAGGCCATGGTAGCACAATGGTAAATATTTGTGTAACTAAACACATAAAAGGGACATTAAAAATTTCTGTATTATAATCTTATGGGACCGCCACCATATATACAGTCCATCGTTGACCAACATGTCATTTATGCAGCGCATGACTGTACTGAGCTCAGTTTGGAAAGGCTATACATGATGTGTTAGGGTAAAACCAGATAGTGATGTTGAAAGGAATTTGGAAACAAGGAACTAGAAGTTTGGGCTGGAGAGAAAATGTGGGCTCCTGGGGGTAGACATGAGAGCTGGAGCCATAGGTGCAAATGAGTTCAGGCAGTGAACACCCTGTCCATGTGCCCAAGGAGTTTTGCACAGTAGCTGAGCAATGGCAAGCAATGTGGGTATTCAGAGGTGTGGATAAAATCCTCTCTCCCTCCCACTCTGTGGAAGAGAGTTGGGTTCATTTAATCTCATATGATTTCCCTAGTACAATAGTTTCAAATCAAAGGCAATGAAGTAACTAACAAAATAACTTGTTTGTAAATTAATTGCTTTGTGAATATTGATACAAAGTTTTATAATACCACTGGGATTTTTTCATTTTTCATGAAGAAATCAGTTTTAACTAGGAGAAAATCAATCTTTCATTTTTCTTATTATACACACTTAGAGAACCAAAGGGTTGTTTTGTACCCCCTATGGAGTTCCTTGGAGAGTAAAACAATGCACACATTGTGTGTGTGTTCATGAGCACTCTTTTGGCTTTTTCTCCTCACTTTTCTTCTTCCCATTTTTTTTTTTTTGCTTTCTTTTTTTTTTCTCCAAATGTTAGGCATTTAGGTTAGATTGGGTTTATCTTGTCTATCCTCCCTCCCTTCCTTGCCTCAATTACTTCTTTAGATTATGGGTGCCTTTGAATAGCAATGTAAGTTTAGAAATGATGCATATATAAAAATCTACTAACCAGGGATCTAAAGGTTTTAGCTGGTAGACTCATAAGACATGACATTGCTTTTATGAAAGGTGAGAAAAGTGGTAGGAAGTACTTTTTTTTTTAATGCCAGAATTTCTTAGTAAAACATCAAATATAACTAAAACCTAATATAAACATTGCAATTTTTAGACTTTTGCCTCTTGTGTCACATTCATGTGCTGTGCTAAGCTAACACTTATCATTGTTTGATTACAGAAAATGTGTTTAATAAGCACTATCAATGATTACAAACTCAGGACATCTTATCTTTCCATCACTCTGAGACCTTTGTGGAGGTTTGTGGTTAGAAGTCTGAGTTAAAGAAAATAAAATTACATTTCTGATATCTTGCACGCTCTGCACTGAGTGGGTTCTTTAAATGTTTCCTCCAGAGGATTTTCAACCAGGAACAATACAACTGCTTGCAAAGAGTCCCAGCAGGATGGGTCTGGGCATGAGCATCTTATACTGGTGAAATGAAGTAGTCCAGATATTAAAAGCATCAACTTGCAAATGAACTCATCTGCACTATAGTGCAATTCTCAGGTGAATGACCTTTTCTTCAGAAATTTTCTTAATAGTCCCCCAAAAGAAGAAGAAAATGTTCTTGTGCTTTATAAATTTTGAAAACCTAAAGAGATCACTTAATATAAAGATTTTTATTTTACTCTTGAAAACATTAGTCTATTGATATCAACAGTAATATTATAAAAATTATTATTATTATTATTTTTTGAGACGGAGTCTTGCTCTGTTGCCAGGCTGGAGTGCAGTGGTGCAATCTCGGCTCACTGCAACCTCTGACTCCCTGGTTCAAGCGATTCTCCTGCCTCAGCCTCCTGAGTAGCTGGGATTACAGGCACACACCACCACGCCCAGCTAATTTTTATATTATTAGTAGAGACGGAGTTTCACCATGTTGGCCAGGATGGTCTCAATCTCTTGACCTCGTGATCCTCCTGCCTCGGCCTCCCAAAGTGCTGGGATTACAGGGCGAGTCACTGCGCCCGGCCTATAAAAATTATTGTTAGCAGCAGTTAACAGTCTTGAGCCTCTACTGGGAAGAATATGCCCTGTTAGACACAGTATTCTATGTGATGAAGAAAATATAGTACCTGTTCTCCAGACTGATTATAATCTAGGGTTTCCAATAAAAAGTAAACAGATATGGTAGCAAAACAAAACCTCATGTTTAATATTCAGATTTTAAGACTCATCACCAGGATCCAAGACCACATATTCCTTTTTGTGATTTTAGTAACATATTAAGTGCTAAAAGATATAAGATGATGTTTATATCACAAACCACTAACATGCTGTGTTTATAAAACATCTTGGTATATTAGAACAACCATTGGTCCAGGGGTTCTTGTCCTGGTCATATATTGGGCAAATGTAATGGCTGCGCTTTGGGACATCCAAGTGAGCAACCAGGTTTGTTGCTCACTTGGATGGAACAAAGTTGTCCTGCCCTCCACAGACATATAAGAGCCAAGAGAATTATCAACTGTCTAAATAAGTATTTATGAACCCAGTGGATATTTGAAGGTAAAGAAAGTTTTTCTTTAAAGCTCAGACAGATAATTTCCATTAGAACATGACATCTCAGTTGGGGTAGTGTCTTGTATGCATGATTGTGTATCTTCATACACTTGTTTCCAGAAGAAAAGCAATAATATGGCATAGCTAACTCTGGGATCATGCCCCAGCTATGAGCTATGTAATCCTGGGCAAGATAGTCACCTTTTCTGGCTCTAGTTTAATTTGATAAATGCAAATGGAAAATGCAAAATGAAAGGTTTAACTTGTCATTTCTAGAAGCCCTTTTGGCTCTTATATTATAAATCCTGTGCTTCATCTCCTCAGATTTAAAATGTCACCGTCTATATATTCATTTGTTCGCCCATCCAACCATGCTTTCATCCATCCAATAAATACTGATTGCAGCTTACAACACACCAGGTATTATTGTAGATACTTGGGATGGATTTGTGAATAAGACCAACAAGGTCCCTGGTTTTAAAGCTTAGAGTGGAGTAGCCAGACAATAAAGAAGAAAACAATCAGATAAACCAGATAATTTCAGACAGTGATAAATGCTTTATGTCAGTTAATGTACTAGATAATGACCTGGATATATTCTTTAGATTGGGTGGCCAGTGGTCACTGAAGAAGTGTCATTACTCTTGAACGATGACAAAGAAGCAGCCATGTGAAAATCAGAGAGAATGTTCTAGGTGGAGAAATGAGAAATTAAAAGCCCTGGGAACCTGCTTTGTGTGTTTGAGGAACAGAAAGAAGGGCAGTGTGACTGTGGTGTAGTGTGTGACTGGTATAAAATGGGGAGAGGTAGGAGAGGTCATGCAAGTCATGGGAAACCAGGGTAAGAACTTAGATTTTACTGTAAGTGGAATGAGAAGCACCTGGAGGTTTTATAAGCAGAACAATGACTCTATTGGATTATGCATGTAAGAAGGTCATTCTGGTTTCTCTGTGGAGAATGGATTGTAAATGGGCAGGAGTAAAAGCAGAAGCTCTTGTAGTCCCAGAGAGAGATGACAATGGTTTGGACCAGTTGAAGCTGAGATGGAGGAGAAGTGGATAGATTCTGTTGGACATAAAACAGAGGTGCTGGAAATTAGGCGTTCTTCCTGCTCACAGATTTTTAGCACTGGTCCTGTAACACTCAGTTGTTAGTGACCACTGTCTAGCTTCCTGTGGTTGCCTGCTTCTATTATACTTCTGTTGATTGTTGCTAGTGACACTTTGACTGTGGATTGAACCAAAAATCTTTCATGCACCCAGGAAGCTGTGTGACCTCGGGCAAATAATTTAATCTGTCTGGGCCTTCAGTTGTCTGTATGTACACAAAAGAGGTCACCAGATCTGACTGTGTATGATGCTGAGAAGAGGTTGAATCATGTTACAGGAAACAAAAAGTGTAAAGCTGAGGGTATTTATAGGATGCCTGAAACATGAAGTGTTGATGAAATTTATTAGCAATGGAAATGGTATGTTAGGAAGCATGAGGAGCATATCAAAGATAGTATGAGAGAGGATGTTTTGGAGAAGATTTTATATTAAAGGTGGTATGGGAAGAAAAGGCAAACATGAGAAAAAGGAAGAAAGAACAAGAAGAGAGAGATTGGTAAGGGGAACACTGACAATTTTTAACTACTGGTATGGCAACAGAATTGACCAAATAGATTTGACACCTTACCAATCAGAGCAGACACTATCTATAAAAGTGGTGCTATCTATCATACCAGCATTCCAGGCTGAGTATTAGACTTGGAGATAAGAACATCCAAGAAGGATGGAGAAAAGATCCTAGATGCTTTTGCAGTTATAAGAAACTAACGTATTCAGATCTTCCTTAAATTGTCTATCCATTAAATGCTTTAGTCATGGTTATAAGGGGCAGTCTCCTTTAATACTATTTTCAAATGTTACCAAAGGCTAAGAAGAATTTGTAATTTGTCATTTGAGCATTGTCTTAGTCCATTTTCTGTTGCTATCACTGAATACCGGAGACTGGGTAATTTATAAAGAAAAGAAATGTATTTCTTACAGTTCTGGAGGCTGGGGCCTAAGTCTAGGGGTCTAGGGGCCTAGGTCTAGGCTGAGGCCTAGGGGCGAAATCTGGTGAGGGCCTTCTTTCTGGTGGGGACACTCATCAGAGGCCCAAGGCAGTACAGAGGATTACATGATGAGGAGGTTCTTGAGAGACAGCCAATCTGGCTGTTTATAACATACTAACTCTCATGATAATTAACCCACTCCTGTGATAACCTATTAATCTGTTAACCCATTAACCCATGAATTGGATTAAGCTATTCATGGGGGTTCTGCCAATCATCTCTTAAAGGCCCCACCTCCCAATTCTATTACACTGGGGATTAATTTTCAATATGAGTGTCAGTCAGAGGGGGACAAACATTCAAGCTATAGCAAGCATATCTGTTCTATATCTGCCAAAATAGTTATGAAATAATTAATTAAATGCTATAGTTAAAAACATTCGAACTGCAGACTTAGAGCTGTCAAGCGGTTTTCCAGATGGAAAGTTTAAACACTGGATATGTGGAAACCTAAGTCAGCCTTCTGATCACTACATTTCATAATAAATAGGCGATCCAGGTAGTTTTTAAGTTAAAGATAAAAAAATGAGTAATTAAGAGCGTCCAGGCCAGGTGCGGTGGCTCACGCTTATAATCCCAGCACTTTGGGAGGCCAAGGTGGGCGGATCGTGAGGTAAAGAGATGGAGACCATCCTGGCCAACACGGTGAAACCCTGTCTCTACTAAAAATACAAAAATTAGCTGAGCATGGTGGCATGTGACTGTAGTCCCAGCTACTTGGGAAGCTGAGGCAGCAGAATCGCTTGAACCTAGGAGGCAGAGGTTGCAGTGAGCTGAGATTGCACCACTGCACTCTAGCCTGCTGGTGACAGAACAAGACTCCATCTCAAAAAAAAAAAAAAGAGTGTCCAATAGAAATGACACTCTGAAATCTTCAGCTGATGTCAGTGGCACACACTCTCAACATGCCATTCAAGAAAAATTGAGGCACGGCATTCCTGGTCCTACCTAAATACTTTTGTGGGCAAGAAAGACAGTCTCCTTTATTTTAATTTATTCTGACTTTCTGGAATAGCCCATTATGATATTGAGACAGAAAGTGGTTAACAGGAACATTGTTTTCCCTTTGGAAGACTTACCCAACAGCAAAGAATTAGCTCTCTCAGTTGTTTGCAGTCTTATCTGGATATATTCTGATGCTGAATCCAGAGAAAGCAGGTGTTAGAAATAACATTAAGATGTTTTTGTTTCACTTCTTCATTTCACGGATGAGGAGGCTGAATTCCACAGGGGTACCCTAGCCACAGAGCCTTGCTAGTGGCAGAGCCAGAATTTGCCTCTGGTTTCCTTGGGATCCACTGCAATGCACTTCCACCACACTGCACCGCCAACCATTCATGTCCTCTTGTGTTTGCCACAGTGCGGGCACAATGGGGGAAAAATCTGCTGAGAAAATCATCTTCGGAAGTAGAAGACAATGCGTCTATGTCTGTGTATACATGGTGACCACAGACGCTTTGGCTCCAAGATCATTGTGGTTTACTTGCTGCCATTCTAAAGTCTCTGGGAAATTTTTTGTGAACATTTCTAAAGGAACTGAGAACCCGTCCACTGATTTTATCTTCTGCAGCAGACGGTAGAGACATACGCATCAAAGCAACAGTGGGGCAACATATTTTACTGTCAGACAAATAAAGCCCCAAGCAAAATACCCTACGTTTTAATCTAATGTAGACTGCACCTGTTCTCATGCCAACAGTTTTTTTTTCTTTGCCTCTGGATAATATTGTTCCTTCCAGTTTTTAAAACGAAGCAAGTATTATTTTCCTTCTGTATGCTTTTAAACATACTTGTTATTATAAAACAAAACATACATATAGAAAAGTGAAAAAAATGTATAATTTAATGAATAATGCTAAAGCATACTATCTTACCCTCATAATCACCACAGGTCAAGAAATACAAGACTGTCAGCACCCCTATTTCCTTCTGATTCCAACTCTTTCTCCCTCTTTAGACAAAACCATTAGGCTGAATTTTGTGATACTAATTCAGATTATATTAACTATTTCTATTTTTTAGTAATTATGGAAGAAATCAAAACATGTATACTTCACTTAGAAAAGTTTCAAATTACATATACCTTCACTATCTTTCTAGACAATGTGCTCTATATTGACAGATGTTTCTTTTAGCACATTGGAGGTATATGTTATAATTCCACTGTATCAGGGCTTTTATTGTTGATGTTGAAACAGTCTAATAGTTGCTCCTTGGAAGGTAATCAGTCTCTTTTCTCTGGCTGCTTTTAGGATTTTCACTAAGATACATCTAGGTGTGCATACTTTTAAAAAATATGCTTGTGAATTGTTGGGATTCTTGAATCTGTGGAGTGTGACTGGGTTCTAACTAATTTTTCCAACCTATCTGCTGGTTCACCAATTTTCTCTTTAACTCTGTCTAATATATATTAAACTTATCTATTGAGTTTTAAATCTCAGTGCATTTTTTTGGCCGATTCTTGTAGGTTCTTTTTCAAATTAGTTGACTTAAATTTTCCTGTGTACTACAGATATTATTACAAGTTTTTCTCTTATTTGCTTAAACATAATAAGCTTAATTACTTTATTTTGGGGACCTGATAATTCAGGTATATAAATCATGAGTTTGTTTTTGTAGTTTGTTGTTTCTGTTGTTCCCTTGTTTTCTTGTATGTCTCATTATTTTTGTGATGTGTTTGCCATTGAATGTGAATATTATTTGTATGAAATTTTTTGAGGCCTAGGATGTAAACCTTTTCTTCTTGTAATAGTTTGCATTTTTACTTTCAAAAGCTGAAGGGTAATAATAATGCAAATCTCCTTAAAGAAAATTCAAGGATTGAGGTTTTCTAACCATTGAAGTCCAGAAGATTTTTCTGGACCATCTAATCTGAATGAGGTCTGGTTTATTTCTTTACCTGTGCTCCAAGAATGTAACTCTTTGGGGTCCCAATTTATTGGGGAGAGGGTTTTCTGCTAGATCACTCACTCTGCAGATTCTGGGAGTTGAGACATAAAAACAAAAGTTTGAATTTGAAAGAACAGCAATGCTTTCCGAGTAAAAGCAGCTTCCAAGCTTTGCCTGTCTCTCGGGGTTCTGGTTCTCTCTTCAAATTTAGCCTGGTAATTTCTCCTCCTTTGTGTCATTCTTTAATGCTTTTAATAATATTTTTGGACATTTGTTCAACATTTTTGGTTGTTTTGGCGTGAGAATTAGTTTGAATAATAGGGACTGCTATAACTGAAGACTAGAACACTTGTGCTTATTTTCACAATCAAATCACCCAAATTGAAGATATATAGGGAAAATATAAATTGAAGCCCAGGGTCATTAAGAAAATAAGTAATTGTGTATCTTAAATAAAATTAAGGCAACTAGTGTAAGTAGAGGTGTGACAAATAGCCCCTCCTGCATAATGCTAATCCTGTTACAAATTTCAGAAAGCAAAATGGCAATACATAGTATTATAACTTTTAAACATTTTGACCAAATGTCATAATATTTACATAAAAGCAAAATGCTGAAAATAATCCCAATATCCAACGTTAGTATTTTAGTTTTAACAAATTATGATAGATTAACATTTTGGCCAATAATATAGTCATTAAAAAGGATAATTATGATGACTAAAAATGAAATGTTTATGACATAAAATAACAATAGCAGAACACAAAATAACATGTTTGCTATAAATAATAAGTATGTTTTTGCAAGATAAAGAGCAAAAATATACAAATAGTATTTCTATTTCACTGTAGAACTAGGTAATTTTTTTCCTTAAAATTTTTTTACACTTACATAGTTTTCTCAAAAACAAAGACCAAGATTTCAAAACTTAGGAAAAAACCAGCATACTAATAATTTTCCCAAACAATTTCAGCATGAAAATTTGTCATATTAAAAAGGAAAATAAAACAAAAAGAAAGAGAAGGCAATGAGCAGTTTGAATTTATAGTCTAATAACTCAGAATCTGCAACCACCAGGCCAAGGTGATTTCAGTTTTTTCCTTCTGTGATTCCCATGTAGCTTGCAAAAACAACCTTGGCTTCCTATAAGCATAAATTTATTTCAGAAAATGAAAAAGTGGGGCTGGGCATGGTGGTTCACGTCTGTAATCCTAGCACTTTAAGAGGCTGAGGCAGGAGGATTGCTTGAGGCCAGGAGTTCAAGACCAGCCTGGGCAACATAGCAAGACCTGTCTCTACAAAATTTCTTTTTCAAAGTTAGCCAGATATGGTGGTGTGTGCCTGTATTCCCAGCTTCTTGGGAGGCTGAGGCAGGAGGGACCCTTGAGTCAAGGAAGTGGAGGCTACAACGAGCTAGGATCATGCCACTGCACTGTAGCCTGGGGAACAGAGTAAACCCTTTTCTCTGAAAAGAAAAGAAAAGAAAAGAAAGAGAGAGAAAAAGTAAACAAAAATCTGGGGCTTTATCTTTATTATCAGGCCTTGATTCAGTTCTCAGTGGATGAGGTTTGGAGAAAATACATTTCTGTCATTTGAAAATGATTAGTCTGTTCTTTTACTCTTTAGCAGGAGGACATAATGTATGTGTGTATATATGTATGTATATGTATACAATTATTTGTATATATACACACACATAGTCTCTATATATTGTAATATACATATACATATAATACATATATTTTAATATATAATATGTAATATACATACATATATAAAATATATATACAATTATTCATTTTTAAACTACTTCGTACTTTTACAAAGTGAGCAATTTCTATCTTTCCTTTTATCTGCTTTACTGATGTACATCAGTGATTATTTACTCATCAGAAGTACACATGGTTCTTGTCAGAGTAGTTTGATCAACAGGTAGACAATTCCTTCTCCCCAAGATATACCTACTAATAAATGAAGTTTTTCCTAAACTTCAACTTTTCCCATATCTCTCTGTTTAGCTAAGTGCTACTAATCCTTTAATTCCAATTTTAAAACTCACTTCCTCAAGGCGGCATTTTCTGATTCTATAATCAAAATTATAACCCACCTGACTCTACCACCTTCATTTAAATAGTACTCCATTCCTATCACAAATTATGTTGCATTACTACATATTTATTCCTTTACCATCTGCCTCCAATATGAAAGCTACCAAAGGACAGAGGCCATACCAGTTTGATTCATACACACTATGTAAATATATTATTTAATATTTAGTATATTCTATATTCACATATGACAAGCAAGTTTCTGGTTAGGATTTTTTTTTCTCTAGGACATAGTTTTATCTTATGTTCTTCCTTGAGGGGTGGAGGGAGAATGTGAAGCTGTTTCATTTTGGTGCAACAGAGATGACTTTATGCATTGAATAAATTGCTTTTATGTTAAAATATAATTATTAGGGCAACATTATAAAATGTCACTTTTGCTTTGTTTTCTTTCTTTTTATGCAGGAGAAATCAATGGTTCTGCCAATTATGAGATGTTTATATTTCACAACGGAGGTGTACAAATTTTATGCAAATATCCTGACATTGTCCAGCAATTTAAAATGCAGTTGCTGAAAGGGGGGCAAATACTCTGCGATCTCACTAAGACAAAAGGAAGTGGAAACACAGTGTCCATTAAGAGTCTGAAATTCTGCCATTCTCAGTTATCCAACAACAGTGTCTCTTTTTTTCTATACAACTTGGACCATTCTCATGCCAACTATTACTTCTGCAACCTATCAATTTTTGATCCTCCTCCTTTTAAAGTAACTCTTACAGGAGGATATTTGCATATTTATGGTAAGACATTGCTTTCATCTTCCAAACTTAAGAGTATATATATGTTTTGACAACTTTTCTCACTAATAAAATCAATTAGACAAATAAATATCTTTTGTGTTGGAGTTCACTTAGATGCAGTTGATGGTAATCATTTATAATGAAGATATACAGGTGATGATTTACTATTAATCATAATTAGTATTATTCAGCAATATGCAATGTAATCCCATAGACTGCTAAGTCAGAAATAGATCATATTGCCTTTTAAACACATATGCTATTAAAAATCAGGAAAAACATTAAGACAAATACTTAAACTTATGGCTTAATAATGGGTATTATCTCTATTCACCTAAGATTTAAGGTTTGGTTTTGCACTGTGTTTGTGGAATGAAGTATGATGATTGAAAATCATAGTTTTATAACATTACTTTTACTATTACCTCTTTTATAAAAATATAGGCAGAAAAGCCCTTTCTATTAACCACATTTGTAAATACATTATATGCATAATCTTTTAAGTTTTAGTTCCTGGATCCTTGCCATAATACTGAGATGATGTTAGTCTAATAACTTGCCCACTTACTGGATTTCATGACTATAATAAAGAAAAGCTTCATTTGATTAAATAGCTCTTTTAAATTTGGTAAGAGAACTTGTGGTTCAGCAGAATTTTTCATTAACATACCTTTTTTTCCAATCCAGAATCACAACTTTGTTGCCAGCTGAAGTTCTGGTTACCCATAGGATGTGCAGCCTTTGTTGTAGTCTGCATTTTGGGATGCATACTTATTTGTTGGCTTACAAAAAAGGTAAGCGATTTCTATCTTTCCTTGTATCTGCTTTACAGATGCACATCAGTGATTATTTCCTCATCAAAAGTACACATGGCTCTTGTCAGAGTAATTTGACCAACAGGGAGACAATTCCTTCCCCCCAAGACATACCTACTAATTAAACTAATCACTTGGAACAGAAATTTATGTATTTGTTTTATAGCCCACACATTCCAAAGAGGACTTGACTTGATGGCTTACAGAGAGTTACATTATTATTATTATTGTTCAAACTAGATGAGGAAATTGAGGTCAAGAGAAGACTAAAGGTCAGGAGGAAGGTTAAAACATCAAAATAGATGACTCTGATTTTTAAAAAATTATTATGCATGGGCTGCGAATTTGAATCCAAGGTTCCTGAGAGGCAGGGCAGAGATGAAACAATTAGTTATAAGTTTTGCTTAGCTGGTAAGTTAAAAACAGTCAGCAAGAAAGCCTTCTAAGGTGTCAATTGTAGCTGAGAAGGAAATTGACAACTTTTTTACATGGTAGGTTATTAGACTCCTTGCTTTTAAAGAAAACCACTGAGGAGCTATTTAGAAAGATAAACAACAATGACAACAACAAAAATCTCCCTGTGCTGGGGGATATTCTTTTTGGTCTCTTGCATTACAGGTTCTCAATCAAAGAACTGACACCACTCTGCATATTACGCGAGTATGCTAGTACTCAAGTATATCCACAGTGTGGTCATTGGCCAGTGTATATCTGTGGGAGAGTGGAATTTGGAAAGAGACATAAAGAAGGAAGAGAATGAGATAGCGCCCATGGTCTAAGTCTGCTGGGAAAGAAACAATAAAGGCAAAAACGAGGAAGAAAGTTCAGTAGAAAGCTCTTTTTATGTAAAGCCCTTTTCATATTGTTTTTCTACTTAGCCTAAAGCCAGGAACCTAAGTCACATTATCATGTTTTTGTCACATACCACTTCAACAAAGAATAGAAAACAGTCAAAAAACAAAGAGATGGAGAAGAAAAGATGACCAAGCATGTTTCTGGCTTTTTCTTTCAGAAGTATTCATCCAGTGTGCACGACCCTAACGGTGAATACATGTTCATGAGAGCAGTGAACACAGCCAAAAAATCTAGACTCACAGGTATGACTCCATTTGGGGGTTTGGGAAGGGAAGAGGTTTCTTCACAGTAAGCCTGGAATGTTAATTTTTTTTTTTTTAATTTTAAAGGAAAGGAAAACATCTCCAAGGCCTAATTCTAGAATTTTCTGTGAAAATCTGGATTTCTCACTTTTAACTAGATTTATATTTTCTGCAGTATATTGAAAACAAACAAGCAATAGGTTTGTAAGCCACTATTGAAACTAAACACACAAACAGCTCATAAACCACCATAGTATCAAGGCAATTTTCCCATTGATGTTTCAAAAGTTGGGATGATTCTAAGTGTTTTTTGTTGAAGGGTTCATTCAGTCATTCAATGAGCGTTTATTGAGCATCAGTTAAGTGTGAGTTACTGAGTGAGGCACTCTGGGGAATTTGGACAGATATATGCTAATTTTGGACTGAGATTAGGAAGAGAGATCTGTGCTGGTACTGCTAGAGGGAAGAAGGAGAAATTGATGAAGATATCTGGTTATTTTGAGGTAAAGAGTGTGCAAGTTTAGAGAACTTGGATGGCTTTAGAAGTCTCAGTAACATGGAAATTTGACCTTTTCTGTTAAGAGTCAGAAAACTGAAAGTTGCCAAGTTTGAGGAGCACCCAGAAAGTTTGAAGCTTCCATTGTGGAAAATTCATGTCTTATGCCCTTGAGGTTCGAATGATGTGCGATGTGTAATGAGACAGAAGCCACTGCATTTTTCCACCCCTCAGTGGCTACAGATTATCTAAAGGGGACACACATAGCTTGCGTTGTCATGGAATTATAGCATGGGATGGGAGCTAAAAAGGATCCTTGAGTTCACATTTCATGTTTTAGATGACAGAAATTGATGCTCAAAGTGTTCAGTGACTCTTTTGGTTCCCTAGACAGTTAATACCTAGCTTTGACACTTGCAAAGAGCTTATGTTTCATTACTTTGCTGTTTAAAAAATATATGATCTCTCAATCTCTTTGCTTAATGTGTTCTGGCTGTTTGGATCCCCACAAGCAGAACCTGACATAAGGACTTGGGTGCAAGTAGTTTATTTGGGAGGTGATCCCAGGAAGAAGGGGTGAGGGGGCAGGGAGAGTGAGACAGCCAACAAGGAGAAGCAAATGAAGGGCGCATTATTATCAAGGTCTCAGCTCCAGGCCACAGAGGCCTGACTTCATTGGACCTCTGAGAAGTGTACAGATGCCTCCCAGAATCATTCTCTTGAAGGATGGCAACCACTGGCTCCATCCTCACTGATTTGGGGTTGCCTGCGGAGGGCATTAGCTTTCCCTCATCTCTGAGCTGTGCCTCTACTTGGGATGAGCCTACTTGGGATGAGTCTTCAGAGAAAGTCTGGAGGCAGAAAAGCAGTGAAATGCAGTGGGGCTGTTGTGCTAGAACAGTCAGCCCATGCAGCGCTTTCTGCCCCAGCAGCAGCTGCAATCAGAGGTGGACAGTTTCAAAGTGATGAGTTTAGATAATGTCTGTTATAGGAGTCGAGAGCTAAACTTCTCTGGAAATGGGGAACTGGTGCTGGGTGTTGAAGCATAAAGATGAGTTTGCATGGTGTGTGTGTGAGTGTGTGTGTGTGTGTGTGTGTGCACGTGTGTGTTTGTGTGTATGAAAGGCAATGGAGAGGGGAAAGCTTCTTGTAGGGAACTGGCACATGGAGAGCATTTAGATAATTTATGCTGAATTTTTGTTACAGATGTGACCCTATAATATGGAACTCTGGCACCCAGGCATGAAGCACGTTGGCCAGTTTTCCTCAACTTGAAGTGCAAGATTCTCTTATTTCCGGGACCACGGAGAGTCTGACTTAACTACATACATCTTCTGCTGGTGTTTTGTTCAATCTGGAAGAATGACTGTATCAGTCAATGGGGATTTTAACAGACTGCCTTGGTACTGCCGAGTCCTCTCAAAACAAACACCCTCTTGCAACCAGCTTTGGAGAAAGCCCAGCTCCTGTGTGCTCACTGGGAGTGGAATCCCTGTCTCCACATCTGCTCCTAGCAGTGCATCAGCCAGTAAAACAAACACATTTACAAGAAAAATGTTTTAAAGATGCCAGGGGTACTGAATCTGCAAAGCAAATGAGCAGCCAAGGACCAGCATCTGTCCGCATTTCACTATCATACTACCTCTTCTTTCTGTAGGGATGAGAATTCCTCTTTTAATCAGTCAAGGGAGATGCTTCAAAGCTGGAGCTATTTTATTTCTGAGATGTTGATGTGAACTGTACATTAGTACATACTCAGTACTCTCCTTCAATTGCTGAACCCCAGTTGACCATTTTACCAAGACTTTAGATGCTTTCTTGTGCCCTCAATTTTCTTTTTAAAAATACTTCTACATGACTGCTTGACAGCCCAACAGCCACTCTCAATAGAGAGCTATGTCTTACATTCTTTCCTCTGCTGCTCAATAGTTTTATATATCTATGCATACATATATACACACATATGTATATAAAATTCATAATGAATATATTTGCCTATATTCTCCCTACAAGAATATTTTTGCTCCAGAAAGACATGTTCTTTTCTCAAATTCAGTTAAAATGGTTTACTTTGTTCAAGTTAGTGGTAGGAAACATTGCCCGGAATTGAAAGCAAATTTATTTTATTATCCTATTTTCTACCATTATCTATGTTTTCATGGTGCTATTAATTACAAGTTTAGTTCTTTTTGTAGATCATATTAAAATTGCAAACAAAATCATCTTTAATGGGCCAGCATTCTCATGGGGTAGAGCAGAATATTCATTTAGCCTGAAAGCTGCAGTTACTATAGGTTGCTGTCAGACTATACCCATGGTGCCTCTGGGCTTGACAGGTCAAAATGGTCCCCATCAGCCTGGAGCAGCCCTCCAGACCTGGGTGGAATTCCAGGGTTGAGAGACTCCCCTGAGCCAGAGGCCACTAGGTATTCTTGCTCCCAGAGGCTGAAGTCACCCTGGGAATCACAGTGGTCTACCTGCATTCATAATTCCAGGATCTGTGAAGAGCACATATGTGTCAGGGCACAATTCCCTCTCATAAAAACCACACAGCCTGGAAATTGGCCCTGGCCCTTCAAGATAGCCTTCTTTAGAATATGATTTGGCTAGAAAGATTCTTAAATATGTGGAATATGATTATTCTTAGCTGGAATATTTTCTCTACTTCCTGTCTGCATGCCCAAGGCTTCTGAAGCAGCCAATGTCGATGCAACAACATTTGTAACTTTAGGTAAACTGGGATTATGTTGTAGTTTAACATTTTGTAACTGTGTGCTTATAGTTTACAAGTGAGACCCGATATGTCATTATGCATACTTATATTATCTTAAGCATGTGTAATGCTGGATGTGTACAGTACAGTACTGAACTTGTAATTTGAATCTAGTATGGTGTTCTGTTTTCAGCTGACTTGGACAACCTGACTGGCTTTGCACAGGTGTTCCCTGAGTTGTTTGCAGGTTTCTGTGTGTGGGGTGGGGTATGGGGAGGAGAACCTTCATGGTGGCCCACCTGGCCTGGTTGTCCAAGCTGTGCCTCGACACATCCTCATCCCCAGCATGGGACACCTCAAGATGAATAATAATTCACAAAATTTCTGTGAAATCAAATCCAGTTTTAAGAGGAGCCACTTATCAAAGAGATTTTAACAGTAGTAAGAAGGCAAAGAATAAACATTTGATATTCAGCAACTGAAAATACCTCACTGTGTTTTCTTGGGGGGAGCAGGGAATTGATTACCTTAGCTAGCATGTACAAATTTGACATTGTACTTGAAGATAGTTACATTGCTTGGAACAGTTGCTTTCTTTCTTTTTTTTTTTTAAATTTTGAAATAGCCACAAACTTATAAAACAGTTGGAAGCACAGCAAAAGGACTGTTCTTTTCCTGAGTAAGTTTCTGATCTAATGTCCTATCACCTTTGAATGGTATTTTTTACAAACAAGAACACTGTCCTTCCTAACCATAGTATAGCCTTCAGAAAATTAACATTGATACATTGCTACCATCCAATCCTCAGAGCGCCTTCAACATTAGCCCTGTGCATTTAGTTGATATGTTTCATGCGCGTCTGTGTGAAGAGACCACCAAACAGGCTTTGTGTGAGCAATAAAGCTGTTTATTTCACCTGGGTGCAGGTGAGTTGAGTCCGAAAAGAGAGTCAGCGAAGGGAGATGGGGTGGGGCCGTTTTATAGAATTTGGGTACGTAAAGGAAAATTACATTCAAAGGGGGGTTGTTCTCTGGCGGGCAGAGTGGGGGTCACAAGGTGCTCAGTAGGGGAGCTTTTGAGCCAGGATGAGCCAGAAGAAGGAATTTCACAAGACGATGTCATCAGTTAAGGCAGGAACAGGCCATTTTCACTTCTTTTATGGTGGAATGTCATCAGTTAAGGCAGGAACCGGCCATCTGGATGTGCACGTGCAGGTCACAGGGGATATGATGGCTTAGCTTGGGCTCAGAGGCCTGACATTCCTGTCTTCTTATATTAATAAGAAAAATAAAACGAAATAGTGGTAAAGTGTTGGGATGTCGAAAATTTTTGGGGGTGATATGGAGAGATAATGGGTGATGTTTCTCAGGGCTGCTTTGAGCGGGATTAGGGGCGGCGTGGGAACCTACAGTGGGAGAGATTAAGCTGAAGGAAGATTTTGTGGTAAGGGGTGATATTGTGGGGTTGTTAGAAGAAACATTTTTCATTTAGAATTATTGGTGATGGCCTGGATACGGTTTTGTATGAATTGAAAAACTAAACGGAATAAGAGAAGGAGAAAAACAGGTATTAAAGGTCTAAGAATTGGGAGGACCCGGGACATCTAATTAGAGAGTGCCTAAGGAGGTTCAGCATAGCCTTGCCAGTAAAGATTATTTATTTACTTCAAGAGCTAAGAGTGGCAGTTTGGGGATAGCACCAGGGGATATCAGCTGTGATGACTTGGAGAAACAGTGTAAACCGGCAGTGTAAACAAGAGCAGGGCATGTATGAGTAGCTGAGAACGGTGAATAGGAGTGTGACTAGACAGAAGATGGTAGGGATGACAAGTTTTTCTGGGGCACAGTCTAAGTTAGTCTGGTGTCTGGAATGAGACTGGGGCCTAATAAAGAGGAGCATCCATACAGGAGCTCAAATGGGCTGTACGCTGTAGCATTCTGAGGACAGGTCTGACTTCTGAGAAGGGAAAGTGGTAAAAGTATTGTCTAGTCCTTTTTAAGTTGGTGGCTGAGCTTGGTGAGGTGTGTTTTTAAAAGACCATTAGTCTGTTCTACTTTTCCTGAAGACTGAGGACCGTAAGGGATATAAAGGTTTCACTGAATACTAAGAGCTTGAAAAACTGCTTGGCTGATTTGACTAATAAAGGCTGGTCTGTTATCAGACTGTATAGAGGTGGGAAGGCTAAACTGAGGAATTATGTCTGACAGAAGGGAAGAAATGACTGCGGTGGCCTTCTCAGACCCTGTAGGAAAGGACTCTACCTATATAGTGAAAGTGTCTACCTAGACTAAGAGATATTTTAGTTATCTGACTCGGGGCATGTTGAGTAAAGCTAATTTGCCAGTCCTGGGTGGGGGCAAATCCTCGAGCTTGATGTGTAGGGAAGGGAGGGGGCCTGAATAATCCCTGAGGAGTAGTAGAATAGCAGATGGAACACTGAGAAGTTATTTCCTTGAGGATAGATTTCCACGATGGAAAGGAAATGAGAGGTTCTAAGAGGCGGGCTAGTGGCTGGTACTGTAGCATAGCCTGCCTTTGCTGGTGTGTGGAGATTAGGCCTGGTGGAACCGCCATCAATAAACTAAGTGTGATCAGGGTGAGAGACAGGGAAGGAGGAAATGTGGGGAAATGGGGTGAACGCAGGTGGATCAGAGAGATGCAGTCATGAGGGTCAGGTGTGGTATCAGGAATAATGTGGGAGGCCGGATTGAAGTCCGGGCCAGGAACAATGGTAATTGCGGGACTTAACAAAGAGTAAGTACAGCTGAAGGAGCCGGGGTACAGAAAGTATATGCATCAGGTATGAGGAAGAAAATAGATTTTGGAAGTTATGAGAAATGTAGAGAGTAAGTTGAGCATAGTTTGTGATTTTGAGGGCCTCTAAAAGTATTAGGGCGGCAGCAGCCGCTGCAAGGAGACATGGTGGCCAGCCTAAAACAGTAGGGTCAAGTTGTTTGGACAGAAAGGCTACAGGGTGCCTTCCTGGCTCTTGTGTAAGATCTCTGACCGCACTAACCATGCCTAGGACGGAAAGGAGTTGTTGTTTTGTAAGGGATTGAGGTTTGGGAGATTAATCGGACACGATCAGCAGGGACAGCGCGTGTGTTTTTATGAGAATTATGCTGAGATAGGTAACAGATAAGGAAGAAATTTGGGCTTGACTGAAGTAATGGGGGCTGTCTGTGAAGCTTTGCGGCAGTACAGCCTAGGTAATTTGCTGAGCTTGATGGGTGTCAGGGTCAGTCCAAGTGAAAGCGAAGAGAGGCTGGGATTAAGGGTGCAAAGGAATAGTAAAGAAAGCATGTTTGAGATCCAGAACAGAATAATGGATTGTGGAGGGAGGTATTGAGGATAGGAGAGTATATGGGTTTGGCACCACGGGGTGGATAGGCAAAACAATTTGGTTGATAAGGCGCAGATCCTGAACTAACTTGTAAGGCTTGTCTGGTTTTAGGACCGGTAAAATGGGGAAATTATAAGGAGAGTTTATAGGCTTTAAAAGGCCATGCTGTAGCAGGTGAGTGATAGCAGGCTTTAATCCTTTCAAAGCATGCTGTGGGATGGGATATTGGCATTGAGCCGGGTAAGGGTGATTAGGTTTTAATGGGATGGTAAGGGGTGCATGATCGGTCGCCAAGGAGGGAGTAGAGGTATCTTATACTTGTGGGTTAAGGTGGGGGAATACAAGAGGAGGATGCAAAGGAGGCTTTGGATTGGGAAGAGGGCAGCAATGAGATGTAGCTGTAGTCCAGGAATAGTCAGGGAAGCAGATAATTTAGTTAAAGTGTCTCGGCCTAATAAGGGAACTGGGCAGGTGGGGATAACTAAAAGGAGCGCTTAAAAGAGTATTGTCTAAGTTGGCACCAGAGTTGGGGAGTTTTAAGAGGTTTAGAAGCCTGGCCATCAATACCCACAACAGTTATGGAGGCAAGGGAAACAGGCCCTTGAAAATAAGGTAATGTGGAGTGGGTAGCCTCCGTATTGATTAAGAAGGGGACGGACTTACCTTCCACTGTGAGAGTTACCCGAAGCTTGGCGTCCGTGATGGTCTAGGGGGATTCTGAGGCGATCGGGCAGCTTCAGTCTTCAGCTGCTAAGCCAAGAAGGTCTGGGAAGGAGTCAGAGAGCCTTGGGCCAGAGTTCCAGGGGCTCTGGGAGTGGCTGCCAAGGTGAGTGGGACAGTCCGATTTCCAGTGGGGTCCCGCACAGATGGGACGCGGCTTAGGAGGAATCCTGGGCTGCAGGCATTCCTTGGCCTGGTGGCCAGATTTCTGGCACTTGTAGCAAGCTCCTGGGGGAGGAGCTTCTGGAGGAACGCCTGGTGGCTGCGGTTCAAGCGTTTGGAAGTTCTTGTGTGCTGGAGATGTGTCTGGGGTTTGTCTCACAGTGGAGGCAAGGAATTGCAACTTTTTTCTATTATTGTACACCTTGAAGGCTAGGTTAATTAAATCCTGTTGTGTGGTTTGAGGGCTGGAATTTAATTTTTGGAGTTTTATTTAATGTCAAGAGCAGATTGGGTAATAAAATGTATTTTGAGAATAAGACGGCCTTTTGACCTTTTAGGGTCTAGGGCTGTAAAGTGTCTCAGGGTTGCTGCCAAACGAGTCATGAACTGGGCTGGGTTTTTCATATTTGATGAAAGAGTCTAAATGCTCACTGATTTGGGAGAGGTCTGATAAATAAAAAGGAGCATTAACCTTGACTATGCCTTTAGCTTCAGCCACCTTTTTAACAGTGAATTGCTGGGCAGGTGGGGGAGGACTAGACACGGAACGAAACTGTAAGCCGGACTGGGTGTGAGGAGGGGAGGTGATAAAAGGATTATAGGGTGGAGGAGCGGAGGCTGAGGAAGAATTGGGACCTACCTCAGCCTGGCCAGGAGGGGAGAGGTCAGATAGATCTGTAGAAAAGGAAGATTAGAAAGACTCAGTGACGCTTGGGGTTGGGACTGAGGGGACAAGTGGGAGGGAAAGAAGGATTTGGGACGAGTTGCACTGGGCACAGAGACTAGAAAGGGACTGATGTGTAAAAGAATGCCTGGACGTCAGCCACCTCAGACCGTTTGCCTATTTTATGACAAGAATTATTTAGATCTTGCAGGATGGAAAAATTGAAAGTGCCATTTTCTGGCTATTTGGAACTACTGTCGAGTTTGTATTGGGGTCAAGCGGCATTGCAGAAGAAAATAAGATGCTTAGATTTTAGGTCAGGTGAGAGTTGAAGAGGTTTTAAGTTCTTAAGAACACAGGCTAAGGGAGAAGAAGTAGGAATGGAGGGTGGAAGTTTGCCCATAGTGAAGGAGGCAAGCCCAGAGAAAAGAGAGTAGAGACATGGAGGGAAGGGGTTTGGGGGTTCTTACCCTCCAGAAAAGCGGGAAAGGGGTCGGGGCACAGAGATACGAGGTCAGGGCGTGGAAATAAGGGATTGGGGCACAGAGATATAGAGGTTGGGGTGTGGAAATAAGGGATCGGGTGCAGAGATATAAGAGGTTGGGGCATGGAAATAAGGGATCAGGGTGCAGAGATATAAGGGGTCAGGGTGCGGAAATAAGAGATCGGGGCGCAGAGATACGAGGTTGGGGTACTTGCTCCTCCCCTAGAAAAGTGGGACTTGCCGCTAAGGGTGAAGGAGAAGTGGTCGGGGGTTTCTTGCCCCCCAGAAAGGCGGAGAAGGGGTAGAGACACAGAAGGGGTTGGGGTACTTGCCCCTCCCCCAGAAAAGTGGGACTTGCCGCTAAGCATGAAGGACCAAGGCAGGCATCCCTGCGTGGTCTGACACCTCTGAAACATGGGTGAATAATCAGAGAGGTGTCCCTGCAATGATTAAACACCAAGGGAAGGCTGCCTTCCCAGTCCGTGACCGGTGCCGGAGTTTTGGGTCCACGGATAAAATGTGTCTCCTTTGTCTCTACCAGAAAATGAAAGGAATTGAAATTAAAAGAAGGGAGAGATTGAAGTGTGGTGCCAAGGCTGAAAGGAGAAAGAGGTTGAGGGATAGTGAGGGAGGTTGGAGAAGAGAGTAAAAAGAGGCCGCTTACTGGATTTGAAATTGGTGAGATGTTTCTTGGGCTGGTCGGTCTGAGGACCTGAGGTCACAGGTGGATCTTTCTCATGGAGCAAAGAACAGGAGGACCGGGGATTGATCTCCCAAGGGAGGTCCCCCGATCCGAGTCACAGCACCAAATTTCATGTGCGTCTGTGTGAAGAGACCACCAAACAGGCTTTGTGTGAGCAATAAAGCTGTTTATTTCACCTGGGTGCAGGTGGGTTGAGTCCGAAAAGAGTCAGCGAAGGGAGATGGGGTGGGGCCGTTTTATAGGATTTGGGTATGTAAAGGAAAATTACAGTCAAAGGGGGGTTGTTCTCTGGCAGGCAGAGTGGGGGTCACAAGGTGCTCAGTAGGGGAGCTTTTGAGCCAGGATGAGCCAGGAGAAGGAACTTCACAAGACAATGTCATCAGTTAAGGCAGGAATTGGCCATCTGGATGTGTATGTGCAGGTCACAGGGGATATGATGGCTTAGCTTAGGCTCAGAGGCCTGACAATATGTTTCTGTAGTGTCCAGTCTGGACAGTTTCTCAGTCTAGACTTCACGGCCTTGACACTTTTGAAGATTAGAAGCAGGTGTTTTGTAGAACATCCCTTGTTTGGGTCAGTCTGATGTTTCTTCATGATTAAAATCAGGTTCTTCATCTTTGGCAGAAATAACACAGAAGTGACATTGCACTCTTTTAATTGCATCCTATCAGGCAGCTCACAGTTTCGATTTGTTACATTACTGATAATGTTCATTGTCATCACTTGACTAAGGTGGTGTGTGTCAACCTTCTCCACCACAAAGTAATTCTTGTCCCCTTTATATTTTAATAAAGATTTTATGGGAAAGTACTTTGAAACTTTGTAAATCTTCTGTTCCTTGTGAAAAATTTTATTTATTTGTTCGTTTATATCTGTATGGCATCATGGCATCCTACTTTATTCAATAGATAAAAATTTGTTACTATCATTATTCTGTTTTGATACTGAAATTGCCCCTTCCTTGGCCAGCAGGAGCCCATTCCAACTGGGTCTTGTGTTCTTCCACCATGTCCTCAATGTTCTTTCAGCACTCTTGCTTCCTGGAAGAATGAGCTAGTCCATCCTCAGTTTGAGCTTTCACTGTCCCAGTGCTGGAATCAGCTGCTTCTCCAAGAGCCCTGGTTTCTTTGAGAGATGGTTGTAGAAGCTAAGACCTAGGCATTAGTTCTGCTCATTGCTATTGGAATCTCACTGCTCCTAGGTCCTATCAGTGGACAGAGCTAGGGATAGATATCTATCCAGATAAATAGATAAATATGTGTATAAATATAAATGTAGATGTAAATGTGTGTGCATATATGTGTATGTGTGAATACAAATATATACTTATATAATATGTATAAGCAGATGTAAATGTGTGTATATATGCATCCACATACACATTAGTCTGCCTCTATATTTGTCTATCCTACCTAGAAATCCATGAGTTCACACCCAAGCCATTAATTCTGATACAACACTACATGGTGATTCATTCTAGTCTTATCCCTTTCTTTTATTTATCCTTCTTCTGACAGTGAGAAACCTCACTTTTAGATCCTTACTACATTCATTATTTGATCAATCCCCTAGTATGAAACTCACCTCCCATCTTCTTCCTCACTCCTTCCCCACGTGGTTCCCTCCTCTCTCTGCCTCTGCTCTGACTTCTCATTCCAGGCTGCCTGTTCCTGTTACCCACTTTGCCCAGGTGGCACTGTGTCTCCCCTTGCTGGGCTCTCCCATACCATGGATTCCCTTTTCACCCTGTTTGGGCTCCAACACTCCAGGCTGGGTCATTCCTCCTTGAGGATGCTCTCCATACCGTGCCTGGGCCTGCTCAGGGCCACAGTAGATCTTTGGGCTAGGGTGGATGATCCTATGGCTTATGCTTTGCACCACCTCCCACAGTGTGCTTTGGTGATAAGTTCCATTGCCTACCATGATCACTGGCTAGATGCATGTTGCTGGTGTTTTCTTCACCTGCCATGTAAACTTTTCACCCTGGAATTCTTGTCTCAGTGCTTATTTCTAGAAGAGCTCAAACTAAGACACCTCCTTTGCCCCTCCAAACCTTGGGGGAATGAAGGGTTTTCCACAGTTCCCTGGTGCTTCATCCTTCCTTGTTTATCTCTTGACTCCTTCCACAGTTTTGAAACAATCCCTTCATTAGCCCTCTTCACTTAATTTTTTAAACTACTACGTATTTCTGTGGAGAATCTGACCGAATTGCACCAAAATATGGCTGGCTCCTTCTGCTCCATCCCCATTCTACATCAGGACCCTGGGACCTGAAGTCTTCCCATGTTCTCACCTCCTTCTGTAGGAGTCTTAGCTTGAATTCTGACAACTAATGTTCTCTGCCTTGTTATGTCTTTTTCTTCATGAAGTCCACATTCGTCACAAGAGAGGACCATGTTTTCTTTGTGTCTCTAGGTCCTCTTCTGACTTCCAACTCACTCCATTGTTTTCCTTTTTGCTTGGTGGATAAGATTTCTATTGGCGCCACAGAAGACAGACTGTACTCAGCCTAGCTGTTAATCAACCTTTGATGAAAATGAGGAACTGAGGAATCTGGAATTTTCTATGAGGATGAATGTATTACTATCAACATTTAATCCCCTCCTCCAGAGTCTGTGTTCTCAGTAAAATGAGAAAGATGGTGAATTCTCCAAGTCTTTACCACAAAAAGGCAAGCTATGCTTTGGTGTTTTTCACTTTATGCCATTTTTTATTTCCGTCCACCTTGATGATTAGGGCTTAGGAATTCAATGTATGAATCTAAACTCTTTACTGCCTTGCCATATTTCTAAGGCAGTGAGACAGGCTGTCATCAAATCTGTCAATAACTCTTAATACCAATCCTCTCACTATTTTAGTCTTTCCAAATCTACCCATTCTTACGTCTCATTTCAGGAACATGCCCTAATCGTGACTAAAAGTCATCGTTTCTCCCTTAGGCTCCTTCATAGTGCTTGCTATACATTTTTTCATTTTCAAGAAGCTAGAAGTTATGGTCAGGCAGGTTCACTGGGAACCTAGTCTCTGGGGATGGAGTTGGCCAAAGCCTTCAGCTAAACCATGGATGTGTGCCACTGACCTCTTTTCTCCTTAAGAAAGAGTCTTCATTGAGACAGGTTAACAACTAAGTTCTAGCTTCATATGGGAGAAGTTTTAATCTTCAGTGTTCATAAATAGTATAATAGCATATAAGTATGCTTTTTTTTTGACAAAAATACTGAGTTCTAAAATGTGATTTCTCCTTAATATGGTCTATTTCTGTTCTGTCTTTATGGTTTTGTGGTGATAATCCAAAACAATTACAGTTGACGCTTAATGAATGTGACATTCTTTTCCATCATTTTTCCAATTATTTGGAGTCATGATGAAAATGCCCTCTTGAGGCTGAATTCCAAAATGGCACATAAATTAGCACAAAATCCGTGGTATAAAATCCAGGTACCTCTGAGTTTACTTAGAGTTCCATTCAAAGAAATGATGGTCCGTCAGAAATACATTTTAACTGAGAAGCCTATCTTTTCCTAGTCTTTTGAGCACATGCCAGAATGGGTATGAGTTTCATTTTAGAAGCACGGAAAAACAAAAATTTTTTCTTTCTTTCTTTTATTTTTGAAATAGAGACAGGATCTTGCTCTGTTGCACAGGATGGAGTGCAGTGGCATGATCATAGCTCACTTGCAGTCTTGAACTCCTGAGCTCAAGTGATCCTCCCACCTCAGCGTCCAGAGTAGCTAGGACCACAGACACATGCCACCATACTTGGTTAATTTTTGAAATCTTTTTGTAGAGATGGAGTCTCGCTATGTTGCACAGGCTGGTCTTGAACTCCTGGCCTTAAGTGATCCTCCCATCTCAGCCTCCCAGAGTGCTGGGATTACAGGCATAAGTCACTATGCCCAGCTGCAAATTTTCATTTAAAAAACCTTTCTTCTCATTATCAATACCTCTACATACCTGGAGGTAGCCCTTGAAACAGCGCCTCCTTATTTGACTTCTCCTAAAGCCTTTATCTTAGCAGTCTGAACATCTCTTTTATCTCTTCTCCACATTTTCCTAATTGAAGCAGCTGATAAAACGGTATACTCTCTCCCTTCCTCATTTACATCATCCCTGTATTGTTTATCTAGGGTTGTTATAACAAATTACCAAAAGTTGGTGGCTTAAAACAGTACAAATTTATTTACTTACAGTTCCGAAGGCCAGAAGTCTAAAATTAGTTCCACTGGGCTAAAGTCAGAATGTTGGCAGGGCCAGTCCTTCTGGAGGCTCCAGGGAAGAATCCATTTTCTCGTCTTTTCCACATTGGTGTGACTGCCAACATTTCTTAGTTTTGGCCACATTGCTCTTATCCTTGCTGCCATGGTCACATTGCTTTCTTCTTTTCTGTAGTCGAATCTCCCTCTGCTATCCTCTTCTAAGCGCATTTGTGATTACATTTTCAACGAATCCAAGATCATTCCATTTCAAGATCCTTAACTAATCACATCTGCAAAGCCCCTTTGGCCATATACGATTATTTGCAGGACCTGCATATATTTTGGGGGGCTTTATTCAGCCTACCACAGTCTCCTAACCACAAGACGTCCTCTAAATGTCTTCTTGCCACCTTCCTCACACGTTCACGCTTCCAATGTGCACGATCATTTTACCAGACCATCCTGGGAAGTATTACACTTCTCACCCTGAATTTGATTTCTAGCAAATAATATTATCTACTACATTACACCTTGAGTTTCACGAGAAAGTCACATTGAAATGGAGGCTTTGGGTGGGGTGTGGATGGAGAATCCCCTATGCACCCTTCCTTCCACTCCCAACCTGGGTTTCTATATTTAGGTTTCCCCACCTTCTTCTCTAAGCCTCCTGTTCTGAAACTCCATACCCCTTCTTGAGAAAGTTCCCATTTCTAGATTTTTTAGGTTCTTTATTAGGCTAGTGGGCCATATGCCAAGTCTGAGTCTGACAGTCATGAGCAGAGCTTTAGACTCCAGCCCACTGGGCAGCTGAAGCTTATTATTCTTAGTAATGCAGGTGCTGGGGTGGAGGAAAACAGGGAGTGTGGGCATTAGTCCTGGGGGTAATAGTTAACTCAACTCCTTCAATTCTAGTTTCCTTTTCATTACTTGCACCAAAAGGAGCTGCAGCCCCATTGCTTTCTTTGCTAGTGAGTCAATCAAAGTAAGCACTCTGGCCCTGAAGAACAAACTATACTTGAGCATCAGTACAGTCTAAACCCATGTTGAGAAAAGACTCAATTGCCTCACTCAGCCAGGAGCCTGCCCTACCCCTGGTGTGACTGGGTCCCCATCACTGTGAAATGAAGTTTTGTGGGGTTTTTTTTTTTTTTTTTGCTTTATCTGGCAAGCTTTCCAAAACCCTAAAAGAAGTTGGCATTAACATTTAATGCTTTTTCACTTTATTTATATGTGAAGTGGGCTAGCCTAAATTAAATTATTTTGAGTCGGACTTTCCCCTCTAATGGAAATCAGGGTGACTATCTTCTAATTTCTTCCATCCCATGGTATATGTTAAATGCTGTGGTGTCTGAATTTATTTCCTAGCAACAGTCAACAAAAATGGCTATTTCTGGGAAGCACTCCTCTTTTCACATAAAGAAACCCAAGTGAATGAACATGAGAAATATGGGAACCATTGCCTGCCTTCCAGTCGAAGCTTGGGTCCACCTAACAGTTCCCAAACAGGGTTTTGAGAGTCAATCCTATTAGTATATGAGGATTGAAGGAGTAATTTAAAATAATCAAAATACCTTCCCACTCTTCTCCAACTCCACTCTCTCACCCTAAAGAAACAATGATGTTGAATCCTGGATTTCAAGCAAAATGTTACAGAAATTCAACTGTCCAGATTTTCAACTGTCTGGAATAATCAGTATGTGAATAAGCCGAGGGTTGAGACATTAAATCTGATCACAAGGAAAAGTATAAGGCTCAGCAGAACAGAGACCCCTCAACCACAGACTCTCCAGGGATCCTCAGTCCAACATCATAGATAGTTTCTAGAAGGGCAATGATTTACCTGGGGGTACACTCCTAGTCAGTGTCAGAAGCAGAACAGAAACTCTTGCTTATCTCTTTCTCCACTTGCTTTATTCTACCCAATCTGACTTCACATGCCTTTTGTTCAATCCCTAAATATTCATTCTCCTCTCTTATCTCCCATCTTCCTCTACACACTGGGGAAGGCTGCGAAGAGGATAAAGGGGAAGCAGGCGAAAGATTCTGGGTGGTTAGCAAGTAGATGAGAGGCAATGGTGGAAGAATCTTCTCCCTCTTCTCCAAGACCTGCTTCACCTCCAGGCTTGTCTGCTCTCCAAGACCAATGTTCTCCCAACTCCCCACTCTTCCCCTGACACAAGAGACACTTCTGTAATGCCCTTCATGCTCCAAGTTCTTGTCATACCTGAGAAGCTCTGGCCAACAGCTGTTGCTTCAATGAATGCGTTCATGGGAATGAGGACTAGATCCCTGAGTTCTGGGACCCAGACCCTATCCTTTCACTCCTGCTACATCCTTTTAGTTTATTTGCAGCTCTACTACTCACGGTTTTGGCTAAGACCTGAGAGTTGTACAATTATCATCATCACCACTCAAGAAAGAATGTGCCTATACCAAACTTCACCTAGCATTCTGAGTAAGAGAAGCGTTTTTTGTTAGTCAGTAAAGTTTCAGAGCCCTACTTCAATCTTATCAGACTCTATATTTTACTCAGACACTGCAACTCCAGCAGGTAAAATCTGCTTACCTAACCACCAATTGTGGTATGGCCCATCTTGAGCTCTGAGCCTGCCCCTGCTTAGGATGGGCTCCTCGTCCAGGTGAAAATGCATAAGAGGTTTTCTCATGGCATAATTACTTCTGTTTTACTATTTCTTGATGGCTGTTGCTTCATGTCTGATTGCTTATAGTTCACCTGTTGATGAAATATTCTTGGCAGTCTGAGTAACTGAAAAATATACGGGAAGAAGAAAGTTAGGGACCAGTTTCAATGCACAGTTCGGGGCAGACCAGGCTTGAGGCAATAAATATATAAAACACAAATGGACAACATAAATCTAGGACAATCAAGAGTCTAGGTGGTCAACAGGTGACTGTTAATAAATATTCAGAGAGCAAGGAAAGGTATATGTCATTGAGTCTATAACCTCCTAGTCAATCTCTGAATTGTCTCTGTAGAAATCCTGGAAAAGGGCCCTTCATCTTTTGCTTGAGTGCAGTTAGTGTCAGAGCTCACTCTAACGTGGGGACTCATTCTGCTTTAGAACAACTCCAAATGTTGGAAAGCTCTTCATTACGTTGAGCTGGAGCTCTTTTCCTTGTGATATTGCTCTTTGGTTCTACTTCTCATTGTAGAGTAACACAAAATAAACTTTCCTCCATATGATAAACTTTTCTTCCTTACTTTTACCTAGCATTTCCTTATTTATTAGGGAAAAAATAAGTCTACTGTGTGCAAGGCACTCTACTAGATGCCACAGGGAATAAAAGCATCAGTACAGTTTAAACCCATGTTAAGAAAAGACCCAATTGCCTTGCTTAGCCAGAAGCCTGCCCTGCCCTTGGTGTCAATGGGTCCCTATCACTGTGAAATAAATATTTTTTTTTGCTTTGTCTGGCAAAATCAGTGCAAATCCTGATTAATGCCTTCAAGGAACTATAATTTCATAGAGATAAAAGAGACAATATTGAACATAGTAAGAACCTAAGCCAAGTGAAAATTGTTATATTGTATTGACAGGCTAGGAGATACAAGAGAGGTAGAAATCTTTAATTAATAAGCTATATGTGAATTGAAACTTAAAGGGTGAATAAGACTTTGACAGATGGAACTAGGGCACTATCAGGATGTACAAATGTTGGAGGGATATTCCAGGTGGAGGAGAGTAAGAAAGGGTAATTGGCTGGGCACAGTGGCTCATGCCTGTAATCCTAGCACTGTGGGAGGCTGAGGATGGTGGATCACTTGAGGTCAGGAGTTTGAGAACAGCCTGGCCAACATGGTGAAACCCCGTCTCTACTAAAAATACAAAAATTAGTCAGATATGGTGGCAGGCTCCTGTAATCCCAGCTCTTCTGGAGGCTGAAGCGGGAGAATTGCTTGAACCCAGGAGGTGGAGGTTACAGTGAGCTGAGATTGACCAGTACATTCCTCTTTGGGAGGCTGAGGTGGGTGGATCACAAGGTCAGGAGATAGAGACCACCCTGGCCAACATGGTGAAACCCTGTCTCTACTAAAAATACAAAAAATTAGCCGGGCATTGTAGCAGGTGGTCTGTAATCCCAGCTACATGGGAGGCTGAGGCAGGAGAATCGCTTGAACCCAGGAGGCGGAGGTTGCAGTGAGCCGAGATCACACCATTGCACTCCAGCCTGGGCAAAAAGAGCGAAACTCCATCTCAAAAAAAAAAAAAAAAAGAAGAATTATCTCACTTTCCTCATATTTTATGAGTACGGCACTCTATTAGAGTAAGGTTCCCAGTCTTTGACCCATTATTACTTACTCTTCTTTGACAGAATGGCAGGCGACAGCCATTGGGCCATTTCTATAGCAAAACAATACACGAAGGTTGAGACCCTTGATTGGGAAGTTTTAATACCTTGGGCCAGGGGAGCTCTTCAACTCTGTCAGAACAGTTAACTGGAGCAAGTATTTATACTCTTAGAGTTTGTGAGGCAGGGGTCTTTGCATATTTGCAGCTTTGGTGGGGGATCTTAGCAAATTCTGGGAGCTTCACCTGACCTTTAATTTCTCAGATGCAACTTGGCATATTTCAGGTAAGACTGAAGTAAGAATTACATCATTTTAGGAACAAGTAGGTGAGTCAGTATTTGTTGCTTTTACCATGTTTCTTAGGCAAGACTTCCAGATGAAGATCAGAACATTAAATAACAAAGACAGCTGTTTTAGGTAAAATAATGCCGCCCTGCAGAGGTCCACATTCTAATCTCTGGAACCTGTGGGTATGTTACCTTACACAGCAAAAGGACTTTGCAGATGTGATTAAGTTAAGGATCTTGAAGTTCACCTGGATTATCTGAGTGGGCCCAGTGTAATCACAAGGGTCCTTACAAGGGAAAGAGGGAGGCAGGAGAGTCACGAAGGAGATGTCACAATGAAAGCAGGGGTTGGAGGGATGTTTGAAAGGGGGCTATGAGGCACATAATGCAGACAATGTCAGAAAAAGCGAGGAAATGGACTGACACCCGGAGCCTCCAGAAGAAATAGAGCTCTGCTGACACCTTGATTTTAGCCCAGTGAGGCCTATTTCTGACTTCTGCCTTCTAGAACTAGAAGTTAATAAATCTGTGTTGTTTTTAGCAAAATTTGTGGTAATTTATTACAGCAGCAACAGGAAACTAACACAGCAATGAAGCTCCTGTGATAGTTAATATTGAGTGTCAACTTGATTGGATTGAAGGTTGCAAAGTATTGTTCCTAGGTGTGTCTGTGAGGGTGATGCCAAAGGAGATTAGCATTTGAGTTACTGAACTGGGAGTCGCAGACCCATCCTCAATCTGGGAACCATAGCTGCCAGCACGACTAGGATAAAAGCAGGCAGAGGAACGTGAGAGGACTAGACTGGCTAAGTCTTCTGGCCTCCATCTTTCTCGCGTGCTGAGTGCTTCCTTTCCTCTAACATTGGACTCCAAGTTCTTCAGCTTTTTGACTCTTGGACCTACACCAGTGGTTTGCCAGGGGCTCTCGGGCCTTTGGCCACAGACTGAAGGCTACACTGTCTGCTTCCCTACTTTCAAGGTTTTAGGACTTGGACTGGCTTCCTTGCTCCTCAGCTTGCAGACAGCCTATTGTGGGACTTCTCCTTGTGATTGTATGAGTCAACACTCCTTAATAAACCCCCCTTCCTATATACATCTGTCCTATTAATCCTGTCCCTCTAGAGGACCTTGAATAATCCAGCTCTCTAGTGTCAGAAAACATTACTGTGTGAGAGTCTAGCTTCAAAACCTTAGTGCTAGGTCTGAGGAGGCAGTGCCAGATCACTTGCCCTCAATTCTTACCAAATAGAATAATAACTTCATAAGCAGTGACTATGACATTAGGTTTCAGGGGCCCAAGCTGTTTTGACCATCAAAGGTTGATGCATTTTATTAATAAACAAATGAAAAGGATGGCCAGGCATGGTGGCTCACGCCTATAATCCGAGCACTTTGGGAGGCTGAGGTGGGCAGATCACCTGAGGTCAGGAGTCTGAGACCAGCCTGGCCAACATGGTGAAACCTCATCACTACTAAAAATACAAAAAATTAGCTAGGTGTGGTGGCGCACACCTGTAGTCTAAGCTACACAGGAGGCTGAGGCAGGAGAATAGTTTAAACTCAGGAGGCAGAGGTTACAGTGATTCAAGATCATGCCACTGCACTCTAGCCTGGGCAACAGAATGAGACTCCATCTCAAACATAAATAAATAAGTAAATAAATAAATAAATAAACAAACAAACCAACGAAAAGGAATGGAAGCAAATAGCAGCTTTCAGTTTTGATGCATGAAGAGGTTGGGCAATTCCTCTTGCAAAAAGTAAGCAAAGGTAGACACAATATTGGGAAAAATCTGCATCTGATAATAACTGTGAGTTGGTGGTTACCTTGTCTGGGGCACTCCCCAGTCCCCCATCCTTCCCAGCATAGGCTGTGGAAAGCTGCAAATATTTGGAAATTAAACAATTTATTTATAAATAACTCATGGGTCAAAGATGAAATTACAGGAAATTATGAAGTATTTTGAACTAAGTGAAAATGAAGATACAACATATCAAAATCTGTGGCATACATACAATGTGGTGCATAATGGGAATTTTATAATTCTAAATTCTTCAATTAGAAAAGAATAAAGTTCTAAAAATCAATAATATAAGCTTCCACCTTAAGAAGCTAGAAAGAGGAACAAATTGAATCCAAAGTACTCCAAAAAAGGAAATAAAAATAAAATTAATGAAACAGAACAGAGTCAAAAATAGAAAGAAAATCAAAAGCTATTTCTTTATGTACACTTGCCAAGAAAAAGGCAAGAAGACAAACTTAACCAAAATAGGGAATGAAAAGAGAGACATTACATAGATCCTTCAGACACCAAAATAAAATAAAATAAAATAAAATAAAATAAAATAAAATAAAATAAGGGTACTGTATTAGTCAGAGTTCTCTAGAGGGACAGAACTAATAGGACAGAAATAGATATATAAAGGGGTGTTTATTAAGTAGTATTAACTTACAAGATCACAAGGTCCCATAATGGGCCATCTGTAAGCTGAGGAGCAAGGAAGCTAGTCTGAGTCTCAAAGCTGAAGAAGTTGGAGTCCGAGGTTCAAGGGCAGGAAGCATTCAGTACAGGAGAAAGATATAGGCTGGGAGGCTAAGCCAGTCTAACCTTTTCATGTTTTTCTGCCTGTTTTATATTCTAGCTTCGCTGACAGCTGATTAGATGGTGCCCACCCAGATTAAGGGTGCATCTGCCTTTCCCAGCCCACTGACTCAAATGTTAATTTCCTTTGGCAACATCCTCATAGACACACCCAAGATCAATACTTTGCATCCTTCAATCCAATCAGGTTGACATTCAGTATTAACCATCACAGGTATATTATGAAAAACATCATGGCAATAAATTTGGTAACACAGATGAAATAGATAAATCCCTTGAAAGACAAATCACAAAAAGTGACTCAAGAAGACCTAAACATCCTCATATTTAAAGCATTGAATTTGTAATTAAAACCTTTTCAAAATGAAAACTGTATCCAGATGTGTCTTGACAGGTGCAGTCTACCATTTAAGGAAGATACAACATCAATCCCACACAAACTCTTTCAGAAAATTGGAGGAGGTTAGAACACTTCTCATTTTATGAGGACAGTATTACTGTGGACAGAGACATGACAAGAAAAAACTTTCGACCAGTATCTTTCTTGAACATAGTGGCAAAAATCCTTAACAAAATCTAGCAAATTAATCCAGCAATACATAAAAAGAAGAATGCATTGTGACCAAGTTGATTTTGTCCTAGGAATGCAAAGCTGGTTTAACATCCAAAAATCAATTAACATGCTTCACCATATTAATAAAATAAAGGTGAAAAATACATGATCATCATACATGCAGAAAAAGCATTTGACAAACTCTTAGCAAACTAGAAATAGAAAGGTACTTCTTCAATTTGATAAGGGCCATTTAAGAAAATCCTACAGATAGCATCATACTTTCTACCACAGGAAGAAGGTAAGGATGTCTGCTATCACCACTTCTTTTCAACATTGTACTGACAGTCCTCATTAGTGCAAAAACACAAGAAAAATAAGTAAAATACATGCAGATTAGAAATGAAGAAAAAAAAATCTGTCTTTATGCCAAGACTACATTATCGTGTATGTAGGAATTCATAAGGAATCTATAAAAAGCTTTGAGAACTTGTGGTTTAGCAAGGTCACAGAATAAAATGTTAATATACAAACATCAATACCATGTTTATATACCACCACAAAGCAAACAATTGGGAAATAAAAAACAATTCAATTTAAAGTGAAATAAAATTAGTGAAATATATTATAAACGTAGAATAAAATTAGCAAAAGATGTGAAAGACCTGCGTTCTGAAAACTAAAAAAAAAAACACTGAAAACTGCAAAAAGAGAAATTAGAGAAAACTTGAATAAATTGAGAGATATAAACCGTGCTAATTAATTGGAAGATGCCAATCAAGTCAATAAAATGCCAATCAAAATCCTAGCAGGATTTTTGGTATAAATTCACAAGATGCTTCTAAAATTTATATGAAAGTGCAAAGGAAATAGAATAAATGAAACGAAAAAAAGAAGGAAAGTTGGTAGATTTATATGATCTGAGTTAAGACTTCCTAGAAAGCTATAGTAATTCAAGAAATTGTGACATTGGCATAAGGATAGACATAGAGATTGACACATCACACATATACAGTCAATTGATTTTTAAGATAGGGACCAGCAAAATTCAGCAGGGCGCTGAGGGGCAGAGTTTAATTTCTTCTGGGAATTGCACAATGTGAGGGAGTTTATATGCAAATAGCTCTGTAATAATTGGACATCTGTTGGGAAAAATTAAACTTTGTCCCTTACCTCATACCATACTCAAACTCAAGGTCAGGTGTGGTGGCTCACACCTGTAATCCCAGCACTTTGGGAGGCCAAGGTGGGCGGATCACCTGAGGTCAGGAGTTCAAGACCACCCTGGTCAACATGGTGAAACCCCGTCACTACTAAAAATACAAAAATTAGCTGGGCATGGTGGTACATGCCTGTAATCCCAGCTACTTGGGAGGTTGAGGCAGGAGAATCGCTTGAACCCAAGTGGAGGAGGTTACAGTGAGCCGAGATCATGCCACTGCACTCCATCCTGGACGATAGAGTGTGACTCCATCTCCAATAATAATAATAAAAACTCAAAATGGATCATAAACTTAAATAAAATAATCAAAACTATAAATCTCCTAGAAGGAAGCATAAGACAAAATTTTATGACTTAAATAAAGATTTCTTAGGAAGGAAACCAAAATATAAATTATGGAAAAAATTATAACTTAGATTTCATAAATTGGACTTTCTGTTTTTGAAACATACTATTAAGAAAATAAAAAGACAAGTCGTAGACTGGTAGAAAATATTGTTAATACCTATATCTTACAAGAGACTTATATCCAGAAGATATAACTCAATAATTAGAAGAAAAACATCCCAATTAAATATGGGCACAAGATTTGAAGATGTCAACTGGTATGTATACAATTCACAAAAGAGAGATATATATATATATACAGCCAACAAACATGAAAAAGTTGTTTCCTTCTCTCTGACTACCCTTCTTCCCATAGTACCACTGATTCACTGCCATGGTCCTTGGCCACATTAATGTGGGTCCAGACTAAGTATTGTGTTCAGGAAACAGGTTTGTCTGAGATGATCTCTTTAAGGGCTGGGATTTGTTTGATTTCTAAATTTTATGGATGTAGTGCTAAAATCCAAGGCAGCAGTGTTTGAAGGAACTTAGACTCCACCAGCTACCTAAGCCTGAGCCCTTTAGCTGAGCCTAAGTGGAATAATAACTTGGGGAGAAAGAATTAAGGACATTAATGCTTTTGCACATTAGATTATTTGGACTTTAACTTGCAAGAGAATTTAATCATTGGACCTCCATTTCTTCTGGGAATTTCACAATGTGAGGGAGTTTATATGAAAATTTTGGGAATCTTTATGTTGTTAGAAATTTATTAGTGAAATATATTAGTACTGCCGTTTAATCATCTTGCATAACCTCTGGTGAGCTATATTGGGAAGCAGAGTTGGGCATAATTTGGGATGGGAAATAGAAGAGGGAGAAAATTGTCAGCCCTGGATACAGGGCAGATGTGGAGTTAATCTAATTAATGTACTGTCTGGGAGCAATTTTATGTTTCCCATCAGTAGTCACAGGAGGACACCAAATAAGCGGTAGGTGGTATTGAAGAAGCAGCCCATGAAGGTGAGAATAGGACTGTTTTGATGAATAGCTGGTCTCCTCCCTTGCAGAGGAGGGTCATAGTCTTGGCTGATATACTTCAAGGTTAATGTTAATTCCAAAGGATAAGAGGAAAAAAAGGGGACACAATTGGGGAACTTCCCACTCCCCGTCAATCTGTTTGTTTGTTTTTTTTTTTAAATAGGAGGGTCCTTAGCTAACGCCCTTGTCTTTTGCCCATTTTCTTTCTTATTCCACCCACTCTGACCAGTAGTAGACACCCACCGGTCCATGTTTATCTGTTTGATGGAGCTGGTCTATTACAAAATTCCAAGCACTGGGATGTAAATCTCCATTATTTTCTCTATCAGTGTGAAGCAGAGATCCTGGATGGCGTTTGATTTTTCAGATCCAAGTTTTTCCCTTCATTGGGCTTTCCTAAGATCTCACTAGAGTATGAATGGGAGGTAGTATAGTAGAGAGTATCAGTATAGTCTTTTTATTGCACAAATTAGCCACTGTATTAGTCCGTTTTCACACTGCTGATAAAGACATATTCAAGACTGGGCAATTTACTAAAGAAAGAGGTTTAATTGGACTTATAGTTCCATGTGGCTGGGGCAGCCTCACAAACACGGTGGAAGGCAAGGAGGAGCAAGTCACATCTTATGTGGATGGCAGCAGGCAAAGAGAGCTTGTGCAGGAAAACTTTGCCTTATAAAGCCATCAGATCTGGTGAGACTTATTCACTATCATGAGAACAGCACGGGAAAGACTGATTCAACTATCTCCCACTGGTCCCTCCCATAACACGTGGGAATTATGGGAGTACAATTCAAAATGAGATTTGTGTGGGGACATGAGTCACATATCAGCCACATACTCCATCCTAGCTTTTATAGCATTATATCTAAAATTTTAATCTCCATTTTTATGTCTCCCATTGAGAGTCTGTTTCTCAACTGGTTTTTAGCTCATGTAGGGAGTAGGAGAGTTATTTTTTGGATTCTTTCAAACCAGAGGAATCAATGCAAAATCACACAAATAGGGAGTAGGGTTTGTTAGAGACCAGGGACTTGAATGCATGAGAGTGGTGGGCCATGAGCCAAGACATGTAGTTTGCAGCCAGGCAATGGTCAAGGCTTTAGATTTAATATGTTTTAATCAAATGGAGGGAGCATTGGAGGTGTTTCAACAGGGCAGGAACATTTCCAGACATGAGTTTTCCAAAGAATAATCTGACGGCAGGATGTAAATTGACTAAGGATAGGTGAAAGGAGATGGTCAATAGGAGAGAAGACAACTGAGGAAATAAAGGCAAGAAAGGGTGATAATATTGTAGAGGTGTAACCAGTAGAAGTTGGCAGATGATTCTCGGTTGAGGATGAAGGAAGCAGAGTTGTCAACATAATAAAGTCGCTCAGCCTTGGCAGTTTAAAACAAGGATAAGCAAACTTTTTCTGTAAAGGGCAGATATATGTATTTTAGGTTTTGTGAGCCATACAATCTCTATGGCAATTATTCAAAGCTACCATTGTAGCTTGAAAGCACCAGTAGACAATACAGAAACAAACGACAAGGCTGTGTGTCAATAAAACTTTATTTAATAGAACATCTGGCCTATAGGCTGTGATTTGCCGACCCCTGGTTTAGAGGGTTATGGTACAGATGCTGGTTATTAAATTATTGCCTGTGAGTTCTAAATTCACCCTCTAGTCCCTGCCCTGGGATGCTGTGGCTGAGACTCTGCAGACCATGTTTCTGTTTTGCCAGCTGCTTCGTGTGAGGTCTGGAGCAGGGAGAACGTGCATAGTTCTTCATGTTTTGCTTGCTGTTCTTGTCAGGATCACCACAACAATGGTTTTTGCACTAGGCCACCACAATGCATTCTGATTTCCAGTTGGTTCTTACATTCCTGAAATGCAGCTGTGATCCAGATGCCTCAGAAACACCAGCTGGTTGGTATCCTCTCCTCAGAGGTTTGTGTCCTGGCATCTCAAGGCTCCTCATCTGAGCTTCTGAGGCAGCAGCACCAACTGGGCAGTGCCCTCTCCCCAGATCCAAGCTTCTAGGTTCTGATAATCCTGACCTCTACCCTCTGCACTACTAGCCCTAGGAGTGGTAGCTGCTTTCTGCAGTCACTGTTTACCTCACTGTTCCCTTTGTTTTGCCCTTTCAATCCTCTAATGCCTGTTTAACTTATTCCCCATATTAAATTCTTCCTATTGAAATAAGTGGTGTGGTTTTCATTCTCCTGACTGAACCCTGATCAATATAGAACTATATTCTGTATTAAATAGGGTTCTACCTAGGGATATAGACAGAAAGTACAAAAAGTGTGATCTTGAAGTCTTGATATGTTGTGTCTATTTTTAGAGATGATAGGTTTGAGATCCTGACAAATAGACCATTTACAGATTTCTTCCTTGCCATTGGATATTGAATGTCAGGGATATGTTATTCACATGGCAGTGTTGTTTGCATGAGTAGAAAACATTAACTAGGTAAGTATAGCTAGAGTGGAGAAGACAGAAATGGGAATCATCTTCATTTCTGAGAGATAATGAAGAAGAGACAATTAACATGACTTAAAAAATGAATGTCTTAAAGGCAGAAGGAAGCCTGCAGAATACAAGAAGCACAGAGTGAGTTTTAAGGAGAAGACGGTCAAGATAAGCAAATCCTATACGCTTCAGGGCAGATTATTGGTGACTTACCAGAGGATAGTTTCAATAGAAGAGCAAAGTTAGAACCGGAGGAGTTAGTTGGTGGGAGAAGAGGAACGAGTAGGAACTTTTTTTTTTAAGTAAAGACATTTGTTGGTAAAAAGAAGGTGAATGACTATGTAGAGATTTATGAATCAAAATAAATAATATTAAAAAAATTCACTGCACTTGAGGAAATTTCTAGGTAGAGAAGAGTTTATCAGTGGTGAGGGGTAATGCAATACGTATAGGATAAAGGATCACATGAATGGAGAAATGTGGGTGAGGATGAATGGGATGCAAAATGCAATTGATAGAAAGGAAGGGTACCCCCTTCTTTGAGCTCCAGATAAATTTAGATGTGGGGAGGAGAAAAGCTAAACTTGTTTTGCAAACTGAAACTGTCCTAATTCTTTGTCCTTGTGTTAAGCAGTAATAGGACCAGATAGAGTTTCCAATTCCTCTGCTAAACAATGCTAAGACCAAGCAACACTAATAGCTGCTTTTTCAGGGAACGCATGCTCATGGTTGATGAGACTGTGGACCATCCTGCCCAGACCCCTCTTCAGGGAAAGACTCCTGCCCTCTCTGCTGGGAATGCTACTGGGAGAAAGCCTGTATCTGTCATTCCGCTCAGGGGTTGCTTAGCTGCAGAAAGCTGCTTTGCTCAAGGCACTTTCTTTCAGGGGCAGCCTATGTCCTATAGCATGGCCCAATGTGGGGCATTTCTGATGGGTCATTTTAAATCCAGAGCTTCCTGGGTTGGGGGTGGGCATTGATTAAAACTGCATCATAGCTTGACTTCTCCCTCTGGCTAATGTGGAGCGAGGCTGCATTGTGGAGGCTGCATCACAGCTTGAATTCTCCCTCTGGCCAATGCAGCTTCCTCCTCATCTATTCCATAGGTGTGATCTCAAAGGCCTTCCTAATAACCATCCTGAATACTAAGCTGCCCCAAGCAGACTTCATGGAGAACCCAACCTGTAACGCCAGCTCAGCGGCTTACTTCTGACAGCTTGCCCAGAAAGACCAGCATTAATGCTCCTGCCTCCCTGTGTCTACTGTGTCAATGTATTTTGTCATATATTCTCCCCAATCCCAACTAGCTTTCTGCCTTGTGATATCTACTTTAAAGTCACCCAGCCTAGACCCTAAAACTCTGGAGATAGCCCGCCTCGGTTGTTTATTTTGAGACTGTTCTCCCTTACTTCAACAAGTTCAATAAACTTAGCTTTTCTTGAGTAACAGGTTTTTCTGGTGGTCTTCTAGAGAATTGATAGTGGAACATTTTCATCAGATGTCATTGTTCTTTCTAAGTTTCAGACAGGCTGGTAGCTTCAGGGAAAGAGGAAAAGTTTCGAAAACATATATTGTTTGCCAATTTAATAAGAAAATTAACCCTAAAAATTACATTTTATGTCTTGACTTGGGATTTCACAAGGAGGGGTAATCTCCTTGGGATGGAGAGCAGGCAGGAGTTATACAAACTTGGCCTCAGTTGGCCTGGTATAGACCAATCTGTCTTCTGTCTTCATTTTGCACTTTGTAATTAGTGTTCTCCTCAGTCCTGATTCCTCTGATGGGGCAGCTTGGGCTCTGGTGAATGTGGAGTCCCTGATTTCTGCTTTGATTCTGGTGTCATTTGTTTCCTTGGTGCCAAGGCCCTTTGTGATTCTGAGCACTCTCATCTCTCCTTTCCTCCCCTCTCTTAGGCTTCTCGTCCCACTTCCATGATCCTCTGGTTCCTATAGGGTCAGGAAGGAAAGCTTGTAGCCACAGAAAGCTATTTATTTATTTATTTATTTATTTATTTATTTATTTATTTATTTATTTGAGATGGAGTCTTGCGCTATTGCCACACTGGAGTGCAGTGGCTCAATCTTGGCTCACTGCAACCTCTGCCTCCTGGGTTCAAGCGATTCTCCTGCCTCAGTCTCCTGAGTAACTGGGACTACAGGTGCACACCACCATGCCCAGCTAATTTTTTGTATTTTTAGTAGAGATGGGGTTTCACCATGTTGGCCAGATTGCTCTCAATCTCTTGACCTACAGAAAGTTTTTATCTCTTCCTTGTGTGAAATATATTGATAGGAGCTTGGGAACACATAGACAAATACAATAATTTTCCTTTCAAATAATCCTAGAGATACCACAAAAACAATTATATGTGAGACGAACTTTCATGTGCTCAAATACGTTATGACCTCAAGAAGAAATGTAATCCATTCTACTGCCTTCTACTTCATTCTTAGAGATGGGTGTTTCCTGTAGGTTTTTAGTAGTTCTCACTAGAACATATCTCTTATTTGCTGGAATTTAAACCCATTTCTTTTTCCTGTTAATGAAAATAATTCATGCAACTATTACTGAAGCCCTACTAGGACAGATCCACCAACCCCGGCATGATGTCATGTTTCATCCTGGAAGGTGGTTAGCAAACCTCTTCTCCATCTTCTCTTATGTAGACCAAATGGACCCGATTTCTTTCCTTTATGTGATTTCCAAAATACAGTTTTTTTTTTTTTTTTTGAGACGGAGTCTCGCTCTGTCGCCCAGGCCAGACTGCGGACTGCAGTGGCGCAATCTCGGCTCACTGCAAGCTCCGCTTCCCGGGTTCACGCCATTCTCCTGCCTCAGCCTCCCGAGTAGCTGGGACTACAGGCGCCCGCCACCGTGCCCGGCTAATTTTTTGTATTTTTAGTAGAGACGGGGTTTCCCCTTGTTAGCCAGGATGGTCTCGATCTCCTGACCTCATGATCCACCCGCCTCGGCCTCCCAAAGTGCTGGGATTACAGGCGTGAGCCACCGCGCCCGGCCCAAAATACAGTTTTAATTTCTCTCTTTTGAATGCACTGTTGGTAAAGGAAGGGGTGGGGTATTAAGTCAAGCTCAACCCACAAAAGATCCTTAACTCAGACTACCAGCCTGACTTTGTAAGCTTTTGAATATAGGCTTACTTGAAGTCACTTGGGTTTTCCCCTTTTTCAATTATCTTCATCATTCAAGAGCATACACTGGTGCCTCAAGGCACTAAATATTACAATTTCAAGCACCCTACTCAGCTCAAGCTCTCCTTGTTGTGCCCTTAAAAAGTACTTTGAATAATGACTTCTTTTCCTCTGAGTAGATACCCAGTAGTGGGATTGTTGGATCAAATGGTAGTTCTATTTTTAGCTGTTTAAGGAATCTCCACACTGTTTTCCATAGCAGCTGTACTAGTTGACATTCCCACCAGCAGTGTAGAAGTGTTCTCTGATCACTGCATCCACACCAATATCTACTGTTTTTTTATTTTTTGATTATGGCTATTCTAGCAGAAGTAAGGTGGTATCGCATTGTGGTTGATTTGCATTTCCCTGATCGTTAGTGATGTTGAGCATTTTTCATATGTTTTTTGGCCATTTGTGTATCTTCTTTTGAGAATTGTGGGAGCTAAGCTATGAGGACACAAAGGCATAAGAATGATACAATAGACTTTGGGGACATGGGGAGAAGAATGGGAGGCGGGCGAGGGATAAAAGAAAACAAATATGTGCAGTGTATACTTCTCAGGTGATGGGTGCACCAGGATCTCACAAATCTCCCCTAAAGAACTTACTTATGTAACCAAATACCACCTGTACCCCAATAACTTATGGAAAAATAAAATTAAAAAAAAGAAAGAAAAAAAGTGCTTTGAGGCCCAGCTGGCTATAGGGGCCATTTAGAAACCATTTTTCCTTAGAGGCATAGTGAAGGTAGAGCACAATGCTGAGAAGCGATAAAAAGACTGAGTTCTGATGTTATCATCTAGAAATCTGCCACCCCCACAAAGAACAAAACAGAAGCTCTTGCTAAGCACTTTTTTCCATAGTATAACTTGTTCTTATAAAGAAGTGGCACTTAGTGTTTCAGCGGATCAAATTAACACATACATCTTTTAAAAACATCTTTTAAAAAAAGACAAACCTGAATTTTAAAATGACACCTTCTTTAGAAAAAAGGGTTAGGACACGTTTTTAAATTATATGCTTTAAAGAAAGCTTACAATGCAGTTATACAATTTTCACTAAAAATTTGCTAAAATTAGTACAATTTCTATTCTCATAATTATGAGCTTTTCAGCTTTTGCACTTCGCATCTCTTCATTTTCCCACAGTTATTACTAGGTGTGAGCTTTCCAGTTTCTATATATTACCCCCTTCAAATCCCACAGCCTCTATGTTTTTGGGGAGGGAGAGTGAGACATGTGCTATAAGTGATCCTGGACTGAAGCCTGGGGGTGTTACAGGTCAGGCCACTTCATCTCATCCCACTTATGGCCAATCCCATTCATTTGAACCCTTGCACATACTTTTTCTTACTTCTAAAAGCATGTCACTTTATGTCTGTGTATGTATCCTCACACTCAGTCATTTCACTGCCAGTCAAATATACCCGAGGTCTCAGTTTCCTCTGCAGAAGAGAAGGATTTCTTCTCTCACTCATCCGTGGGCTCATTGCTGAGGCCTCCATAACAAAAGAAAGAGTAACAAGAAAAAAGAGTGCAGATTTATTTATTATAAATTTTACAAGACATGAGAGTCTCCAGAAACGAAGACCTGAAGAAAGGAAGAAAGTTGCGCATTTTTATGCTTAAGTTTGATGAACAGTGGACAGTCATTGGGGAAGTGTGATTGGCCTGATCTAGTGGTAATAAACTGGGGAACTTAGCAAATCACACCAGACTAGGGAGTCCGATCTAGTGGTAAAAAACTAGGGAACTTAGCAAGGACTGTTTGTTCAGATTCTTCTCTGCGTCCTGTGTCTTCAGAGATATGGATGTTTTTTTCCTCTGTAGGTATGGGGAGGTACCTGTTGAATGAGGATCTTATGACCTACTTCAGGGGAGAAAAGTGGGAGAAATTCAGAGTGGCCTTTCCACTTCTGCTGTTTTCTCAAATGCCAAAGTGCCAAATTTTGGGATAGTGTGGCCTGAACCCCATCACTTCATTAAAAAAATAGTTGCTGAAGTCTCTTCTATCTCTGAAGTTTTACTATTCGATCATTTTAAAATCTTTAGCTCAATCCTCAGGATTTACATTTCAACATTTCCTTAAAATCTTTACTGGGTGATAACTTCGAGGGTTATACGAGTGTGTGTTGTTTTAGTTCACTGAGAAAGCCATGCCCTTCAGCTCTTTATTCTGCCCAGGTGGGTATGAGGACAATCCTCTGTTTACGAAAGTACCATGGATTATGCCTGCAAGATGAATTTGTATCTTTTAAAAAAAATTGAGTATGATGTTTTACTTCTGAGAGCCCCATATTTAACCATTTCACAACTTCCTTCTCTGATTTCTGGGAAACGCCTAGATTTTTCAAAAGTCACTGTGGAAATCACCCATATCACAAGATGTTTTCTATCTTTATCTTCTACCCTTTGACAACTTGCTTAGGAGGAAATAGTCTGTTTAGATTTTACTTCAGTTTGGGAGTTCCTGTTTTTCCATTTTTTGTATTTTTATATTGTGACTTTCATGGTTTTTTTTTTCCTTTGAAAGTTAGATGGGGTAAAGGGGATTGCCCCTGTGAGAATGGATAGGAAGGAACGACTTTATAAACGTAAACAAGCGTTTTTATTTGTGGCAATTCTACATGGGGAACATGCTGAATTAGTAGGCTCCCAATTCTTAGATTTCTAGAACAAGAACATATGTAACATAAGCTTCTCTTATGTTATTTCAAATGAAAAAACTTAAAAAAAGTCATAGATGGCAGTCAAATTGCTTCCTGGGCTTAAGTGGCAATTTAAACATCAGAAACATTTGGATGAAATTTCTCACAAAACATGGCAGAGAGTGGCCGGGCGCGGTGGCTCACACCTGTAATCCCAAGCACTATGGGAGGCCGAGGCGGGTGGATCACCTGAAGTCAGGAGTTTGAGGCTAGCCTGGCCAATATGGTGAAACCCCATCTCTACTAAAAACGCAAAAAAGTAGCCAGGCATAGTGGCTCGTGCCTGTAATCCCAGCTACTTAGGAGGCTGGGGCGAGAGAATAGCTTGAACCCGGGAGGCAGAGGCTACAGTGAGCCAAGATCACGCCACCACACTCCAGCCTGGGTGACAGAGTGAGACCCCGTCTCAAAAAAAAAAAACAAAAGAGAGAAAAATACCCAATGCAACCTAGTCTTCTTTTTGAGTAAATACAATATACTTAGTTCAAGAGACAACGTGTATTTCAATCTCAAAGTCTGTTAGGGCCAAGACGCATTAGGGTTTGGAACAAGGAAGGAGATGAGAGTTTCCGAGCTGTGTAACTGCCAGGGGTGGTGTATATACATTTGAAGAGTAAGGTGGGACTACCCCAGGATGGGTGATCCATGGGTTACACCTAAGGTAAGAGTAAGTCAGGAATGCCTAGGCGGATGCAGAAATCAAATGGGATCTGAAAAGAATGCCTATTCACCCAAAAGTGAACAACCAGGGAGAATAAATGTCAACAAAGGGGTTGCTTCTGAGAGCTCTAGAGTCTAGAGGAACAGGTAGCCAAAAATGAGTTAAAGCTGATGGAAATGTAAATATAGCAAATTGTGTGACAGCGTGTTCATACGGAGGCCCAGACTGAATCTGAGGACAAAGAAGTCACTCAACTTTCTGTGCTCCTGACTTTGGACCTTAAAGTTTCTCTCTCCAACTTCTGACATGACAATGTTTATTTAGCGCCTACTCTATGCCTGGCATGGAGAATACACATTAGACTCAAGATGGGCTTGCCTCTCCTGAGCATTCACAGCTATGGACCCATCACGCTTCCTGTCTTTTCTGTCTCCCTACTGCTTCTTCCTATTTGACCACTCCCTTTTTTCTTTTTCATTGGCTTCTTTTTCCCATTTCTTTTCATTCTAAATTTTCTTTCTTGATATTTAATGTATTCCCAAAGATTAATCTATTATTCCCAAAGGGGATGACCATATCTCTAGGTACTTGAATATTTCTCAGAATTTCCTTTCATCACTTCACACATTATATATAAATTATTTAGTATATGGGGTATAAAGATGAGTATGATATACATTTATCCATTCATTTATTCTTTTATCCAGTGACTATGTATTGAGTGCTTAATAAGTGCCACATATTATTGGAGAAACTGGTGATACAGAGATCATGAAGATGAGTTTCTTTTCCTCATGGACTCACGGTCTAGGGGAAGAGTAAAACACATAAACATACAAAGGTTGCAGAGGCTTAAGTGAAGAACTGTGAAAGGCCAGCAAATACATAAGATTGTAAGATAAACACTTTGCAGCCTAACATCACTCCTGTCTTCATCTTATTTTCCCATAATTTGCCAACTTGAATATATTTAACTTTGCTAAATAGTGCGTATCTCTGTATGTGACATTATCTGCATTTATTTTTTGTCATGGTGTGTGTTATGAATAAATACAATAAACAGAAATCTATATTTAAGGAAGATGATTTTGAGATGGGCATTGAAGGATGAGTAGAAGTTCAAGTAGTAAGAAGAGAAAAAAAGGCAAAATACACAGTATATGCAAAGGCATATGAAATTAAAGAATTTGAGGTGTTCTGATAATGGTGGGTAGTTTTTTATGGAGGCCATAGGGTACTTGGAAATGAATGGCAAGAAAGTTCTTCTGGAAGAAAAAGAACTTCTGATCATACTAAGGAGATTGGACCCTATCCTGTAGTCAATGAACAAACATTGTAGTCAATGAAGTAGAGGAATGACATTTGGCCCTTTGATGGCAGAGTGAAAATGATAGATTGAAGTGGAGCAGGCCAAAAATTAGGCAACAACTGGAATGAGGGCCTGGACTAAGGTACTAGTGGCAGTGGTATAAATGAAGTGATCAGTTTGAACAATATCAAAGAGATAGAGTGACAAGACTTTAAGAATCTTTGGGTACAGGCAATAGGGGAGAGAGGAGAGGCAGGCTTTCATCTGGATGGTGGATGACATCCTCATTCCCACAGACATTGGATGCATGGGCCTTGGATATAACTTAGAATCTTGCGAGGCGATAAAAAGACCACCAGCGCGTGAGAAGTGAGTTAGCCACAGTTTACCTTCTATGGTTTGCAGTTTGCCATAGACTTCCATTCCTTTATTTGATACTCTATGAATGATGTCACAGACAATACATGATCAAGTGTCAAACATAGATGGTGGTATGCTATGACATCAAGAATTCTGGGCTCACCTTCTGGACTGACAATAACTGGAGGTGTGAATTTTGGTAACCACTTACTGTCTTTGGACTTCATTTTCTCATCTTTAAAGTTTGTTTCAGGTGGGGTAGGGTGAGTAGTACTCTAGGTGACATTTAAGTTTTTTTTGGATCTATTAACTTATGAGTAAATACTCATCTTTCTTCCCCAAGATAGTTTCTCCTTCTGACTAGATTGTTATTTCCTGGAAGGCAGGGACTGCTGTGTTCATCTCTGGATTCCAATACACCACGTAGGATCTGGGGGTAAAAGTGCAGAGTTAATGTTATTGAGCAAATGACTGAATGAAAGATTTTCCTATTTTATTAATGATACTATATAGCCCGTTCTCTCTGCTTCCTGTTATTAAAACCTTGGGGTATTCTGTACCCGCCTTCTTCTTGCATAACACCCTCACTCCCCCTTGGTCTTGCTTCCTTAATCAGGACATACTTTTTCCCTCTAAGTGTCTTTTAGATACGGCTTCCTTTTCCACCTCTAGACAGTCACCCAGATCTCTGCACTTCACCTTAAATTGAGACTACTGCAACAATATGTTTGCTTTCTGTCGTAATCTCCCTCTCTTAAGCCCACTTCATATACTACTACCATATTTAGCTTCCACTGCTTTGTGGCTTAAACCCTCAAATGTCTACGGTGTACATTTATACTCAATGCCAGTCACAATCTGGCTCCAACCTGCATTGACGTGAATTCTCCAGTTAACCTGTCACTGGTGATCTTTTAGACACTTGCACATTGCCATCTCTGTGTGTTGCTTATTGCTATCTCCCCTGTCTGGAAAGCTCTCCTCACTATCTAAGTGCAATTCATCAGTCAAGGTCCAGCTTGTTATTTCTCCACCAACCTCCCCCTGAAGTCTTCCCAGGTTATATTTTTGCCTACAGTAATCTGTCTTTCACTCAGCTGACAAATAATATCATCACATATTTATTAGGCTACTTCTCATGTTATTATCTTATCACATGCTTATGTCTCATCACCCCAAGTATCTTGCAAGCTCCTTGGGGTGGTAGGAATATGTCTGAGGTATCTTTGTATTGCTCGTTGTCTAATGACCACCATGACAAGAACAACAGCTCACATTGGTTGATCACTCATGTGTGTTAGACATTGCCAAGCCCTTGATATTCATTATCTCTCTTAATATCTAAAACCGCCCTATGTCATGGGTACGATGACTATCTCCATTCTTCAGATGGGGAAACGAAAGCTTAGAAGTGTTAAGTAATTTGCATTAGGCCACCTATAGATTAAGTCTAGTTTAGTTTTTACACTTAGTAGGCACCCCCAAAATGGAATAATTAATTGTCAAGAGATGTATCTTGGTGTTTTCCCTCTCCAAGTGACTGAAGCAAAGATGTTGAGAAGGAGGATAGTTTTGAGGTTAGCTGTGGAACAGCCTTGAGGAGATTTAGAGGGAGTCAGCAGCAGAGCAGGAGTCCTGTCAGTGAGAGGTAAAAGATTGTGAGATGAGGAAAATCTGTTTTGGAATCAGTTAGACCCATATCTGGCAATGTAGCAAAATGTAAAATACCCTGGGTCGATAACCTATGAAAATGGAGGAAGTTTAGAACAAGAGTTACCCAAGATAGAACTTATATGTTTGTTTAGCTAGGTTATTTGGGTAGCATGGAAAGTTTCCAGCTAGATTTTAAGGAGTAAGCATGTTAGTTTAAATTAAGACAATATTTTGTAATGGGAAAACTGTAACAATAAATAATATGATTCAATTACAAGGAGTGGGTTGCATACAATAATGTAATGCGTCTAGGGCCTAAGAGGCAGTTCAGACTACATTCTGGGTTCATTCTTGCCCTTGGGAACCATAAAGTGTGAATGAGATAAACTTGCTTTCTATTCAAAATACTTCCCAGGGTGGGATGTATTCCCAGAACTTCTCAGGGTGGGAAAAGGATAACAGTGGTTGAGATGACTACTGGCCTCAGGGCTCACATGAAGCATCTCCTGGACTGGAGGAAGGCTTGTGTCCTTGAAAGGCACAGTGCCCTGGTCTGCTCTGGCATTTGACAACGGACACCCAGGTTACAATTCACCAAAGGACACAATCCTAGGAAGCCAAGTGCCCATCAGTTTCCTGCTCTGGAAGTGGAGGAGGCAATGAGGAACTCTGAGTTCTGGTCACCACCGCAGAAGGACCTCTTGAAGTACAAGGCCAAAGAGCCCTGACGTGGGAAGGATGGCAATGAACACTGAATGAGCATTTAGACTATGTGCAAAAGCAGTGTTTGGCACTTTAGACACCTTATCTCATTAAAGTTCACACCCCTACAGGAAAATGGCTTGGGGAGGTTAAATAGCTTATGCAAGATCCCACAGCTAGGAAGTGGCAGAGTGGAGATTCACAGCTAGATACTTTGACTTTCAAGTGCATACATGTTACTTTCTGTTCACCAAGAAGAATACCCTGCTCCCTTGGGCTCTAACTGCAGCTTTGTTATTAACTGGCTATGTGACCTTGGCAGGCCTCTTAAAAAGATCTTGACTGAGGTTGCTTCCAACACTGTGAGTCTCTCTCTGATCATAATGGAGGAATGGGAAAAAATCCAAATGTTAGGTAGAAATGGTGAGCCCAATCGCAATATGGTCGTTCAACCTAAATTTTTCTACCATCAAAATCAGATAATGGAAATGAAAGGATCAAAAGAGGGAAATCATGGGAAGCCCAAACTCCTATGAACTGGAATTACTGCATTCTTGGAGCAGTAAAACAGATAAGCAATGTGGTGATAAACACGCAAAGACCAGCAGACTTTCAACAAACTCATTTCTTCTCATCTGGCCTGTCCTCCCATGTAAGCTGGGACAGGCCTGGGATCTTTGGGTCTTTTTGCCTTTGATTTAAAAATGGGTCATCTATTCCCAAGCCAACTGACCCAAGAACTCAAAAAAGAAGGTAATGGAAGATGCACAATGCTGTGTGTCTCTTAAAAAATATACAATATTGGTTGTCTTCCTATGGGGGCTGAAGAGATTGTACAGAAATCATTACAGTCCTGTGCCACTTAATGATGGGGATACATTCTGAGAAATGTGTTGTTAGGCAATCTCGTTGTTGTGTGAAAATCATAGAGTGTATTTACACAAATCTAGATGGTGTAGCCCACTACACACCTGAGCTATGTGGTGTAGCCTATTGCTCCTAGGTTATAAACCTATACAGGCTATTAGTGTACTGAGTACTGTAGGTAACTGTAATGCAATGTTTTTTCATATCTAAACATCGAAAAGGTCAGTAAAAACATGGCATAAAAGATTAAAAAAATGGTACACCTATATACGGGTGCTTACCATCAATGGAGCTTGCAGGAATGAAAGCTGATCTGGGTAAGTGAGTGAGTGAGTGAGTGGTGAGTGAAGGTGAGGGCCTATGACATTACTGTATACTACTGTAGACTTTATAAACACTGTACACTTAGGCTACACTACATTATGAATTTTTTCTTTCTTCTATAATAAATTAACCTTAGCTTACCATAACTTTTTTACTTTGAAAATCACACACCAGGGCCTGTTGTGGGGTTGGGGGAAGGGGGAGGGATAGCATTTGGAGATATACCTAATGTTAAATGACGAGTTACTGGGTGCAGCACACCAACATGGCACATGTTTACATATGTAACTAACCTGCATGTTGTGCACATGCACCCTAAAACTTAAAGTATAATAAAAAAAAGAAAACTTTAAATTAAAAAAAACTTGTAATAACACTTAGCTTAAAACAGAAACACATGGTACAGCTGTATAAGAATATTTTCTTTCTTTATATTCTTATTCCATACACTTTTTCCTATGATTAACATTTTTATTTATTTATTAATTTTTACTTTTTAAACTATTTTGGTGAAAAACTAAGACAGAAACACACATTAGACTAGGCCAACACAGGGTTAGAGATCATCGAATCAATATCAATGTTTTCCACCTCCACATCTTGTCCCACCGGAAGGTCTTCAGGGGCAATAACACTCATGGAGCTGTCATCTCCTCTGATAACAATTGCCTTCATCTGCAACATCTCTTGAAGGATCTGCCTGAGGCTCTCTTATTGTTCACTTAGAAACGAATAAGTAGGAGTACACTCTAAAATAATGATAAAAATTATAGTAAATACATAAACCAGTAACATTTATTACCATAATCAAGTATTTATGTACTGTACATAATTGTATGTGCTAGGCATTTATACAACTGACTGTATAGTTTTGTTTACACCAGCATCACCACAAATACGTAAGTAATGCATTGCACTATGATGTGACAATGATTATGATGTCACTAGGTGACAGAAAGCTTTCAGCTCCTTTATAATCTTATGTTACCACCGTCATATATGCCGTCTTTGCCCAAAACATCATTAAATGGTGCATGACTGTAGTTACAAGAGGTATCAAGGCTACAATGGGAGAGGGTAGTCAATGGCCACAGCGGCTTTCTTTTACAAGTTTGAATTCGTTTTATCTAAAGTTAAGGTAATAAAAAAAAGATTGAGGTGCTGACACATGCTATAGCGTGAAGGAACCTCGAGAATTTTGAAAATGGAGTGATCTGTTTGAAACACTTAACCCTTAACTGGCACATACGAAGTTCTCAGTCCATGGTAGCTATGCCAGTAGATTTCATCATTATTGTTACTACTTCTAATAGTGCGAATGTATATAAAAAGACCTTTCCTACAGTGTCTTGCCCATGGTAGACTCAGTAAAATGTTAGTGCCACTTTCTCTAGTGAGATGTGTTCTTTTCCTTTTCATTAGAAAAATATGACAAGTGAAAAACCATTTCTACTAGCAAAGCTGGTAATTCAAAACTCACTCCCCTCACATTCATTCACCTGACTGAAATGGAGACATTATTAAAATAATTCAGATAACTCAATTTCAATAGATAATTTTTCCCTTTCCAAGAAATGACTGAAAACACATTTGACCTCCTTGTCTGAAGTGGCCTTGGTTCAGGGACTTTATCCAGTCTGAGGACAAACAGGCATTCTCATCCTAGTTGTGAAGTTACAGAAATCATCTGTTTGCTTCATCTGAGAATTTATGTTTTTTTCCTTTAGAAGGTTTTCTGTTATAGACCACACGGTTTCTGATTTAGTCAAGTTCCAGTTTCTTAATCATTCAGAAATTCTCAATTCAATTAGACAAAGTTAATCATTTGGAGAGCCTCCTCCTTCCTCCTTAGTAAAATCCAAAAGCTTTGGCTGATTCTATTGTGGATCACTTATCCTGCCACTTCATGGAATAAATCTACAAAAGACTTGATCTGGGAAACATGACAGTTAAGATGTTTGCTTTTCCAGTTTAGATTTAGAATTTTCTTACATTTGTATTTCTAATCCAGAAACCACATAGTAACTCTCTTTAGGAGAGAGAGACCTGCTTTCATAAATTTTTACATGGGAGTTCAGAAAAGTCAGGTAAAACCATATGACATATTTAAATACTCAGAGGACGGAATATGAAATAAACATGTATACATAGAATGACCGGTGTCAGGGCTGACTGCCATAACAATGCTTATTTATTACTGCTGCCAGAACTCTGATATCAGTAGATGTGGTCATTTGAGGTGTCGAAGGTAATTTGAAAGAAGGAAAGCAAAGACTGGTATGACTGACTTGCAGAACCTTTGGAGATTGTATAGATCTCTGGATGTTTCGCTGGACAGTATGGGCACAAGGGTCAGGCACGACTCCATCCCAGCTCTAAGTAGACAAAATGAACAGAGACAAATACTTTCTCCTATTTTATCACACCAGCCCCATCCTTCACTGGGCTGTTGATTCTGTGAAATCCCCTCTTTTGAACCTGTGATTTCTTGGCATCTTTTGTCATTTGGTGTGTTTCTTCCCACGTGTCTAGCCTTAATAGATTAAAGACAGTAGATGAGGGATCTTTGTTATTTTTTTTCCCTATCTTCATCTTTCCCCTACTCCTTACTCACAGGGCTGTGATTAGTAACACACAAAGATGTCAGTCTCTAGAACTCAGTAGCCAAAGAAAAGAAACCACAGAGAGGTTGTGTAAACAGAGGCAAAGAGCCATTTCACTTTCAGGAAAGTGTCTTGCATAAAGAGGCATCAGGGAGGGAATAGTTTTGAACTTCTCCCATTTTTAAAGCTGGTTATTCAGCATAGTTGATCTTAATTGAGACAACTTGAATTTCCCTGACACTATTGATTCTTCATTTGACTTGGATCTTTCTTTTTCTTTCTATTCCCAGTGACAATAATCTCATTCAGAATCTTACCTTAGGGCTTAGATTGGTCCATTAACCCCTATCTACTCTTCTTGACTCTGGTCTTTAATTCATGTACAACAAGATTATGTTAAAATTCCTGGAATATAATTTTCGTTATGCTATTGTTCTTGCTATTTATGAACTAATAATAGAATCCTGTTATTTTTCTGCTTATAAGCCTAGAATGAATCTTCAACATCCACTTAGCCCTGGCATTCAAGTTTCATCATAATCTGGTACCAAGTATCTTTCTAGACTTTTTTCTCATTACTTTTTTTTAACCTTCAAAACGCTTTCTCTGCAGCAAATTGATTTAGTTATCATACCTTGCCTCTCCTCTCCCTACTCTGTGCTTGCCCAGCCACAACCCCTAGTGAATTTCAAGCTACTGACAGTTAGTATTTCTAGGAACAAAAAAGCCTTACTCAGTGAGACCTATAGTGGCAACCTCAGGGTGTTAAAAAGCTTCAATTATACCCAATTCATTCAGGCATCCATTTATTCATTCATTTAGTGTCAGTTTTATCATAAGCTCTTTTGAACAACTAAATCCAGTGGACATCAAGACACACTAGACATGGTGCCTGACCTGAAGAACAAATATGTGTACCTAAATGTCATAGATGGAGGTGCACAGGGAATGAGTGAATCTTCCAGAGAGGGAGATATCAGGGAGGAAAAGCTTGAAAAGGAAGGTAACGTTTGAGCTGACTGTTGGGATATGAGCCAGTGTTCTTCTGAAGACTATGGAAAGGACAGTGTACCTGGAATTGGTGTGAGGACTGACAGAGAGAAGCTACAAGAGAGGAAGCTGTTGCAATAGGCAGTGATCAGATCTCAATGGGCCTCCCTTATATGTTATGTTAAGAAGTTTGGATTTTGTTCCAGGAGCACTGGGAAATCACTGATAGACTGACCTAGCAACCTATATTTCTGGCTTGGGCACCTATGTGAATGATGCTGCTATTCATAGAAAGAAAAACATAGGTAGGAAGCACATTTCAGGGGACTAATAGCTCTGTTTTGTATCTATTGAGTTTGAAGTGTCAGTGGAACTTCAGAAGGCAGTTAGGTGCTCTGGAGAATTTGGGCCAGAGACTTAAATCTGAGAATAAATAGCCTATTATGTTAATGTCTTGGAAGTTTGAGCTGGATTGAGAAGGTATGTGGAGTGCTGGTCCTTGTGCTGTAAGCATGGAGCTAAGAGTGATCCAAGAAAGTGTTTGCAAAAAGAGACTGGCACTGGATTTTCTCTGAGGTCTCTTTCTGCTCTAAAATGTTATGATTCCATGATTAATTTGCTAAATAAATTAATAGTGCAAACAGTATTTCAAGAGGAATGTTTAAATTACTTATGAGAACAAACTTTTTAAGTGCCCTCAAGCATCATAAAAACATCCACTCCCATAGACATAATTGATACACCAATTATAAATCTTTCTTAGCTCTTCACTCAAGCAGATTTCCTAAGAACTATGTTTGGCCACATTATATTTACCTAGAAGAAGTTCTTGTTTGTATTTCAAAGCCATCAAACTTCATTTCTTTATACAACATGTTTCAGCCTGGCCAGGCCCCCAGTAGGGTTGAATTATTAAATTTTTATAGTATGTGCAAGATCAAGTCTTGATGGATTGGTTTTTCTCTGGAGAAATGCATATCTTCTTCTTAATTTGGGACACAGCTGTTAGAATTGCAGACTTCATAAAAAATGGCAACATATAACTCAGACAGTTCACAGAAACATTTCCTCTCAATTGGCATGGTCTTTGAGGACAAACCACACTCTAAAATGTTTGTATAACAGGAAAATGTGGTGTCAAGATGATCAAAACAAGATAGGAAATGATATATTTTCACAAAATTTGCATACATTATTAAAAAATACCAGACAGTGCACATACAAAATAAGAACACAACCTTTAAAGGAGAGAGCCCTGATAAAAATGCAGGCAAATTAAATGCACATGTGAATGATAGACCCATGATTAGTGACAATAAATTTGATTTTCTTTTTCAGATTTGGGGAGAACATCAGCAATTCTCCCTACCACAGCAAAAGCAGATGAAATCTGTTATTCTTATCATTCTTCGGTTATTTTATACTTAGATGAAATGTGTGAGTTAGCCATTCTGAGCCTCAGCCTCCTTAGCTGTGAAGTGCAGAACATCAAGCAGAGTCTTGGAGAAATCAGACGGCACATGCAAACTAGGTCTTTAAAAGAGAGTTTAATTAGAGACTATTTCCAGAAATGTGGGTAGGATTCCAGAAAATTCTCAGGGATAGCAGGAGCAAGGATCCTGCCAGTAAGCTCTATGTAGCAGTTACCTGACATGCTCTGCAACCTCAGAAGAGGAATGTGGTCAATCTGTGATAGCCTGAAAGGGAGAGAGCAGGAGATCTCACCCTGCTCCCACCCTCCACATCTCCTGTTGTTGCCTCCACTGGCCAAACCCAACTGGAAGCCAGAGATCAAGGGAGCCAGTTGAGGCACTCTATAGAGACCCACTTCCCATGGCAGACAGCAGGGCAAGGCAGGGAGGAGAGTGAATCTAGAGGGTCATAAGAAAGATATCCACCATGGTGGATAGTAGAAGTATCAACCTTAGGGTAGTTGTGAAGATTAGGGAAGAATGGAGAAGACATGATTAGCACAGAAATTGACCCATAGTAAGAACTTGGCTTAACAGCTGAGGGTAGTGACACATGCCCATAGTCCCAACTACTCGTGAGGCAAGGGTGGGAGGGTCACTCGGGCCCAGGAGTTTGAGGCTGTAGTGCGCTATGATCACACCTGTGAATAGCCACTGCACTCCAGTTTGGGCAACATAGTGAGACCCCATCTTTAAATAAATAAATATTAGCATTTAATATTATTTTTATTAACAGAGGCATTCAGTTGTGTCTCTTATGACATGTTTGATTTTTCCTTGCAGGCAAGGAGCCAGTTGTACTACAGCTGGTGTCTCTTGAGTGTGAGCTAGATTGAGTGTGGAAGGCTGGCCCTTGTAACGTGAACATACAGCTAAGACTCATCCAAGAAAGAAGTGGTATATTAATTTCCTATTACTACTGTTAAAAATAACACAAATTTAGTGCTTTAAAAAGAACACAAATTTATTAGAGTTCTGGAGGACAGAAGTACACAAAGTCAGTTTCATCAGGCTAATGTTTCTTTTATAGACTTCCGGGGAGAATCAATTTTCTTGCCTTTTCCAGTTTCTGGTGGTGGCCAGAATTCTTTGGCTTGTGGCCCCTTTTTCCATCTTCAGAGTGTATCACGCCAGCCTCTGCTTCCATGTTCACATGGTCTTCTCTCTGACCCTGACCCTATGGCTCATCTTTTTATAAGGACTTGTGATTACATTTAGGGACTACTTGGATAATCCAAGATCATCCTCCTACCTCAAGATCCTCATCTTAGTCACATCTGCAAAGTCCATTTTACCATGTCAAGATAACATAACAGTTTCCAGAGATTAGGATGTGGGTAGGTTTGGGGTGAGGGAGGGTATCATTTAGCCTACCACAGGCGGATTCAGGACTTCTCGATCTAAGTGGAATTCACTTGCTGTGTGATTAAATAGCTGCTTCTGAAGATTCCTGTAATATCCAATATCACAGTCTTAGACTTACAATCAGTCTTAGTCTCATTGTATAGGGTTCCCTATACAATGAGAGCCCAGAGCAAGGGTTTATATGTAGGTAGTTTATTTTGGAAGTGGTCTCTGAGAACATGAATGATGGATTTAGAAAAGAAGAAAGGAGGGAAAGCCAATTCAAGGACACATTATTGGCCTGATCATCAGCGTAGGCAGCTAGAGCTCAGCCAGGACCTTCTGAAGAAAACATAGAAGGTATTCCAGAGTAGTCTGTCCAAGACAGCAGGGCTGGTGGGAGAACACTAGTTTTATCAGTCATTGACCAAGAGTTGCCCTGTGGGTGCTAAATTGCTTGCACTTCAAACCTGCCCATTCGTCAGTCCAGGAAGTTTCCTTCAGGTGTTCCATGATACATCATAAAAGTCCCAGGGCTGAAAGCTAGAGATATATGACAAGATAAGGTCAGGAAACCTGGTTTAACCCCAAACTAACTGGTTTCTGTCACAGTGCCTAGAAAGAGTGATACAGAAGAACACGAGATGGGGCACAAAATATGTCTACTACAGTCAGCAAGGCTAATGGTAGAGGTGGAATGATCTTGGATTGGAATTGATAAATGTGGCTCATTGTGCAGTGCTATAGAGGATGCCAGAATTATTTGAAAATTCTGCCCAAGTGCACTCTTTTCTTAGAGAGAACATTGGGTCCATGATATGTGGTTACAAAAGAAAGCTCAGAAGTGCTTGCAACAGCCTGAAATGCAAGCTTCCTTTGACCATCTACTCATGGTTTGCTTTATAGTCTAGTGGAGAAAGCCAGCATTAACATTAAATAAAAGATAATACGTAAATAAATATTTTCAAGTGTTCTGATTTTCATGTACTTAGTCTGGGAGTTAGGGAATCTTTCCTTGAGAAATTATAACTAAGTTGAAACTTGAAGAATAAGTAGGAGTTTGGATAAAGGTAGCAGCATTCCACGCAGAGGGAAGAGCCTGAAAGGAGTGTCTGAGTCAGAACAGAGCACTGCATGCTCAAGGGATGGAGAGAATCCAGCATAGTGGGAGCAAGGAGGAAAGTCACAAGAAGAAATGGAAAAAGTGGGAGGTGTGGCACACAGAGACATTATGCAGAGTCTCATGGGCCAATACAGATTTTAAACTACATCTTGGGAAGTCATTGAAGTTTTTTTAAAAAAATAAATTGGACACTCACAAGGTTAAATTTATATGTCTGAAAGGTTGATTGGTGGAGCTGAGGGGGTATAGGAATGAATGCAGTGAGAAACACGAGTGAGTCACAGGGAGAGATAATGATTGATATACTGAGGACACAAGTCACTGTGATTAGAGCTGAGCCAATCATTTCTGAATTCTAATGTATACCAGAATGGAAGTGACTTGTGTCCAGGAGGTAGTCTATAACTTCTGAAAAAGCTGAGAAGTCTCACTTCAGATTATGGACAGTAGGTAGGTCAGAAAAGACAAACTAGTCACCAGCAAGGCTGCAGCTTGAATAGAAAATAGGGGCTGCAGATCTTGGCTCAAAATACAGAGGAACTTTTTAACAGTTGGAACTTCCTCCAAGTGAAATAGGTTCAGAAACTAAACACATTGGGAATATTCCAGAAGAGGCTGTCTGGCTAGATATGGTAGAAGAGATTTCTGCATTTGGGTTCTAAGATCCTTTTCAGAGATAGTCCTAGGATTTGTCCTTGACTGGGTAGACCTCTGCACAAAGCAGGAGCTCCAAGAGCTATTCAGATCAATCAATCAATCAATCAACCTATCAATCAACATTTTAGTAGATTGAAGTTTAATATGCTTTCCTAAAGGTAAGATTTAATAATGGGAAGAAGAGGATTAAATGCTATGGTGTACCTGAGGTGTATAAAGAGAGGTATTCACAGGGGTTAGATTATACATTATGGAAAATGCGAAAGAGAAAGAAGAGAAAGAAGATGAGGAAAGAGAAAAAGAAAGAAAGAAAAAAGAAAGAGAAAGAAAAAAAGAAAACAAAAGAAAGAAAGGAAGGAAGGAAGAAAGGAAGGAAGGAAGGAAGGAAAGAAGGAAACAAGGGAAGAGAAAAATCGCCCAGAACAAGAAGAGTTTGTAGACTATCATTATTCTAGACCAGGGTTTCTCAATCCTGTTAGCATATTGGTTTGGATAATTCTATTGGTGGGAGTGGGAAGGTGGGTTGTATGTATAGGAAGGTGTTAATGGCATCCCTGATCTTGCCACACTAGATGCCAGTAGAAGCCCTGCTCCTTTCACCTCCCCCAAGAGATGTGCCAACCAAAAATGTCCCCCGGGGAGACAACAACCACTCATTGTTAAGAACCTTTGTTCTAGACCTTGTATATTTTTGGTGCCATCAGAAGAAACATAGACAAGTTACAAAACCTAAAAAAGATAATTACTTTTTTTATTTTTTTAATCTCATTTTACAGGTAACCAACTCACCATTTGGATTATTGGTTTTTAAACTTTGAAAATACTTAATTTACTTGCAGATAGTTTTGATTCATTGTATTTTGATTCAAACAACAAGAGAGATGTTTTATTACAACCTGTCTTCTATCTGAGCCAAAATGTTTCACGTGTGGAAAATAAGTCAAGTTGAAAAACAAGTTGAGTCAGTAGGTCACCAGAACTGTGTGTGAATATACTTTTATGCAAATTCACCTGCATTTTGCCACTGAAAGAGAAACACTGAGAAGATGAAAAGGTTGGCACTGATGAAATAAAAATTATGCATTTTTTTCTTCATTTTCTATAGGCCACAAGGAGTTTAAGTGATTTCCCATGATGTAGAAAAGCAACTCCTACTTGCAAATTAGCAAATCACCCATCCTGCTTCTTTCTAAAGAGTGATCTAGCCACAACTGGAGATTTCTTTCATTGCAATGTTGTCTACATCCCTCTCCATTTGATTTTCAACACCTTAGCTGAAAGAATAATTTTTTCAACATGCAAATCTGATCATACTTTAAAACTTGTTATTGTCTTCCCTGTGCTCTTAGGCTAAAGACCATAATCCTTACCAAGGCCCCTGCCAGCTTCCTCCATCAAATCTTAAACTGCGTATCCCTGTTACATGTGCTTTGGCCACACCAGTCTTGTCTCAATTCTTTGGCTCCTCCCTATTTCATCCCTTCATAATGCTTTGCATATGTTATGTGCTTTGTTTGGGAACCTTTCTACAGCTTCTTCAACTTGGTGAACTTTCTCTCACTCTTCAGATCCTGGCTCAAGTAACACTTCTGTAGAGAAACCTCTCTAACCAACATATGAACAAACACTTCATCGTTAAATCGTCTCGTAGCACCATATGTCTGCTTCATAGCCTTAACTGCATTCGTTACTTTATATTTATATGGGTATTTGTTTGATTAATGTCCAACCCTTCCATTTAGGTGTCATCTCTGTGAAGCAGGAACTACATTCATTTGTTTTACCATTGTATTCTCAGCACTTAACATAGTAGGCTCTGAATGAATATTTGTCAACTTAGTAAATTAATTAATCAATTAGTCAAAATAGAGTCATAGGTAACTATCTACATTGGAGTTCAGCAAACTGTGGCCCACTGGCCTGTGGCTTGATTTTGTAAATAAAGTCTATTGAGACACAGCCATACCCATTTGCTTACTGTTTCCTGTGGCTAATTTTGCTGTACAAAGGCAGCATCGAGTAGCTGTGACACAGATGATATTGCCTGCAAAGCCTAAAAGCTTACTCTCTAGCTCTTTATAGAAAAAGTTTGCCAACTCCTGATCTAAATCATTTATTTCTTGTATGGTTTATTCACCAGTTGTCATATAGCTTAATCCCAGGAAAATATGAAATAAAAGTAACATAAATATATATATTTTTTCATTGTCAAAGTATTTAATAATAGCAAACCCTCAATGAGCACTTGCTGTGTCACTTAGCCATTGAGCTAAGCATGTTACCTACGTTATTTCATGAAACCCTGACAAGGCCCCATTTTACTTGAAAAAGAAAGTATTCAGGTTAACGTTATTTCCCAGAATCATGAAGCTGATGTGGAGAAATGTAGACCAGCATCAGCTTTCTGTTTGTTTGATTTCATTATTAACTGGATGCTGGGGAGATTGGCACATGGCAGTGGTTTATGTTTGAAATGTTTCAGGGCCTGCATTCCCTCAGACTGTCCAAAAGGCAGAGGTGAATGGGCTAATACAGTACAGGATGGGGTAGTAATGGGATCCTTGGAGTATTAGTCATTTTCATGCTGCTAATAAAGACATACCCAAGACTGGGTAATTTTTAAAGAAAAAGAGGTTTAATGGACTCACAGTTCCACGTGGCTGGGGAGGCCTCACAATCATGGTGGAAGGCAAAAGGCACATCTTACGTGGCGGCAGTCAAGAGAGAATGAGAGCCAAGCAAAAAGGGAAACCCTTTATAAAACCGTCAGATCATGTGAGACTTATTCACTACCATGAGAACAGTATGGGGGAAACTGCCCCCCATGATTCAATTATTTCTCACCAGGTCCCTCTCACAACACGTGGGGATTGTGGGAGCTACAGTTCAAGAGTAGATTTGGGTGGGGACACAGCAAAACCGTATCACCTGGAAAGTCATAAAAACCTACTGTGGCTCTTATCTTATTATGGTGGGTTTGAGCATGCCACCATATGGCAGGATTCTTGGTGGCAAAAGGGAATAAGTTGACTAGGAAGAACCAAATTGGGAAATTGGCTGGAGAAATAATGGAAAGAGCAACAAAAGTGTCCATGCGGCACTCATAGGTCCCAAGAGTCTAAAGAACCTGAAGAAGTCAGATTTGGCAGTGAGGAAATGACAGTCAAGGGACTTGGAAAGTCAGGCTGGAGGCTTGAAAACCCAGAAGGGGAAACTTGGAAATGAAAGTAAGAAGGCAGAGTCTGTATGGCATAGGTTCGAGAACCCTAAACAAAGAATCTGGGCAACCAAATATTGAGTTGGAGGCAAAGGGTCTGAGAGGATAGTTACAGGGGAAGAAGTGAGAATGCAGCTTGCTGGGAACTTGGCATTGTGAGGACCCATTGCCTAAGGGCCAGAACCAGACTCTCAGAGTGCAAGACTCCAATTCTGATGGTAGAGGGAATTTTGTCTACCTGGCTACCTAGGGGAGAAAGAGAAGGCAATTCTTGACAGGTACTAAAAGAAAACCAAGTCTCCAAGTTTATCGTCTCTCTGGCCAACTGGCTTTGTCTTTCCCTTCATACCTGTTCCTCTTTCTCTCCTCTGTATTTATGACATATGCCTCAACTACCCAAGTTTGGTTTACTGACACCATTTTTAACTCCTTCTCCTTCAGCAACCCCCAAGACCTCACCAGCACTTGCCAACCCAGCCAGAATATCATACATCCTACTCATGTTTCCTGGTCATGGCCAAGTTCCCTTTTCCCAGTTCATTTTCTCACATCATTGGAATTGCCTGGAATGGCTTTACCCAATTTTGCCACCTGAAAAAATATGAAGTTATCTGACAGGGCCAGCCCAAATGTCTCTTCCTCTCAGTAGCATTTTCAGACTTCCCCAACCTTTGGGAAGAATCGACTCCATATTTTCTATGCTCATAGTGTTTCTTACATAGAACTTTTATAAAGGATTTATGGTTCCTCAATACTCTTCAAATAAAGACAAAACCTTGATGTGGTCTTCTGGTTCCTACGTAGGTGTCACCCCACCTCACCAGTCTTGCCCTAGACCTCTTCTGACCTTGACAGAGCTTTCTTCTGCCTAAAAGGCTCGTTCTCTTCTTGCCTTGTTAATCTCTAGTTTTCTTTCAGATCTTGGCCAGGGAGCGCCTTCCCTGAATTCTGTAACTAGATCAAATCTCCCATTTTAGGCTCTCATAGTTCCCTGGGCCTCATCTTCATAGTCCTGTAGCAGAGGCAGTTTTATTGTTTGTGCAATTATTTGATTGGCCGCCTTCTCCATGTGTTGTATATGCCAAGAGTTGAGGAAACGTTCCTGTTGTTGCTGGCCTGTATTTCTTTTTCCCCAGCCCAATGCTTGGCTCCGAGCGGGTACTGAGCACACAGTGGGATGAATAAATCAATAAATCAATGCAGTATTTGTTTGCTTTTGGGTCTTTCTCTTTCTCCCGCTAGAGAGCTCCTGGGAGGCAGGGCTGTAACTTAGTCCTTTAGCTCCTCAGTGTGTACCATAGTACCTGCCCCAGGGTAGGTTCTCAGTGTATTTCGAATGACATTATATTCCATTTCAGTGTCACAAATTAGCCTGCAGTTTGATCAACAGTTGTATCTAAGTGCTTCTTTGATCACAAAGGTGCAAAACAAGAAAATGTCATGAAGAAAATGTGTCCCCATGGGCTTTTCTTTCTTCTACTTATTTCTTTTCATCATCCCATGTCCTCTACAACTTATCTGTCACTAATAGTGCTCTTCTTCCATCCTTGACACTCCGGTCATCCAAGGAGCATCCTCAGTGAGTGGCTTTTTCTCCTTCTCTTGACCTTCAACTTTCAGGATTTCTTTCCTAATAATTTTATTAAAATCACATTTCTGGATCTCCTTCTCCTACTCCTCCATCCTAAGGCTTTTGCTACATCATGGAGACCATTATTTGCTTTCTTAATTTTGTCAACTTAACTTTACCCTCATCCTCCCACATAGATTTCCTTCAAGAAATCAAAGGATAGTATCAAGAGAGTACCAAGAATGAGAAAAAGCACTGTGTTCTTCTATTTGAAGCAAAATAATTTTAAAGGAAAATGTAGGAGGAATAGATTTTTTGTTCTATTTTAAAGCAGAAGGTGGGCAACTTCTGCTGTTCTTTGTGTTTGAAGCAACAGAAGAAAGTAACAGATGCAATTAAGATTTTTGATAGTTAGGTTGTGAAACATGGCATGAATCGTTTACTCTCTAATCTCAGAATGCCCTCCTGCTGAATAAGGGAGTGAGCCTAGACCAGTCTTTGAACTCATGCCAGGGTCTCAGGGGACCCCACAGGCTCATGCAAGAGGTGACAGGTGACTCCTGGGACCCTCCAGGCTCCATTCGAGCTTCGATGAGAGAGGAGTTCTGGTGTAGTTTGTTTGATTCCTGCCCTCTTTTCAATGCTTAGCCTAGTGTCTGGAGCATAGATATTTGTTGAATGAATGACACCATCTTATATATTGGAATTTCTTGTAATATTTTATTTGAAGGGAAAAAAGTTTTATTGATTAAAAAAAAAGGTGTGAGAACCACTGGACTAAATGCTCTGTAGAACTCCCTGTGCTTTAAAAACAATTCTATGATGTTTAGAACATCAATTATATAAAAGTAAGCAATATGATAGCCTTGAGATAAAATACCCTGAATCATTATGCAAGATAGCTTTTCTTCATTTCAGAATCATAATCAATAAAATATGTGTAAAAAATCTTAAAGTAAAACAACTGAGCACTTAGACAATAATTCAATATATAGTCTATTGTCTTGCCTTCTATTCCTTTCAGCTTCAAGCCTACCTTCCCCAGGAGTTTCCAGGAACCACACAAAAGCAGGTCTCTTGCCTCATGTCATTTATGTTCTTAGTTCTGAATCATTCATCCTGACATATCTCTTATCACCTCCCAACTCCTCATAGGATCTGGCAGTACCACATGCCCCACCATGATCATTGGATGCACTTTGCTATATGATATGGTTTGGCTGTGTGTTCCCACCCAAATCTCATGTTGAATTGCAATTCCCAGTGTTGGGGGAGGGACCTGGTGGGAGGTGATTGGATCATGGAGGCGGATTTCACCCATGCTCTTCTCATGATAGTGAGTGAGTACTCATGAGATCTGATGGTTTTAAAGTGTGTGGAACTTCTGCCCTTTCTCTGTCTCTCTCCTGCCACAATGTGAAAAAGGTGCTTGCTTCCCGTTTGCCAGAAGTCCTGATTGTAAGTTTCCTAAGGCCTCTCAGTCATGCTTCCTGTCAAGCCTGTGGAACTGTGAGTCAATTAAACCTCTTTTCTTCATAAACTACCCGGTCTCTTGTAGTTCTTTGTAGCAATGTGAAAACAGAGTAATATGCTGTGTGAAAATGCATCCTTCTGGTTACACTTTCTCCGGTGTGATATTCTGCTCACTATGATCCTGCTCAAAGAACCACTAACCTGGTAGAGACTGTTGAAAGATGTTTTGCCTCATTAACTGTGGCATCTCAGACACCACAAAACATCAGGTCTTGGACATCACATTTCCAAGATCACTCCAGAAGTGACCCAGGAAATATAAGGATTGACATGTAGTTCCTGTGTTTAGCTAACACAGCACTCACAGACAAAGCCACCCCTGAGATGTGTAACAGATGGTGGTGACAGTACTGTCTATATGCTCTCATGGCCTGGTCCTGTGGCTTAAGGTGTTTCTTCCTGCAGACTTCACATGTAAATATTTGCATCAGTTATCTTTGCGAGTAACACAGTCATTTTTCCTTTTGGTGGATTTTTTAAATGAGTGGATATATTTTGTGGAGCCTAAGCGTCAGATTCTCAGTAATACAGTGAGTCTCAGCCTGATGGAAGTGGAATCAGTGTCATTTTCATCTTCCTTGTATCTCCTTGCTTCTTATTTTCCACTCTCCTTTTGAGAACTTCCCCCCATCCCATGTGGCTGCAGGGGCTGTCAGTCATAATCCCTGTCCTTTCACACAATATGCAGCCGTGGGAAGGCTATATGACTCAGCCCTGCCACTTTATTGTAATCCACTGCCATGGAAATGGGGATGAGTTTGTAAGCTGGGTACATGACCAATCAGGGCCAGCCAAAGACCTTTCCTGGGACTGGTAACTGAATGCTATTACAAATACACTTCTCATTCTGTCAGATGTCTGCACCTGGACGCTGTGGGCTTGGGGTTGCCAAGGGGTTTCTCTCCATCAAACAGGAGACCATCTGCCAGAAGAGACCAACACTCAGAAAGAAGCAGAACTGAGAGGTGGAGACCTGAGAACCTCATTTTACTGCAGATTTCATCTACCCACATTATGTGAGCTAGTAAATTCTCTTTTTTGTTTAAACTATGTTAGATTTCTGTCACTTGCAAACAAAAGTAGTTTGGCCAACACAGAAACTGGCATTGCCAGTGACAGACCTTACACTGTGGAACTACCTGTGTTGAGACGAAGTAGAAAACTGAGAGTCATCCACCATCCCAGGCTGGGAAGATCAAATATTTACCATGCCCTAGCTCAGTAGCTAACTCATTATCACCTCTGGGATTTTAGGACTCAGACTATGAGCCTACCAAGTCTGGAGTTTCAGAGGATTTGCTAGAAAAATATCAGAATAATAAAGAGTGTTGCCTCTTTTCGCAGTATTCACTATTGCTCTGAAAAAAGGGACAGGTTGGTGGGTTAAAAGCAGAGAAAGAATAGCAGACATCTGTTGATTGCCAGAAAGCCAAGACCACTAAGGGCAAGAGAATCATGTATTTGTGGAATTGCAAATGTCAAAATATCTGTCTAATTTTTAATTCAATGCAGAGAAAGACAGGAGATTATATTGAAACCAGAGAAAGGTCAGAGAATACAGAAACTCCTCCCAAATACTTCCTGCGCTGTGTCACTCCTGCTAAATAAAGGTCATAATTACCCCTATACAAAGACCTCATCCAATGGGATACAGCCTGGCCAGCCAAGGACAGATTAGCTCTGCCTCACCACTCCAATTTATTGTTTCATATAGTCCTAAAGCAGTGACCAAGACTGACACATAAAACAGAGAGCTAGGAGCATGGGCAGAGAACCAAGATTCGTTGCTAAGAGACAGAAACTTGAAAGACAGGATTCAGATTTACAAATTGTGACTGGCCAAGATTGCTGGCATTGGTTCCAAGCTAATAGAGTTTTCCTAGAATTGATTCAATTAACAACTTACTGGGGTTTTAAAAGGTTATGCTATCTGAGAAATCTCATGTCTAGAAAGTGACCTGGGATTGCTCAACCCCTAGGGCAATTCCCAGGCCTCCATAACCATGCCTTCAGTATTAGGCTACTAAAGAGACCCTAGCATATCCCTCTATACACATCTCAAGGGCAGCCTTAGAGTTAAATGGCCAAGGGAGAGCCTCCTTGTAAGCAGGACTAGGGATGGAATTGGCTCCCGTTGCAGCCCTAGGGGCATGCATTCTTATGACACACGTCCAGCAGGATACGGCATGTGGTATTTATATTCTTTCCTCTTCTCTACTCACCAAATGGCAGTCTCCATTGTTATTCTGTCTTCCTCTGCTATTTTATACTGGGTATGTTGAGGGTAGTTAACTTTGTCATTGAGCCCTAGGTTCTACTGTTGTGAGAAACTATCTGGATGTAGTCAGGGCAAGGTACATGATCCAGATATGCCAAACTGGGATGTGATTTTGGGTTGTGTCTCTTTAGGGAGAAGGTGATCAAATCCTCAGGTGAGGGCACCTTTGAAATTATCTGTATTGGGTAAAGATTAAATGTGCATGCTGGGAGAGCAAGGGGTGGAATATAGTGGGCATCTGTTTTTGCCATCCTGGGATGTCTTCACCCTTTTTCTAGCAATAACTCCTCTCATTTTCCTGGGGGGAAATTGTCCCTTCTCATTCCAAGTAGTGTTAATGGAGCTCTTGGCCAAAGTACTCTCTGGCCACAGGGATGGGCAGGCATTGTAGCCTTCCTTTTAGAAATAATCATTGGTCCAAGGAGTGGGTACATGATCAAGCAGTCAACCAAGAGTCCTTCTCTCAGATTATTATATGGGCTCTTGGAGAAATAAAGTTACTCTTTCTTCTGGAATTTTAGTATCAGAATGTTCTAGGACTGGGGTTACAGTGGTCACTTTCCCCACCAAATTGAGAGAAACGTTTATAGAAAGAAAGAAAGAGAAGCAGAGGTGAGAGAGGGAGGGAGAAAAAGAGAAGAAAAGAAATCCCAAGAGAGAGAGACAGACCTAGACTTAATGACTGCATTTAAGTCCCAGTCATTTCTGAAAAATGCTATATCCCCAACTTCTTAGTTACATAAGCCAATACATTTTCTATTCGTTTAAGCTAGTTTGAGTTTCTGCTGCTTGAAACTGAGTATCCTGACTAACCGAATTGGCCATTGTGTATATAAATCCAGGAAGCCCCTTCTGAAGATTATATGAGGGATCTTAATAGTACTTTTGTTATGCCAAGTAGTATGAAGGTTACCACTTACTACCACACTTAGATTATTGGGTCAGATAGCTGCTCTACCTGAGTAATGCATATACGCAAATAACTTGTACTGAATCGATATCATCTTGCTAATGAAACTCTACTAAGGACTCTAGAACCTTCCATGATGAACCTTTTTGAACTAGGGAGGTCAGCAATCTAGACCATCAATTGAATCATGTATATGGCCAGAAGATTGGTTCATCTTACAGGCACCTCCTGAGACTCAGGATGAACTTAGGCAAGTAGGAGAAGAAGACTCTTCAGAGACTCATCTAAGCAAATCCACTAATACTACAAGAAGCTGTTACTACCATAGTACAGCCAACAACTTTGTGCCTGAAACTCTTTGTACTAGGGAACCCCAAGCCCACTTACAGGACATTAGAAATGGGCAAGCTTGCCAGGCATGGATCCGTTTTCTCTCTTGGCTTATCATAGCTTATTGCCATTATATATTCTGTGTGTCGGGTCTCCTTTCAGAGACACACAGTGGGTAGGTCCCATGGAATTATGGTATTTTATTAACCAACTAGAACAATTGTTAACCTACTCTAAGACTGGACAGAGATGTTTGACCAGTATCTGCTGCTGTAACAGGATGTAAGCTTTCAGCTATAATCCACTGTTGTAGTGCCAGTGTGGTGGCAAGTTTTAGGGAAGAGGGAGTGTTCTATAATCTTCCAATTGAATCTCAGCCTTTTAGCCCATCTGAGTCTTGGAACTGTGACCCTCCCCAGTGTTTCCCCATAGATGTATCTTTCGCTCCCTCCAGACCAGTCCTTTCCAATCTATTTTCTTGAAGCTCTGGCTGTTGATTGTGTCTTTTTCTTAGGTGAGACAGGAAGGCTAGGGAAGGCTGGGATGGGAGTAATGACCTTCCCCTAGCTGGGATAAGGCGCTGGCAAAGTCTTTTTTCCTTAGATAGTAGGCTTTTATTATGGAGAAGGCTCTGGAGTGTTTCACCACATGAATCTTCTCCGCCCCAGAGCCTAGAGGTCATCTTTCTCAGATCTTCATCTTGAGAACCTGTGGGATTCTTAGAAAGAAAGCCCATGAAGGTGTGGGGGCCATGTCTAAGACTGTGACCCCACCCCCCAGGGGTTTCTCACTCCCTATTACTCCACACTCAGCCTCCAGAATCCATCAAAATGACCATTTAAGTGTTCCTACCAATTCAGGGCTTCAGCAGCTTCTGTTCCAGAGAAGCAGATCTTGGTTATGTCTCTCTGGATGCCCTGACTGTCCAGATTTCTTGGTGGCAGTTTGTTCTGCAACTTCAGTTCCCTGGAAGGTCGAAGAAAAGTAATCAATTTTCAGTTTGCTCAGTTTTTTCTTGTCACATAAACAATAGTGTTGAGCTTTACATGTTGAAGCTGAGGCTGACATCATGTCACAAGGTGAATTTCTGTTTGTCAGTTCCTTCTTGGTCCTCCAACCCTTATCCCCTTCCATGGTTGCCACACAGCAGGAAGAAAAGGCACATGGCCACAATCTTCACACCTTATGCTAATGATTCGTGGGGTCCCTGGGAGCCAGACACTTAGGTCAAGGAAGTCAAGTGTTGTTTCTCAGTTCAACACTCTGTCTGCACTGGCTATAAACCAGGGCACTATCAATCTCTTAAATTTCCTTCAACACTTGTCAAGTTACATCACTTGTTAATGAGTCAAAACATCTTTCACCACAGCTCCAATTCTGTGTGATAGTAATTTTACCCACAAATCATTCCTCTCACTCCCGGTTTGCCACAGTCTTCAATGGGTAAATTTCTCTGCCATTTTTGTTATTGTAAAGCTCTAGGCTTGGAAAGAAATATAGCAGCACAGATTACAAAGAGACCAAACAATTTGAATATTTTAACTTTGTGATTGCTCAGCAAGGTCTATATGACCTGAGAGCATTTGGAGGAAGTATAATGCCTGAGATGTCTTGAAATGATATGAACTTCCCATTACACTCAAGGGTGTATTCAGCCCTTAGACTCTGCAGTGCCCCCATCATGACGTTTTCAAACACGTTACAGGATGTGGAGTTTTAGGGGAAGAGGCAATCTATTGGTGACGTATTGGTGTAACGGGAAGGCAAGATCAAATTGCAATTTTCTGTAGATGAAATTCAGTTTCAATCATTGTAGTCTTGTCTGTCAGCTATCGTGGTTGAAATGAAACTCAATGCGTGTGATTTGAGCATCATTCTACCGTCACATGGGTTGATGGCTAACACATTTTCCAATTTTTCTGAATATTAGAAAAATACAAAAAAAAAAAGTGGAGGAAAACCATTATTTTATATTTTAACCCTTAAATCTCCATATCTCCTTCTTTAATTTAAATGGTTAATTGTAAGCATTTTCAAAACTTAGTCGCTAAACTATCAGGAACAGTTTCAAATCATTGTGGCTGTATTTCACATTAGTACATTTCGCATGGAGAATAAAAAGTACTGAAAATATTGCTCAAGTCTCTTTATTCACCACAAGGTAAAAAGCTGAAATATACCCATGATGATAGTAATCTGAATGAGCACACAGTTTACAGAGTATATGATTAGAAGCCTGGGTCTGGCTCATATGTGAGGAGCAGTTTTATCCTAAGCTAGGATGTGAGAGTTATCTTCTGTCACTCCTTCAATCCCAAACTGAAACATGAATCAGACGAGAACTCATTTGTTCCCTACTGCAAGCCACTGGACAGGCTTGTGAGTTAAAACTGTGATTTATAAATAAAATTATATATTGTTGGTATTGCTCTATAATTTTACCTATACCTAACCATGGAGCCTTCTGTCTACCTACTTAGTTGTTTGCCACCCTAGTTAGTAATATGCAGTGTGATTTGGGTTCAAGGATGAGTAAGAATGATGGCTTGGATTGAGTTCAAGAACTTCTTTTTCATAAGTGTTTTTACCTAAACAAGGGAAAGACTTGGGTGGTTGGCCACAATTCCCCATTCTGCCCGCACTTATCATGGAAATACAGCTGTGGTTGGTGGTCTTTGGCTGTGTGGATGAAGTGAGATGCCCACCGGGCCAGAGAAGCATGGACTCCACCTTTTATACCCATGGCCATCATTTTACCCAGAAGCAACTTAACCTACCATACAAAGCAACAATTCTGCTGCTCAGGATTAATATAGATTCTAGGCCTTGGATTTTTGTTGTACCAGGACTGGGGTAAATGCCACTTAACTACACCTGCATTAGAGAGTTGAGGAATCCCACGCATGTCCACTTGGGGACTGTCTTAGTGCATTTTGCATTCTTATAAAGGAATACATGAGGCTGGATATTTATAAAGAAAAGGAATTTGTTTGGCTTATAGTTCTGCTTTAGATGAGGGCTTCAGGGAGCTTCTACTCATGGCAGAAGGTAAAGGAAAGCAAGCATCACACGGCAAGAGAGGAAGGAAGAGAGAGAGGGAGGAAGGTGCCAGGCTCTTCTTAACAGCCAGTTGTCATGGGAATTAAGAGTAAGAACTCACTCACTATTCCGAGGATGGCACCAAGACATTCATGAGGAACCTGTCCCCGTGGCCCAAACACTTCCCATCAGGTCCTATCTATAACATTGGGAATCAAATTTTGATATGAGATTTGGAAGCGACAAATATCCAAACTCTATCAAGGACTTTCCCTGGGCTGCTACAGGCATGGCCTATGATAACTATTAACAAATACATGTGGTGCTTTCAAGGAGGAGCTCAGTTCTTCTCCTTTCAACTACTTAAGCTCTACCCAAGCATCCATCTTCACATTCAGTGCTTGAGAACAAGCTTGACTTGCAGTTGCTGCCAACTGAGACAACTCCTCCAGAGATTCCATCTTAAAAAGGACATGTTTTTCTCAATAGCATCAACATCATCTTCATTCATGTCTTGGCACTTCTCTAGGAAAGCATGTAGCTTAATACTGTACAGAAATAGACTGGCCTCCCACTGGACATAGGAGACATCTTGGTCACTCCCTCAAATTCCTCTTGGCTCCAACCAGTGCTGTAGAGGATTTGACCATCTTCAGGCAGTTGCAGCTAGACAGTAACTCACTTTAGGCCTGTGCCAAATATTTCTCGCTTTTTTGCCTTGAGTCTTCTCTGATGTTGCAGCATGGAAATCCCAGAAACTGGCCTGGAACTCCTGTATGTTTAACCTGGAAATTCAGGGAGTGCTTGGGACCATTCTTGACTACTGGGGAACAGAAGCCATTGGTAAATGCCTCCCTCTTTGATCCTCTGGATAGATGGTCTGAGCCATATTTGCAAGGATCTTCAGAAGGTCTTGGTGGGCTCAAACACCAGTTGCCTACAGTCAATCAATAGTCTTCATATCAACTCCTTATACTGGCTTTCCCTCCTTCCCATTTCCACTATCCTTGCCTTGCAGTCCTGCTCCCTAAGGTCACATTCAGAAATTAACTACACTCAAGCAAACCTTTGTCTCAGGCTCTAATTTCAGGGAAACCCATGATAAGGTACATTGATACAAGGATCCAAATTGGACCCTTTGAGTCTCGTGTTAAGATGCCAACTTTTCCATCTCTGTATCATCTGTTTTCTGGAAAGTAAGAATCTCCTTTCAGTATCATTGAGTTGTCTACCATAGGACCCTTGTGGAAAATCTTCAGAAAGAAATAACATATGAAATGTGGTTGAGAGGAAATAACCTTGACGGGAATAAACTAAAGGGTGTGATGACTGTATTAGGATCCTGAGGGGGAAACAGATGGCATACTCAAATCAGGATAATTTGAGGATGGCTTATAGACAAAGGGACCTATTCCAAAGATGTAGGCAGTGTGCAGGGGAACCATAAGAGTACAGCAGGAGCCCAGGTTAGCAGCTGACGGTCCCTTTAGGTTAGAGTTGTCATATCAATACAGGATGCCCCATTAAATTTGAATTTCAGATAAACAATGAATAATCTCTTAGCATAAATATGACTTAATTATTGCATGGGACATCCTTATTTTTAAAAGTTCATTGTTTATCTAGAATTCAAATTTCCCTGGCCATCTTATATTTGTATTTGCTAAATATGACATCTTTATTTTAGACTCAAAGGGAAGGGAGAAGACGAGAGAACTTGTAAAGAGAGAGTCATATAGAGTAGGCTGCTCTGAGACATGCGGTAAGCTTCTATCTAGGGATATAAGGTAATTCCAATTCAAGTCAACCACACAGGGAAGGAACCAGAGAATAAATACTGAGATCTCCATCTCTTTTCTGCCTCTGGTCTCCTGCCAGGGCTCATCACTGACTGAACCCAACCACAAGCCAGCGGGCAGGGGAGCCTGTGGATGCAGGCCAGCAAGTCTGCCTCTGTGACGAGGAGCAGGGTGGGAAGGGTGCAGCAGCATCTGGAGGGGCAAATGGAAAGATTCAGCACAGCAGGCATTCCTCTTTCTGCTGTAAGTGTGCATTCTCCAAGCGTTACCTCTGACCTAAGTGAAATCGTAGGAAGTGACATCCCTGACATTCCTAGACCAGGAACCAGGCTGTCCGATGATAATTAGTCTTCCTTCTCGGCTACACCATTTCATCATTCGATGCCCTGTGTCTCCATGGTTCTATGCTTTGGTAATTCTGTGCCTTTTATTAGAAAAAGTATCAAGTCTTTTGGGGTGGGGGTGGTAGGTGGGTGTGGATAAAATAAAAATAGTTTTCTTTTTCCTATGGGAGCTCTTTTGAAGCAAACATGATATGCCCAGTGTCATAATTCTGTAGGTTCTCTTTTCTTTAATTCTTTCACTTTATCTCTTTATTACCTGTGGCTTTTCCTTGTGGATCATATGTCACAGCAGGTTGGTAACATTCGTCAATGTTGAGAGACATTTTAAAATGCTCATATTTGAAATGACCTCTGTAATCTCTAGCTTCCTTGGCATGAAGCCTGTGGTGGTTATGTTCATGTCCTGGTTCAGATCCATTGCCACAATGTCAATATTCTAACTAGGAATGATCACTTTATTCCCTTGTTAGGCTTCTAAAGTATTTTCTTTATTACTGTCACTAGCACTGGCATTTGGCTTTTTTTCAGGGCTGTTTACATGAAGAAACAACGTTGTAGTCATACCTTGAGTGAGTTGCCACATGAGCAGCGGGCAACAAAGCAGTGCAGATAGGCAGATGCTAGCCTCCAGGACTAGCGAAATGACTCATTCTCTCTCAGAGGGCATGATTCAGATTCCCACTTCAGAATGTTTCAAAGTAATAACTTGCTAAGGAACTTCCCAGGTTACTTTTCAACTGTTGAAACTGTTACAGACTCAAGGGTCAGGCATCTATGGTAGGAGCAACAGCTTGTGCACTTACTATGTACAGGTTTCTCCTATAAGTACTTTGCATGTATCATCTCATTTAAGACCCATGACAACCCTCCGAGTTAGGCAGTATCATTATCCTCATTTTATAGGTGTAGTAACTAACGTATTGAGAAATTAAGTAACTTGCTAAAGTTGATAGGCAGTGTGTTAAATAATATAGCTCTTTATTTCTTTCTCACATAAATGAAGCCTACCAGGAGGTAGGATGGCATTGATGTTGTAGCCCCTCAGTGACTTCAGAGACTCTGTTCTAAATTTCTGCACACCATCCTAGCACACCATTTCTAGTATCCTGGTCACCTCATGGCTCAAAATGGCTGCTGGAACTCCAGCCGTCACATCCACATTGCAATTTAGAAGCAGAACAAAAGGGAGAAGGACAAAAAATAAGCCATCTATCTTATTTATATCTCACTGGACAAAATTTAGTCCTATGCCACAACCTACTCCTATGGCCTCACCTAGCCACTAGGGTGGATAGGAAATAGTCTTTTATTCTACATGGCAATATGCCTGGATAAAAGTTTGAGGTGTTCTCTAAAGTTAAAATGAGAGAATGGATATAGGGGTAAAAAAGCCAGGATTCTTGGCTACTGTGATGGGCTGGGTTTGAATCCGAGTCATTGGAATCCAGAGGAGCCCCTACCCTTTTGTGACTATACCATATCCACACTTGGGTGCTACTTTATAATATGGTGCTATTTTTTTTTTTTTAATAATATGGTGCTATCATGGCATTTGCCCAGTAAGTTCTCTTCTTGGCTTTCAGTATACTGGTCATTAGCATCAAGTGAGTAAGGACTTTGATAAAGGCTAACTTCTTAGCAGAGTAAGAGTTCTGACAAGTGACCAGTGACAGCGAGGAGTAGGGACTGGGGTAGAAGGAAGGTGAGGGGCTTAGCATGTGGTTCAACCATAGGCCTGAAACAAACTGCCTAGCTATCTTTTTGTAAAAAAAAAAAAAAAAAAAAAAAAAAAAAAAAAAAAAATCTCAGGCCCATTGGACCTAAAGGAAACCAAACATATAAAGTCTTATCATCTCTCTGTCTTCATTTATATTAATCACTTCTTTAAATACACTAATTCTCAAAAGAAAATATAAAATGCAGAAATTTCACAAAACTCATGCTGATAATGGTAATGAAAATTCTATCAGCAAAAGCACGTTGATTAATCATATACATGCATGATTTTTCTCTTATACCATCTGTTTAGAAGATGAAAAATGTATTCTGCTGGTAGTTTGGCATAAAATATATTTATAGAAAGATTTTATTTATAGTCTGCCAGTGGATTCTGAGCCTGCCATGACATAGCTTTCAGAACTAGGTAGGCTGAAATGTTCAAATATTAATGCCAACAACATTCTTATCATTAAAACATGAAAGTTAAAATGTTTTCATATTCAGTTCATATTTTGGAGTCTGTGACTGCAGACTGAACAGTCTATTTGGAACTCAGCTTAAAAACATTACAACGTAATTTGATAGCCTTGGTTATTCTCAGCGGTTGATGGTATCTAAATTATTCTGGTTAGCCAATTTTATTTTCTGGCTATCCAGCATTAAGAAAAACAACGCTTATCTCAGAAAACATTTCCAGAGAATGGAATACATGTAATCACTGATTTTTAGTGATGAAGAGTTCACATTACAGGAACTCCAAAGTAACAAGGAAAACTCTACAGGGTGGGATTGAGATATTGGATCTTGATATTAACACATTAGAAGCAGAGAGATGATTAAAGAATAACACTAGATTCTCTCTCTCTCTCTTTAAAATCGCTAACCCACTGTCATATCTTTATTTACACACATATTGTATAAGTTAAAATTACAGTTGCTCTTGTTTATACCTTAAATCTCAAGGATGCCTATGTAAGCCAATGAGCCACTTGAGGCAAGAGAAAAACCCTGTTGCTTTTGCGGGTTTTATGAGAAACAGCTGGGGCACTTAGACTTGGGATATTCTGGAAGGTGGTTGTCCTGCTCTTCTTGACTACTTGCCTCAAGTATCACTGACACACAGCAAAACTATCCTCCAGGAGCCTTTTCATGGTCTCTATTGATCTAAAATATTGTTATTTTGACCCTAAGGAAGAGTCTGATGTGCAGTGGAGTCATACATCCTGAGATGTGAGGGGTCAGGCATAGAAATATTGAATGCTTCTTGTTATCAATAAAATCAGGTCTTTTTCTTAACCTTTCAAGCAATAAGCCCAATAGATATATTAACAAATAACAATATGAGGGAAATAAGCTTTGTGTTGTACCTAAGTCCATTCATTCTTAACCTCCATGAGATTTAAGGCAGATTTGGGTGGGTTTCTGGGAAAAAGTCATGTTACTTAAGTAAGGGGAAAATATCTTATTCATGGAAAGTCTCTTCTTTAAGAACCACAAATTGCATCAATAAAATAATCAATGGCACACAGCAGCTAACATGCTCAATTCTTCACCTTTAAAGCGGCACTCTTTCTGGCTCTGTGAGGAAGAGAGCCAAAAGTTAGATGCTATAAAGACAAGCATATAGAACATGTGGTAGAAAATGCCAAAGATTTCTCCAAGAATTCTCAGTAGCAGAACCCCTGAGCCCATGTTGAGACAGGCCCTACCACAATGAAGGTGGACTTGATTGGTGATAACTGTGGGAAGCATTCTAGTCCTCTTGTCTGACCTTGCCCAGACTTAAAGGGACACACATCTTGTCTCTGCAGGCATCTGCTGGGTTTCCCCCACCACCATCCCCTCGCCAACCTCTCACTCACAAGACATTAAACCTCCCCGTGTTGAGTACCTTGTATCAGGGGCAAGCTTAGTCGTTAGTGATGAGTATCTACTGACTACAATCACTTCACAGGCCCTGGGCTGAGCACACTACAACCGCTGTCTCATTGAATCCTTGCAATCGCTCTAGGAGGGATGTTTTGGGGGAATTTTTGGTCAAAAAATAAGAGACTCCTTTCAGGTCCTGAGCTGATAAGTAAATTCTTTTTGTATGACAGTGAGCAGGAGGTTCAGAATTTTGAGACAAATAACAGAGTCAGAAAGTTTTATTTTGTTTTTCCCCCAGCAAACTCCCTTTACTTTTGACTTCAGGTCACATTATATAACAATCTAATATTACCTGACCTGGTTTTTCAGCCTTCTGATGCTGAAATCTCTCTCTTAAAGTGATGAAAGGTTTCAAAGCTCTGAATGGAGATAAAAATCTGTTTCTGCCTTCTTCACCATCCAACACCCACTCTTTCTTAGGCAGATCTGGCAAAAATATGTTTGTTCACAAAGAAGCACTGTGGACACAACACAGTCGTCACAGCTTCCCCACCTTGAAAGAGCAGCTTCCCTGTGACACCTACAAAGACTGACATGAATGGAGTCAAGCTGCAGCTTCTCACTTGGGGCACAGAGAGAGAGGCTGTCACAAAGTAGCAAGGATGCAAAACATGACAATTGTCTCAGGACAATTCAAAACAAAGCTAAAGACCACCCCAGGCTCTACTCTAGTTCCCTTATTTTAACTTAATATATTGTTTTGTTGAAATAGAGTATTTTAAGCTCTGTTTTCCTCAACAGCTTTGTAAATTCAATATGTTCAAAGAAACAGGAACTATTGTCACAAATGGCCAAAAAGAAGTCCTGGCCTGTGTCCCTAGGATTGCCCCAGGGTCTCTTAGCCCACAGAGGCACTTTGAACATTACGATTTTACAGATACTGGGATGAGGCCCAGAGAGCTTGATGAGATTTACATAATCAGAAAGTGGCAGATGAGGGAATTAGGACTCAGGTGACATAGTTTTAAAATGGTTTTCTGATCTACTACTATACTATACTGTCTCTTGGAAGCCAACACGTTTGCATCTTTACACTGACCAGTGCCAAGATAATACTAACTTAAGAGAGAACCAGACGGGTGGCTCTAAGGCCAAAATTGGGTTAAGGGTCCATTGCGTGTTAAGTTAGAACCACAGAAGATTTGCTGCTGATACTCTATTAGAATTAATCCAGTAAAATGCTCCTAAAGTCTCTTTAGTTTTCTGGGATTGTTCATTTGTCAATTAATTTTCTTTCAAGGAAACTTTAAAAAAGGTTTTTAAATTTGGGGATTGAGGGTGGAGAGTCTAACTAAAGGTATCACTTGTCCTATATATATTAAAAAAAGATAGTCTAAGCCCACATTCCTGGAATCAGAATGAGGCAGAAAATTGGACTGAGTTCAAAGAATTGTAAGACAAATGATTAGGAGCTTGGCAGAAGTGAATATTAAGTAAAGAGTAAAATTACCGACTGTGTATAGTTAGATTAGGCCAGAGTATGAAGTGGGGGAGGAGGGTAAAATAGATGGAGCTCTTTGAGATTTGTGATCCTCAAGTACCGCTCCCAGGGATCGAACGGCAAATATTCTGTCAGGTGACTGTGGATTTAATAATCAAAAGTCATTCTTGCCTGTGAGCTACATGAAAGCAAGGGCGGCACTGCTTCATCAAAATGGCATTTCCTTGGAAAACACACTGTAAATAAAAAGTGGTAGTAAAACAGGCTATACTTATAAATATCATAACGTGTGAGTTTTGTGCTGGAACAAAATGCAGAAAGTTTGTTGGCCATATCCCAGGCAGACTGAATTGCCCTTTGAGAGAGACTAGAGTTTTTTTAAGCACAGGGCTACCTAAATATTCTCCCAGTTTCCAACTGCTTTCTTCAACTTTTTCCTTTGCCTTGTTCTTTCTTCCTCAAGAGGGCACCAACACCCCATCCCTAGAAAGGGTGCTGCTATGTGTGGATTTCACATTGAATGTTGAAAACATCTCTCTACAGGAAAGAACCTGGTTATAGACCAATAAACCAATAATGAGACTTCCTATTTAGTTTCAAATATCTTTAAAAACAAATTGCATTTTGTTTAATCCCAGACTGATCATTAAACAAACAAACAAAAAAATCTGTTATATTTGGGAGAGGAGAACTGTGAGATTATGTTCATGGTCTCAAAATAAGAGAGGCAAAGTTCAGCTGAACTGCAACAATTAGACATGATTGTGCATTCACATTTGCAGGATATTTTTCTTAAGTCTTGGTGGGAGCATGAAAGGAGACCTTATTGTGTGTGTGAGACTGGTATACAAACCAGCGAGCACACATTAATGACAAACAGTCTTTGTTAAAACCCAGGCAGCAGATATGTTAGAGGTATGCCAAAGAAAGCTTAACATTCCTCTGTCGAACATGTAGCACTTTTATTTTGGTCGAAGAATGCTATAGACAAAGGATATAGCAACGCTGTGGACTGGCTGCGTTCTTTTAACATTTGCTTTCATATGGAATAAAATGCGTAATTTCTCCCAATCCTTATCTTTGTCTGGGTGGTGAAATTCATAAATAGCATGAGTACCACATCATATTTTCTGTACCTATTTGAATGGAATGAAGCAATGTTGCCTACAGGTTTTGTTTTGGATTGTGAGCTAATGACCACATGTTAGGAGCCACTGTTTACAAAAGTCATTTCCATAGTGTTTACTGCTTTGACCAAATGAAATTTACAATAACTTAAATCTAACATTTAACGATACACATAATTGTTATTGTGCCATTATATTATTAGGCATAAATGGAAAGCAGTTTACATAATAAATATTATTTTACCCAGAAGAACAAGAGTTTGGAGTTTTACTCCTCATTCAGCTTGACTGTGGTCATAGATATAAAATTATAATGATATTGTCATTTTACTCTAAAATTATGCTTTCCTCCATCTCATTTTTTTCACTTTTTCCCTCTTCTGTCTCTTCTCTTTTTCTTTATCTTAGTAACAACTGTAGTCATCATTGTTACTATCATCATCTTCCCCGAACACTGACATATTCTGATATCCACGCATATTGGGGGTGAGAGCTTTGGATCTGGCTTCCAAAGTTGGGAGATCCTTGGTCTAAGACCCTCCGTCCTCCTGTGCCCAGGGGCAAAGTTCTCAGGGCTTTGCTTCCTCTACCTGTACTTAATCCCTTTGATAACCTGAATTAATTTCTGGGGTCCGCTGTAAGAAATTAGCACAAACTTGGTGGCTTAAAACAACAGAAATTTACTCTCTCATAGTTCTGGCGGCCAGAAGTCTGAAATCAAGGTGTCCTCAGGGCCATCTCTGTCTGAAGGCTCTAGGGGAGGATCTCTCCTTCCCTTTTCCTAGCTTCTGGTGGTTGCCAGCAATCCCTGGTGCTCTTTGGCTTGCCTCTTTCCAGTCTCACTTGTGTTGTCACATGGGATTCCCTCTGTGTGTCTGTGTCCAAATCTCCCTCTTATAAAGATGCCAGTCCTCTTGGATTTGGGACCCAAATCCAATATAACATCATCTTAACTTGATTTCATCAGCAAAGACCATATTTCCAAATAAAGTATTTATAGGTTCTGGGATGACCTGAACTTTTGGGGGACACTATTCCACCTACTACATACTCCCAGCCCTATGCCACCCCCTTCCTGAAGGGGGCGATCTGCTTCCTGCTGCTGCTGTTCCTCTTGCCTGTTTTTCTTGCTGCCATGTTTTCACACCTAGCAAAGAGCCGGGTGTGACTGAATACCTATTTGTTAAAAGATTAATGTTCCAGAAGCATACTTTCTAGGAGGCTTAAAACTGCAATAACTCCAAGATCTGAAACTGTGGATTCCCTGAAAAGGGGAGTTGTAGAGAAAGACGAGAACCTAGGCCAATGGTGAAGCCACAGGAGAATGAGGAAGGCATAGGGGGAAAGCTGAACATCTGGGAGACTTAGACCAGGGTGTTGAAAGGAAAGCAACTGGCGTCAAGAAGTCAGGGCAAGGATGGAGGAGTCCGGGTTGCTAGCACATGATTCCCTAGTCCTGAGCTATACACAGAGGAGACGGTGCAGTGAGAGATAGAGCAAGACAGACCTCTAAAAGTATCCATTATGCTCGGATCTGTTTCCTATTACTTGATACTTTCCCACCAAGATAAATCTCCACCAACTTGTTGCTGCTTTTAATAGGAAAGAAAAAATTTTGAACCAAATATGACCAGGACAATTAAATCTGGTTAAAATTTGGTAGAATGGCACATGCCAATGGTTGCTCCTTTGCTCTTTTTCCTGAGAAAAAGATATAGAGTGGGGCCTCTAGGTGAGATGGTAGACACCTGATGGAAGAATGGCAGAATGAGGAGAAAGCTGCACATTTTAGGTTTTGCCGAGTCTATCCTGCTTATCTCTGTTCCCATGGGGACATGTATAGACGTGTTTCATATTTAGAGCAGCTGGGCTGAACTACGTCTCAGCAGGTGTTTCCTGTGAAAGGCTTTTCAGATTATGATGATCAAATCATATGCACAGTGTGGTAAAATTCATGGGTGACTCATGGATGCCACAAAATAATTGTCATATCATGTTTATTTAAAGGTCTTGAAAGGGCTTAGAGGTCACATTCATTGTGGTTATTACAGAAGATTTTTCAAATGACATCCATCAGGTGATGAAAAGAAAATCCTACCAAGTCATATTTTAAGTCCAGAAAAGAAATTTTAAACAACTGGATCTTCTGGGCAACATTTTTTGTTTGTTTGTTTGTTTATCTGTTTCTTTTTGAGATGGAGTCTCACTCTGTCATCCAGGCTGGAGTGCAGTGGCACAATCTCGGCTCACTGCAGCCTCCACCTCCTGGGTTCAAGCGATTCTCCTGCCTCAGTTTTCCAAGTAGCTGGGACTGCAGGCATGCACCACCACACCTGACTAACTTTTGTATTTTTAGTAGAGACGGGGTTTCACCATGTCAGTCCCGCTGGTCTCGAACTCCTTGCCTCAAGTGATCCGCCTGCCTTGGCCTCCCAAACTGCTGGGGTTATAGGCGTGAGTCACCATGACCAGCCTAGGCATAGATTTATTGCATAGATTCAGTGATCCCTCCTGATCCAGCACCTTCTTCTACCTTTGGGAAAATGGAGGCCTAGGGAGAGAAAGGGATTTGTCCAAAAGTAGCACAGATTATTACAAGGAAAGCCAGGACTCAGACCCAGGTCTACTGAGCCTAATGCTTCTTCCACTCCACTGTGCTGCAAAATTGTCACAGCTGTCTTAAATTTAGCTATCTTCTAACATTCTTTAGAGTACCATAGTGATGATGGCCTTTGGATTTTTTTCAAGCAAAGGCAACATATAAAAAGAAAATGAAAATAAGAAAATTTGTCTATTAATTCATCATATGCTTATTGTGAGCCAATTTTATACCAGATACTACACCCAGTGCTGAGTTATTATTTGAACTTCTGATCCAAAGACACATAATGCACTCTTGAAGACTGCAATCTCGAATTTTGGTCAACATTCTTGCCTTTTTTTTTTTTTTGAGACAGAATCTTGCTCTGTTGCCCAGGTTGGAGTGCAGTGGCACAGTCTCAGCTCACTGCAACTTCCACCTCCTGGGTTCAAGCGATTCTCATGCCTCAGCCTCATGAGTAAGCTGGGATTACATATGTGCACCACCAAACCTAGCTAATTTTTGCATTTTTAGTAGAGACACAGTTTTGCCATGTTGGCCAGGCTGGTCTCAAACTCTTGGCCTCAAGTGATCCACCTGCCTTGGCCTCCCAAAGTGCTGAGATTACAGGCATGAGCCACCACACCAGGCCAGCATTTTTGCTTTCAACATTATTTTTTAACTCAACAAAATATTTTCTACAGGTTCTGTTGCTCTCCAGTAAAATGCTTTCATATTTCATAGTAGTGGGCGAGAAGAGGGCAGGGGTGTTGGGTATTGGTTAGGTCCTAATACTAGGTGGTGAGGCCCAAGCTTAATGTAAGATCTCCTGAAGGCCAATGGGACCAAAATAATCCCACTAACCTTTGATCTCTTAGAGGGCATGTAGGAGCCATTCCATGCATCACCTTCCACCCCAGCTTCACATTCTCTTAGGTAAAGGTATAATACATATTTGGACTAAAATGTAAATATTACAAATTGTTCCCTCCATTTTCTGTTCCTTCTACCTGGCTGTACCTCTAAACACACATGTGTGTTGGGTGGGGGAGCAAGATGATTAGTTAAAACATTGAAGTTGTCCTAACATATTAGAGCTGAATTTTATGTGCTTTCTTTGTAAGTTATGCCTATGTTGCTAGCAAGATACTTGGGAGTCACCTTCATGCTTTCCCTTCTACCATCTCATATCTATCATAAAGCCCCATAGATTCTTCCTTTAAATCAGCTGAAAGCTTCTCTTATTCTCTATGTCTACTGCTGTAACTATAGTTCAGGCCGTTGTTATCACATGAGAGAGAATGTAGCGATCTCCCTGATTTAGTTTTGTTCCTTCACTAATTTCTGCCATGCCAGACATAAGTTATGTCTTCCTAAAACATCAGTGTCATGATAACATTTGTCCTGAATGCCACCCAAAATTGGATGGCCTCCATGGCTAGCGATTTGCTTGTCAACCTGGCTTGATATATGAATCATCAACTAATTTATTCTCAAGAATCTATAATTGCCTCCCCTTGCTTTTTGAATCAACCAGAATTTAAACATTCAATACTTTTCTTCTACTCTAATTTTATACTCCTAAACTCGCCTTAATGCACCCTCTCTTCTTCTCGGATTGGCCACTGCCCCATGCACTATCTTTATTAATGTATTTTTGCTTTTGATTATATGGCTTTTGTCTCCATGCCCAACCTCTTTCCATTTAGATAATTGTGTCATCTATTTTAACCTACCTGTACTTTCAAATCCATTCCAAGGAACAGCTCCTCATGGTGCCATTTGTAGTCACTCTTGTCAATAATGATTTCATCCCTTCTGGACTATCTGTAGGACTCTCTAAGAATCATAAACTATAGAACCTGATGATATTTAATGTAAAACTTAATGATATACTATCTTGTATTATTTTGCAGTTGTTTTCATGCATATTTCATTCATAAAATAGAAATCCTAATACTTCCCTTGAAGTATTGGCACATTAAATGTAAAGTGCTTAGAACTGTGTCTGGCATAGAGTTGACTTTTGATGAGTTTCCATCTCCTTCTGTTTTCCTTTTTCAGAAGATTCAAGTTATATCTGATAATTTTATTACTTCTATAGCAGATATTAGATACAATCATACAGTAGTTCTTAATCAATTCTTATCGACCAGAACACAGTTGACCTAGAGACCCACACCCTTGAATCTGACATCAAATATGTATATTTATATACTCTTGGGTCATAATGTTATCAATTTTAAAAATCAATATTCTCAAATTATGATACCTAGTCATCTATTTATTGCCATAAAATTTCATCTTACTCCACTTATTAGTATTTAAATTTAAATATTAGTCTGGAACATGTGCAGACTAAAATTCTGTCTGTTGATGGCATAGCATTGTCATTACCCATTATGGTCTTTGCTTTGAGACGTGAGTGCTGCAAAGCCAGCAAGCCTTGCTGAAAGTGCACATTTTCTATTTTCATGTTTGCCTTCCTTTTCTGTTGGCAGAGGAGGAAACCAGAGCTCCAGAAATTAGGAAGCTTGGCTGAAGCGAGTCCAGCTTTCCAATTCTCAAAGCCCTTGTCTGGACAGCTGCCCTTCTGAGGATGTAGTCAGTTTTTACTCTTGCTTTTAAGAGCAGTCTTGTTCTACTCAGATGTTCTTTCACAAACTTTTTTAACTCACTAAAATTAAAACATTTGTTCCTGACTTCCCAAACATTATTTATAAGCTCTCAACTGCTGGACAGAGTACACAATTATTCCTTGGAATAAAAGCACTCCAAGTCATATTTATTTCAGTTTCTGCTACTATCCATGAAAGCTGTTTTAATTTTCTGTATAGTGGTAAGATTCATGCTGCAGGCAATTATCATCAGCCATGTATATTTTGAAAACAATCCCTAGTTTGGCAATAGTTATTCCTAAAGTGATATTTCTTTGCTAGACAGCATCATACAATAAAACAGATTTTTGCCAAGTATTCTAATCATCCGAATCTAAGACAACATATTATTTATTTCAAATGGTCAGTCGTGTTCCAATCACCATTGCACATTAGATTAGAAATTATCCAGTTGGTGTGTAAACATTCCGCTAATTTACCTCGTGTCTGGTTCTTTTATTTGATCTTCAGGAATTTAAATAATTTAATGTTTAGCTCTCAGTTCAACCTTTGCTTTCTGGATATTTACTTGGAACTTCCTCGTGTTTATTTAAGGATATTAGAAGTGCTTGGGGAGGATGTTTTTACTGCCCACGAGGTTGGTACAGCTATGTTGATAATGTGGCAGTAGGTTTACAACAGTCTTGCCTGCTTGGTTAAAGTGATTGTCTAATTTCTTCCATCATGAACCCATCTAAGGAGCTTAGCTCTGTTGAGCAATAAACACCAGTGCCACCAGACTGGCAGGCCTGAAGAAAACTAGTGAGACAATCACATTCCTTTAGCGTGCTCCCAGTTTCCAACGTTAAAATTTTATTTATTTTTCCTCCATGGTTTGGAACTTTAGAGTAAAACATATCTAGACACTTCCACTTTCTAGCCGTCAGGCCTTCGACAAGTTACTCAATCTGTCTGAGCCTCAGTTTCTTACCTGCAAGATGGGAATAAGATATATTTTTCTTGAAAAGATTATTGCAGGGATTAAGTGATATTGGACATGTGAAAGCACCTTGCAAGACTTTAGGTTATTTTTCTCTCAAAACAGTTCCTTTTTCTTGTGTACTTACTAGAAACCTCTTATTTATTTAAGTGTATGACAGTTTACTTAAATATATGATAATTTGCAGTCAAAAAGCATCATTTCTCTTCTCTTGTTATAGGCACCCTGAAATTTCTTTTGCAATCTCCATTTTCCAGATATAACTCATTCTCAAAGACCTGAAACTCTTCACACACTGAAGTATAAATTACTGGTAACAACCTAAACTCTTAATCTATAAATGTGAATGTTTCTCCCAAGGCTTTAAGTTTAAGAAGTGTCTGAACAGCTATAGAATTATAGGCATTCATTCGATTGTAGATTCTTTCCATCATTCATTATCTGAGTGCCTACTATGTGTCAGGGACCTTTTCAGCTGCTGCAAACATTGCAATGGAGAAAACAGATGACAATTCCTGGCCATCTTTCAGCTAATATCTACGAGATAACAGCTATAATAGTGGCTCTGACCAGATCCAAGGTGACCAGCAGAGAAGCAGCAACACAGTAGGATGTGGCAAAAATGAAGAAAGCCCAGAAGCTCAGGCATGCTGAAGCAGAGATGGATTTCCCTTTTCTCATGGGCCACCCCCCACCATACTCCCGGCAGCCTAAAACATAGCTCTTCTATAGCCAGCTGGGGTTAAGGGCCACTTTTACAGTTTAAAATGCTTGAAATATAGCTGGTGGTAATGGAGGATTTGCTTTATTAGTTCATTTTTATGTATGAGAGAAACTGTAATAGAAAAAAAATCAGTGTGCATCTTTTTTCAATTTGAGTCCAAGAGATTTTTGGCATTAAAGCTTTTTCAGTTTCAAATGTTCCAACTCTGGCTGTATTTATGTGATGCCAAACCAACTAGTTGAAAAATTACAAGTATGGGAAATTAGCCAAGTCTTTTGTCTACAAACTGCCAACCAACCAGGTTGCCTAATTTTTTTTTTCTTCACTGAATTGTCCCATCATTCAACTGAATTGACTGACAATGGCCTGCGAGATGCAAACAAAGCAGAAAATCTGTTTTGTATAATTCAAAGTATTGATTCATTGTTGTCTGGTAGAATATGCTCATTGTAGAGAATACATATAATACAGAAAATATCAGAAAACAAAAATCACCCAAAGTCCTATCATGCACAAATATTGATATATACCCTTGCAGGATTTTCATGCATGTAGACATATGTCACAAAACTGGAATAATGCTCTAAATATGATTTTATCAGATTTTTCTCTTTTTACTTAATGGTATATTATAAACATATTACTAAATATTTTTTAAAACCATTTTTTTTTGCATGTCTTTCCCATATATGAATGTACCATCATTTATTTCACCAATCTCCTATGGGTGGGCATTTGGGTTATTTCCAATTTTGGGCTATTATAAAAATTCAGTAATAAACCTTTCTTGAAATATAAATTTTTGTGTGTACCTCTGATTATTACATTGGTACACAACTTTAAATAGAATATTTTCAAACTCTTAATCAACATTGCCAAAACCTCCCATCAACATGGTTGTAGCAAAAATTATAGCAGATTTATATCCTCACATACAAGCATGTTTATAAGAATTTCCCCTCCGTTCTCCTGCCAATTTTTAATCTTTGCCAGTTTGATAAATGAGAAAAATTATATTTCATTGCTTTATTTATAGTTCTTAAATTACTAATGAGAATAGACATTTTTCATTTTTATTGGCCATATGTATTTTTTGTGATCATTCTTTTATTATTATTTTATTTTAGATTCAGGGGGTCCATGTGCAGGTTTGTTACAGAAATATATTTCATAATAATGAGGTTTGGGCTTCTATTTCTAAATGCTTTCTCTTCAAAATGAGGAAATGCAAATAACAGCAGAAGATTAACATAATGTTTTTAAGTTTCCATCTCCAGAAAATCAAAGAAAGCACTTTAATAAATGTTTTTCTCTTCTTCAGAAGGACACTAAAATAGGAAGCTTTCCTCATTTTCCCTTGTAGCAATTGTTTTTGAATTTACTAATTAAGTTCTAATTTAAGAAATTTAATAAGGTGCTAGAGCTAAGCTGAAGAAGTTTAGAAAGATAAAATTTCTGCCCAGTGGGTTTGGGTTTTGGATAATGTGGATTCGAGAGTGTCATGTCTGATGTCCGCCTTAGGCTTATCTTTTGAATGCTGTTTCCTGTTACCTTCCCAGAAAGGGGTGTGGAAAAGTGATTGAAGCTTGAAAATACTGAAGCCATTAGTAGAAGTTCCATCTCCTGAAAGTGGTGATTCTGAAATTATATAAGGCAAAATTAACAATTATGCTTAATTACTTTCACTCATGTGTTCATTAAAATCAAGTGCTGTCAGCCCATTCGTTATTACGGAGTCGTAACCTTGATATGGTCATTTCCTTCTATTTTGCCTAAATTTCCTTTCCTTGTGCCAAAATAAGCAGAACACATGCTCACCTATAAAATGCAAAATCTTGCGATATTTTTAAAAGAAAAGACTACATTGCCTTAATAGATCCTTTCTTGAGATTTCATTTTACTTTGTAGATAATGTATCTTTTTGCTACTTTGCTATAAATTTTAAACAAGGAAAAGTATCAAAATCAGCACATGGCTAGTGTGTATGGGCCCAGGTCCTATAAATAACTATGCCAGCTAGTCCTAATGTGGAAAAATGGAAAACCAGATCCTGTTAACAAAAGGAAAATTCCATTTTTCATACATGGTACTGCTCTTATTCCTCGCCCAGTGAAAAACAAGCACTTTCCTTTTCTCCGTGTGTATTACATTAATGTGTTGGCAATACAGGTGTTTCAATCTTTATAGTAAAGGCAACAAATCTATCACCATACTCACTTCACATAAAAGCTTGGTCTCTGCAGAAGCAAATTTGTACCATCTTCTATCTTCTCTCTTACATTCCCCCCTGACTCCCCCTCTTTCCTAAACTGCTTGATACTGAAATGGAGGTCTTGCCTAGAGGTCTCCAACTCAGGCCACAAATGGGCAGAACCCATTATTTAGATAGGACTTAGCCAATGAGCACCACCAGACTAGTAGAAAAATCAGGAGGAAACATGAACGAGAGAAGGTAGTGAAAGGGAACCTGATTTTAACTAGCTCTGTCTTTGGGGGAGGTATCTTTGGACAGCTCCCTCTACATTTGATGTATTCCTTTTGTCACACTCTATGGAATAATTTCCTTTAATAGAGCAGGACTCCTTAAGACAAAGGAAAGTTAAAGAATTACTCCCGTAGGCAGGAAAGAACTTTGGCCACCACTATATTTTCTCCAAAATTTTATTATGAAAATTATCAATCATATAATAATGCTGAAAGAATTTTACAGCAGACACCTATATACCCACCATGTAGTTTTACCATTGATATTTATTCTACTTGATCATGTATCTATCTATCTAAGCCTTATCCATCATTAATCCACTTGTTTTTATGCATTTCAAAATAAATTGCAGATCTCAGTATATATCCCCCTGAATACTTCACCCTGTGTCTTATTAAGTAGAGTTCCATTTTTGTTTACAGTTTTTTTATTTGATATAAAGTGTACATAGAGTGAAACACACAGATCTTAAATGTACATTTGTGGTATACTTCAAATGCATATGCCTGTGTGAACTGAAGGCCTAACAAGATTTAGAAAATTATCATCATCCCAGAAAGTTTCTTCATACTCCTTCCCAGACATCCTGCCTGTCCTTGAAGCAGCAACTGTTTTGAGTCTTTCCTATCATGGATTTGCTTTGCCTGTTATAGAATGTAACATAAAAGAACTCATATGGTATGTTCTCTGGTGTGTAGGGCTTTTTTCACTCAGGATAATGTTTTTGAGATTCATCTAACATTCAGTATTTTGTTCCTTTTTATTGTGTAGTAGCAAATTGTATGCCATAGTTTATTATCCAGTTTGCCATCAACGGATATCTGAGCTGTTTCCAGTTTGGCTATTATGATAAAGCTGCTGTGAATGTTACCATAATGTATTTTGTAAACATAAGTTTTCATTTTCTTTGAGTGAATTCCTAGAAGTGGCCTTTTTCAGTGACAGGAAAGGTGAATGCTTAGTTTTATAAGAAACTGCCTGCAGCCAACAGACACATGAAAAAAAGCTCATCATCACTGGTCATCAGAGAAATGCAAATCAAAACTATAATGAGATACCATCTCATGCCGGTTAGAATGGCGATCATTAAGAAGTCAGGAAACAACAGATGCTGGAGAGGATGTGGAGAAGTAGGAACGCTTTTACACTGTTGGTGGGAGTGTAAATTAGTTCAACCATTGTGGAAGACAGTGTGGTGATTCCTCAAGGATCTAGAACTAGAAATACCATTTGACTCAGCAATCCTATTACTGGGTATATACCCAAAGGATTATAAATCATGCTACTATAAAGACACATGCACACGTATGTTTATTGCGGCACCATTCACAATAGCAAAGACTTGGAACCAACCCAAATGTCCATCAATGATAGAATGGATTAAGAAAATGTGGCACATATACACCATGGAATACTATGCAGCCATAAAAAAGGACGAGTTCATGTCCTTTGCATGGACATGGATGATGCTGGAAACCATCATTCTGAGCAAACTATCACAAGGACAGAAAACCAAACACTGCATGTTCTCACTCATAGGTGGGGAGTGAACAATGAAAACACTTGGACACAGGGTGGGGAACATCACACACTGGTGCCTGTCAGAGTCTGGGGGGCTGGGAGAGGGATAGTATTAGGAAAAATACCTAACATAAATGACGAGTTAATGGGTGCAGCAAACCAACATGGCATATCTATACCTATGTATCAAACCTACATGTTATGCACATGTACCCTAGAATTTAAAGTATTAAAAAAGAAAAGAAAAGAAAAGAAAAGGAAAGAAAAGAAAAGAAACTGCTGTTTTCCAAAGAGGTTGCACCATTTTACATTCCTGCCAACCACAAACAGATGAAAGTTTCAGGTGCCCCACATCCTCAGCAACATTTGGTGTTGTCATTCTTTTTAACTCTGGCTGTTCTATTGCATATGGCCACCATTATATATTTATATATGTCTGTTTAAACCTAACCTCAATGCTATTGATGCTTAGAATTTCTAGCTGTTCTCTGTCACCTTGGAGAAACAATGGCTCATTAGCTTTGGGCAAGTTCATCTCTTTCTTGCTGTTTGGTACTGAGGTGATGGACATAGAGTATAAAATAAAAATACATAAATAGCAAAGCATGGTAATATTAACAAATTGCGCAACAGAAGCCTAATAACATTATTGGCTACTATCGTATAGAGAGTGTATTATGCACCATGTATGCTGCTAAGCCCTTTATACAAGTTTTTGTCATTTATTTTTTTCAACAATCGTATGGAATAGTGGATAGTAAGTATACCATCCCAAATTACAAATGAAGAAACTGAAACTCGAATGTTAAAAAAAAAAAAAAAGCCCATGGTCACACTGCTACCAGAGGTTTGCCTGATCCACAGAGAGAAGGGATTGAAGAGGGCAACTAAATGTATTTAACTTAAGTAATAAATAAGATGTGTATATTTTCTGCCAACTGGTAAAGATGTTCATAATTTCAGTGACCCTCAAAAGGGAAAGTGGAGGAAAGAAAGTGTTTTTCTTCAGCATTACCTGCAGTATTCACACAACACTGAGTTAATTCATTAAAAGACCTCTGCATAACCCCTTAATGGGTAATTCAGCTTTCATAGAGTTCATTGTCTTTTACTTTCTTTTGTTTGCTTCACAGATGGAGTACTTTATAATGCCTATGAAAAATTTTCCATCTGGATTAGATCAACTTCAAATGGAAGACAAAGAGAGAGGTAAATGCTCCTGTGTTTCCACGGGGATCGTCAGGATAGGAAGACTTTTCCAAAAACAACACAAGCTTGGTCTCATAAATTGGGCAACAGGGAGAGCTAGTGCAATGAATAATAATCACTTATGGACTTTTTCTTTGGTAGCTTCAGACTGGGTCTTCCCCAGATAGTATGAGGCCTTTGTAAGATGGCTGTGGTGACAGCCAATGAGCTGTCAGCTGGATATTCCTTCACTGGAGTTCTTACTTTCATCTGCTCATATTCCATATTTATCTTAATGTCATTCTTCTCTATGTGATTATTGCAGAGATACTGCATTTTAATGACATTTTAACCTAACTTCATTCATTTAATGCTCACAATGGCTCTTCAATGGGGAATAAGAAGGAAAACTGAGATGCAGAAAGTTCATTCATTCACTTATTCAACATTTAAAGATCCCCACAGAGCTGAAAAGGACAGTCTTTTTCTTTAAAAAGCTTATGATTATGGATAGAGACAGATATATTAATAGATGATTACCTTCAAATGTGAAAAGTGCTACACGAGATTTAAGTAAAGAGTGTTAGGGAAGCAGAGGCAAATGGATGACTAAGGTTGGGTTATTTGGTATTGATAGGAAGGTAAGTCTATAGATACCAGGTGGGCTGATTCTTTGACTAATGCTTCTTTCATTAACAAAAATAGAGTTTACCCTCCATAATTTTTTAAAAATACACACCTTGCTCTCAAAAATATCTAAGGAGCTTACAAAAAGTTATATATAATATGAATTATTTGTACATGAATTTGAACTTCTTTAAAGTGGATCCATGATGCTGTGCCTTCAAACAAACCTGAAAGGTGTTTTTCTTCTCTCCTTTTCTTACATTTTTTCTCATCAGCCTGCACACAAGGATGGCTAGGCCCACCCCATGATGCCAAGGTGCATGGGAAAGTTTCCAAGGAAAAGAGTTATGGCTGCCCCATTACCCATGTTATCCCTTCCTCCAATAGCTAACATGCAAACAAGTGTGGAAGTCCCCATAGGCCAAAAGAGATGTGTCCCACTGCCCCTCAGCTGTGTCTAATCCTGATCCACATATCCCCTCCCCTCAATTCCAAGATTCTTCATTTTTCAAATGTTGTCATTAGACAGTCTTTACTTTATTTCTAATGTCTTTCCAGGGCAGGCCTGAAGGGTGAACAAGATTGGGGGAGAGGTGATGAAGAGCCATTTATTTTACCAGTAGGACCCCAGGGACTATTTCATGTGTATTCATTTTCATAATCCTTCATGGAAATGGCTTTAGTTACTTGGCATTTTCCTTTAAAAGTTAGTAGCAATCTACTTTCTATTGCTTGGGATAGGCTATTCAAGTAAGGAGACAGAAAAGGAGGAGGAGGAGGAAAATGGGGAGAAGGAGAAGGAGGAAGAAAGACCAACACAGACACTCTGAAAAAAAGAAAAGAAGAGTAGGGATTCAATGTAGTAAAATCTCATGACAGTTTTGGATGAGATTTGGACATAGTACTTTATCTGTTGAACTAAATTAAGCCAAATGAGAACAAGCTGTTACTGAGCTTTGAACTAAAATGTTCAATTTTTGCTATCCTTCACCTCTTTCCTTAGAAGATGAATGTGTTAAAAATAGCTCCTCTTTCCTTAAAGGAGGTACCTGTTTTATTTTCCAATCTAATCTTCCATCCATCTTCACTTCCTATCTGTCTTAGAGCTTTGAGAAATGTCTTGCTGCCTAGAAAAGCCCATTCCCTCAACTTGCCATCAGTTTCCCATTCCATTCATTTAGGCTTCAGTCACTTGCATTATGGGAAGCTATTGTAGCTTAACTATCGTATCAGACAAACTCCAATTCCAGTCATAAACTATATGCTGGATTCACTCTTTACATTCATGGAAAATCATTTAAAAAATGGTGTTTGGAACATTCTGCTGGCACTTCAAGCTCCATTTCTGGTATGTTTCAACAAAAAATATATTTGTGGATTCTTTTTCTCTTACACCTCCCTTTTCCCTCCCGCCTTAAAAAAGTTGGAGATTTTGTAAGTTAAATTAATGCTTGATGTAATTTCCTGTAATAGAAGGCACAGGCTCCAGCACTAACTATCCTTTCATGGAAAAACAGCTCATTGCCCCTGGATGTGGAGTCACACCGTTGAATTATGAGTCTGGATCATTGCTGAGTGGATCACTTTGGAGCCAGAAATCAGAGTGGTAGCAGGAGAAAAGAGTTGGCAACTGGAGGGGAGGGAAAGGGTTTGTTGGGAATGAGTGCCAGGACAATGTTTAAGGACAACAGAAATGCAGTGGAGAAAAGGGAAGGACACTTAAGTTACCTAGAAATAACTAAGAAGCCAGGAGAGATCCAGACTGTACTGGGTTAGAGCCTGCCATGCAGCAATTTAATTTCCAATATTATCGATAAGTGGAAAATTTCTGGGTTGTAATGCTTTTGAAAAGATAATGCAAGCCATGGTCTTTGGGATGTCAGGAGGACAAATAAGCAGATGAGGCAAAGGAATTCTGTATGTGAGATGAGTTAAAAGCAATCTGTATCCATTTGTAGGTCTGTGCTTATATGTCTTTCCAAACGCATCTCTAATCTCTTAGGTCTGGAAATTAAGTCTACATGCCAAACTTTCCTGTGTTGGTTTACCTGTCTATCCTGATTTAGGTGAGGCTAGATTGCTGTGCAAACAGAACTTATCTTGTGGTGAATGATTATGGTTTGCACTGTTTCCCGACTCAGCCTAAATGCAAGTACAGAGGCATTCAGTGAAGTTACTGTGGTTAGCTCTCCTAAACTTTCAGAGACTTCAGGTTTAAGTGGGGCCGATATTTGAATAAAGGGTCAAATAGGTGGTACAGGCCTCTTTTGAAATAATCTTAAACTAAATTTTACAGTTTAAGGTAAGATATGATCATATGGAGTGCTTATTGTGTCCTTGTTACCCAAAGAGCAGCAAGAAATAAATTAGACCACACAGGGAGGTATGTGTAGGTTAAGAAGGGCACAGATAAATTTGGGACAGAAGTGAATCTTTAATCCATGTTATTTAACTTAACACTCTTTTCTAAAGATTATTTGCTTCCTGAAGACATAGGTGCTATACCAAAAAAAAAAAAAAAAAAAAAAAAAAAAAAGAAGAAAAAGATAGTTGTGGTAGAATAAACAATGACTTTACCTTTAGGGGAAAGAGAAATTTAGGTTTCTGAAACACTAAAGGAGACATAAACATTGGGAGAATAATGAATTCCTGTGCAGCTCACCCAACAACTGAGCTGTAGTGTTACCCATATGCGGCAGTTCCATCCATCCACACTACAGCAAGGTTTCTCAGCCCTGGCACTATTGTCACTTTGGACTGGATACTTCTTTGTTGTGGGGTGCCATTCTGATGTTGGCAGAATCTCTGGCTTCTATCTACTAGTGACCAGTAGCACCTCCTACCTAAAAAATGGCAATGAAAAATGTCTTCAGGTATTGCTCAACATCCCCTCAGGGGCAAAAGGATCGCTGGTTAAGAACCACTGTACTGGCCGGGCGTAGTGGCTCATGCCTGTAATCCCAGCACTTTGAGAGGCTGAGGCGGGTGGATCACGAGGTCAGGCGTTCAAGACCAGCCTGGCCAACATAGTGAAACCCCATCTATAGTGAAAATACGAAAAATTAGCCAGGCGTGGTGGCGGGCACCTGTAATCCTAGCTACTCAGGAGGCTGAGGCAGGAGAATCACTTCAACCTGGGAGGCTGAAGTTGCAGTGAGCCGAGATTGTGCCACTGCACTCCAGCCGGGACAACAGTGCGAGACTCCATCCAAAAACAAAAAAACAAAACAAAACAAAACAAAAAACCCCACTGTACTAGAGCAATCATAAGGACTAGTCTAGATACTAAATAATTAGACCTTTATTTAATAGTATCTTAAGAAAAATGTAATGACAGACAAAATGGTGTTGTTGAAAAGGCAGGGTCAGGCAAGTGTGGATTCCAAGATTATTTTCTCTAAGTCACAGAGTTTGTCAAATGAGGGGCTCTGGAGATTGTGGATGGAATGTGAGAGACTGGAGGAGGAGAGAAAAGGGAAAACAACAAATGTTCAGTATAAAGAAATGGATACTCTTATTAAGAAAAATTCCATTTTTGTGTTTTCCTAAGGACACTTTGTGTGTGTGTGTGAGTGTGCGTGCACACGTGTGTGCACGTGTGTGTGTGATGTATCTGTGGCTTATCCGAGCTTCTAGAATGTAATATCATCCATAGAGTAAATCACTTACGTCTCTTAATTTATTGGAATTATGAGTTGATTACCTACCACATACCATGCACCGTGATAGGCACTGGGGATTCGATGGTGAGAAAACAGATTTGGTCCTTGCCTTCCTAATAATCTTCCTGTTGGGCAATTGGTATTGTTGAGCAGACAACTATGACTGGGTAAATCTGCGAGTGTATAAACCTGGAGCACCACATACAGGTTTTGAGAAAAGCAATCTTCCAAGGCCTAGAGTGTCCACGTACATTCTTTTTGAGTATGCCAAGAATGCAAGGCCCTGACCAATCTTTATCAGGACCACTTTTCAAGGTTATGTCTGCAGCAAGCAACCTTCAAGGATGAGGCAATGTGTACCTCTGGAACAAAGAGCAGGCTTGCTTACTGCTTGCTATAAAACAGCAGGTTCCCAAGCCAGTATTTCTCTGTTGTACAACAACCTATATGTGCACAGCATTCACCCGAGCCTCTTCTTGTTGTCCCCAGAAGACTTGGGTTGGGGAGGGCGGGGGGGCAAAGGAAACTGACACTCATGCTGCTTGCTATGCTGTGATTAATAAAGTCCTTTGTTTCTGACCCAGGAATCTCTAGTCTTCTTCTAACATCCATGAACCCAAAACAGGCAACCTTATCTTGTAAGCAGAGTAAAATCAGATGCCAGATCCTGACAGTGGGATCCAGTAAATGGGGCTTTAAAACAAGGGCAAGGAAAGGAGATTTTCAGAGTGACTATGAGGACAGACTTCAGTGCTTCATCTGAGTACTAGAGAGCAGCTAGTTCCAAGTGAAGCAGGAGAACTTGGCTCCAGGAGTGATCTCATTAAGGAAAAATGAAAAGGAGAAGTTCCTTGATATGCTTACACATAAAGAAAGGGGACTTACACATCTGGTGGAGACTTGGAGTATTAAGTATTTATAGATTTTACAAGTTCTCAGTTAATAAAAAAAATGATTCAGGCCTCTAGCACAGGCCCCATTAAAGATGTTACCTTCTCACGTAAGCTTTGGTGTCAGATGACTTCCACATAGCTACTATGAGTTGAGAGAGAGAAATGGAGGTGAGGAAATAAAGAAGTCAAGATTGAGAACTGCATCTAGGAAAAAAGTTCGGTAGACTATTAGACTATGAAATGACTGGCAGCAAATAGACCAATAGTCTAATGATTTTTTTTTTTTTTTTGAGACAGAGTTTTGCTGTTTTGCCCAGGCTGGAGTGAAGTGGTGCAATCCTGGCTCACTGCAACCTCCGCCCCCCAAGTTCAAGCGATTCTCCTCCCTCAGCCTCCCGAGTAGCTGGGATTATAGGCGCCACCACCATGCCTGGTTAATTTTTGTATTTTTAGTAGAGATGGGGTTTTGCCATATTGGACAGGCTGGTCTTGAACTCCTGACCTCAGGTGATCTGCCCACCTCAGCCTCCCAACGTGCTGGGATTACAGGCATGAGCCACCATGCCCAGCCTGGGAAGTCTAATGAATATTTTGAGGGAAGTGTATTGTCAAAGACACCATAAACTTAACCTCAAAAGCCTTTTGACTGCTCTGTAAGTCTTGAAGCAAACCCCTAGCAGAAAGTGTACTGTTAGAATCCACCCAGTTCTCGGGGAAGGCAGGCACCTCAAAACCCACTTCAATGGAAAATAACATACAAGGAAAAATTTCCCAGAGGGAAGATTCAGGAGCCATGGAAGACAGTGGATAGGAAACTTCTTTCCCAGAACTGAATCTGAGTCTAAGCAAGGAATTTGCCAATACCCAGGAGTTGAAATCCTGCTCACAGGATTCCATCATTGCTATGTGACCATGACTGCTTCTGTTCTTCAGTTTTCCTGCTCTCCCGTTGCCTATTGAGTGTGTGCATATGCTTTGGGGGAGCGGGGACAGCAAATTACTTGTCTGTTTAGTTTGTAGGTTCTTGGGCTTGAAGAGTTGTATCTAAACCTTAGAGAGAGGACTGTGTATTACCTGTGGATCTCAATTTTGATGGAGAAGCAGTAACTCTGGGGCTTGGGGTTATAGCCCTAGTGGAAGAACTGATTATGGTAGGCCTGTGGGAGGAAGAGTAAAACACATATATGCTGACTGGAATGACAGAGACAGCACTATGTTTATCCAAGTTTTTCTTTTCTTTTCTTTTCTTTTTTTTTTTGAGACGGAGTCTTGCTCTGTCCCCCAGGCTGGAGTGCAGTGGTGTGATCTCGGCTCACTGCAAGCTCCGCCTCCCGGGTTCACGCCATTCTCCTGCCTCAGCCTCCCGAGTAGCTGGGACTACAGGCACCCGCCACCACACCTGGCTAATTTTTTGTATTTTTAGTAGAGACGGGGTTTCACCATGTTAGCCAGGATGGTCTCGATCTCCTGACCTCGTGATCCGCCTGCCTCGGCCTCCCAAAGTGCTGGGATTACAGGCATGAGCCACCGCGCCCGGCCCCAAATTTTTCTATCCACTAACATAGATGCTATTTCTAATCTTCCTTGCAGCTAGGTTGTGCCGCATGCCTTGAATTCTGACCAGGGGTCTATGAATGGAAGGTACACACACCACTTCCAACCTATCTCATTAAAACATCACCCTGGCCTCTCTGCAGATATTGAGGATCCAACAGGGGACTCCAAGGCCCTGGGGGTAGAGAAGCATCAAGGTGGGAGGTTCTTGGGGCCCGAATCACCCCATAAAGGGTCTCCCACCAAGTGAAAACATCTGTATTGGATCTCCTATGTGTAAGAAGTAAACATTTACTGTGTTAAGCCAATGAGATTTGGAGGTGTCTTTGTGACAACAACTAGTAAACTTACTAAACATAGAGGGGGAAAGTACAAAAATTACTAATATCAGGGAAAACAAAAAATTTTACAAGAAAAAATTGTAATCTTAGTATACTATACAAAATAGATGTGAATAAAGCAAGTACAAATGATTGATTCAGCCAAAATTTCTGCTATAATTTATGGAGAGGATGAGGGAAAAAGGAAAGAGAGAAGACAGAGAGATGAAGAGAAAGTCTGTTTTGCAGGAACAGAAAATATAACAGATTTAAATACTTATCTTCCTAAGTTGGAAATCAAAAGATATATCAAAAATGAAAAAACCCAGAAATAGCATGCTATTTAGAAATATGGAGATAAATACCAGAGCAAACACCTTAAAGAGTGGGAAGAGGAAATCAAGGGTGGAATCAGAGGCTGTGATTTTTTTTCATTATAAGCTTTGTAGAACTATTTGTTAAAGCTCTGCATGACATAACTTTGATAACAATCAAAATGAAATAAAAGAAAACAAAGTGAAACCTGACAAACGACTTCAAAGTAAAAGCCATTGAAATTGGAGAAAAGCAGTGGGCTGCAGTCCCCTAAAAACCAAGAAGAGAGTATATTTGGAGAAGCAGATGGTTATGGGAATGAAATGTTATTGAGATGTTAACCAAGATGAAAACTGAAAAGTGCTCATTGAATTGAGTGACAGTCATTGGTGACCTCAGTGAGGGAAGCTTTAGTGGAGTAGCAGGGGTGGGAGCAAGGAGGTGAGAAAATGAAGGAGTATATTTGAAACTGCTTTGGAAAGAGCTGCACTTTATGTATATAATGTAATTTAGATTATTGATTTTCTAAGACTCATGAGCCGTTTCTGCATATGAACCTCACACTGATGTGTAAAAAGGGAAAAGAAGATAAATGAGCTTGCTTAACATTACATGAATCTTCTACCATACTTCTGGAACACAGGCTCAAAGGGGCTTGTGCAGTCCTGAATGCTTAACCAAGAACCTTGAGAGCAAAACCACCTGGAAATCTGGGTTTGAATGGTCACAAGACTTCAGGGATGAAGCTTCACTGGGTATTCCCATCTAGTGATTATTTCTTTCATTTTCTACTCAAGTGAAGGGAAGATGGAGCCACTTAGAATGCATCATCCTTAACAAATAAAATATGATTAGATACCAAAACATATCATCCACCTTCACAGTAATTAGTCTTTATGCGTATTAGCTCTGATTGCTTTTCATAGTAAAAAAGATTTTCTAATCACTTTCTAAATTTTACACACACATCAGAAGAACAGAAACTCAGGGGAATCCCTGCTTAACATGGAAAAAAAGAAAATTAAAAATTCAAAAGTAAGAAGAAGGTTTGCATATACTCACAAGGGAGAAAATAGAACATAAGCTATCTCATTATTATTATAAAATATGTTGCATTTCTGTGGGTTTATAACTCATAATTAAGGGCTACACTTTTTTTTCATATAAAATAGCTCTACTTCCCATTCTCAAGAACAGAAAAGGTACAAAGGACTTTTTTTTCTTTTTTTTTTTAAATTGACAAAGTCTCAGTGTGTTGTCCAGACTGGTCCTGAACTGGCTTCAAGTGATCCTCCTGCCTCTGCTTCCCAAAGTGCTGGGATTATAAGTGTGAGCCATCATGCCCAGCCAGTACAAAGAATTTTTAAAAAGAAAGGAGAATGCAAGTTTCAGTTAGCAAGAACAGGAACATAATCTCTGGTTTAAAAGGTAGACTCTCAAGAAGAGAGAGCCTTATGCAAATGAGTTTGCAGAAGAAAGGCTATTTTGGAAACATAACTGGCATCTGAATGTCTGTCTCTCCAGGTGGCCTGTTCCCTTGACATAAATCTACTTGCTTTGAGTAACTTGTCTTTTCATAGATAGCCTGAGAATTACTTTCTTTGGAAAAAGCCCTACATTAGATATTCCCCTGGGATAAGTTCTCCATAAAATTTAGTGCAATCTGATTGAGCACGCACTATGTGTTAGGAACGGTAAAAGGCACCTGACATACTTACTTCTATTGAATTAGCCCAACAACCTAATGAGATAGGTGCCACCAGCCTCATTTTTCAGAGTTCACATTACTTTACCAAGGTCAAAGTATTTGTAAGTGGTAGAATCAGGATTCAAACCAGGCCCCGCAGCTCTTAAGTTGGGACTTGGAAACTTCGTGGGACAGAGTGTCCTTACTCCTGGGCTATCCCATTTGGTGTGTCTCTAATCCCCATTAGAAGCAGCAGCTACTAACAACTAAACTCATCTGTTTTCCTTTTCTCCATTCGACTCCACTCCACTCAAACATATTTCTATATACCTTAAAACACTTTCTTTTATAAAAAGTTTAATATCAGGATATCCCTTCAGCCACTGCCTCATTGGAGGTCCCATGTGATCTTCCATAAATGTGATCTCTCCTGTGTGTGTGTGTGTGTGTGTGTGAGAGAGAGAGAGAGAGAGAAAGAGAGAGAGAGAGAGGCAGAGACAGACAGAGAGAGAAAGAGAGAGAGAATATCTACAGATGTAGGAGGTGTAGTAGATTTAGACACACACATATTCATATACAGAGAACTTGTGATGTCCAGCTCTTGCCTGCTTAACATTGTCTTTATACATATGCTGTAGATTAGCAGTTCCCAACCTTTTTGGTGTCAGGGACCGGTTTCCTGGAAGACAGGTTTTCCACAGCCATTGGGTTGGGGGAGGTGGAAGGGGCTGGCTTGGGATGAAACTGTTCCACCTCAGATCATCAGGCATTAGATTCTGATGAGGAATGCTCAGCCTAGATCCCTCACATGCTCAGTTCACAATAAGGTTCGCACTACTATGAGAATCTAATGCCGCTGGCCAATCGGAAAGGAGGTGGAGCTTAGGAGGTAATGCTGATCACCTCCTGCTGTGCCGTCCAGTTCCAACAGGCCACTGACCAGTACTGGTCCATGGGCCAGGGGTTGGGGACCCCTGCTATAGATTACCAGCCCCCTCAAGTCCCTGAGCTAATGAGAAGAGCCTCTTATTCTTCTCCCCAGAGCTCTCTCTGGTTGGCACACTCCCTGTACACCATCTTGCCTTCTGCTCACCTTTTCCTCCTCTGTGCTCTACCTCTAGACACAATGCACTCAAGACCTGGCATGTCTGCTACCTTGCTCAGCACCTTGCAGAGAATCTGTCCATGCAACTCTTGCCTTTCTGCCCCAGAGTTTGGGAGGGAGCCTGAAGCTAAGGAGGAAATACCGGAGTGCTCTCCGGAGCAAATAAGAATCATTTTTTGGTCTCATCTCTCTCTCTCTCTTTTTTTTTTTTTTTTTGGAGACAGGGTCTCGTTCTGTCGCCCAGGCTGGAATGCAGTGGTGTCATTGTTCACTGCAGCCCCGACTCCCCAGGCTCAAGCGATCCTCCTGCCTCAGCCTCCCAAGTAGTTGGGATTACAGGCATGCGCCACCACACCAGGCTAATGTTTGTATTTTTTGTAGAGACCGGGTTTCATCATGTTGTCCGGGTTGGTCTTGAACTCCTGAGCTCAGGCAATCTGCCTGCCTTGCCCTCTTAAGGTGCTGGGATTATAAGCATGAGACACCACATCTGGTTTCATCTCATTCTTTAATTTCAGCAGTACTGAAGCTCAGTCTTGAACCCTAGTCAGCTTTGCTGGGGCTCCACCCATCAACATAATCTTATGAGGCCTCTTTCTCTCACATTGTGAATTTAATTCCAGTATCCTCCATGCCACCTACTGGGTCCTGCTTTATCTTTGATGGATCCTTCTTGAGCTAATGTGCTGTAGTCCAAGTGCTTTTGATTTTTCCACTATCCTAAAATTTGCCCCTACCACTAGATGAACATCTTGGATAGCAAAGCAAATTTGATATTAACATTAGTAGTTAATGTTTAATGAGCTTCTGTTCTAAGCATTTTACATCTATTATCTTAAAGTCCATACAACCTTATGTGGTAGGCTCTATTACTATCCCAATTATTTCATATTTTAATAATTATAATTACCCTAATATTTTATATTAATTTATTTAATCATTTGACAAATATTTGTTGAACACCTACTGTTTGAGGCATTGGGGAGACAGCAGTGAACAAACCATATAAAGTTCCTACTCTCATGGAGATTACCATATAGTAATGGGATATAGACAGTTAACAAATAAACATGTATATATCATATGGAGTGCCAGGAAGTACAAAGAGAGGAGATGGAGCCTGCTGGGGGAACAGGTGATGTCTTATTTAGGAGAGTTGGGGAACCCTCCCTCTCTAATAAGGTGACATCTGAGCAGAACTTTGAAGGAAGTGAGTTAGGATTGTAAATATTTAAAGAGGGTTCAAGGCAGAGGGAAGGGCTTCCTTGGTTTGTTCCAGGAATAGCAAGATGGCAGTGTGGCTGGAGTAGAACGAGTCCAAGGGATAAAGGGAGGAGTTGAGGTTACAGAAGTAGGAGGGGTCATCTGGTAGGGTCTTGTAGGTCACGGTGAGGATTTGGGGTTTGACTCTGAGTGAGATGATAAGTCATTGGGAAGAAAAAAAGAAAGTCAATGGGGCTGTTGGAGTAGGAGCCTTAGGATTAGAAAGAACACGCTAGATGTTCTGAGGAGTAGGGACTGTTAGGGGACAAGGGTAGGAAAGGAGGGACCATATGGGAGGTTACTGTAATAGTCCAGGTAAGAGAGGGTGGGGACTAGGGTGGTGGACATAGGAGTGTTTGGAAGTGGTCAGATGGGAGATGTATTTGTAAGGCTGATCCAATAGGATTTAGCTGGCATCATGGATGTGGGATGTGGCTCATGCCTGTAATCCTAGCACTTTGGGAGGCCAAGGCAGTCGGATTGCCTGAGGTCAGGAGTCTGAGCAGCCTGGGCAACATGGTGAAACCCCGTTTCTACTAAAATACGAAAAATTAGCCAGGCATGGCGGTGTGCACCTGTAATCCCAGCTACTCAGGAGGCTGAGAGAGGAGAATCACTTGAACCCAGGAGGTGCAGGTTGCAGTGAGCCGAGATCTCGCCACTGCACTCCAGCCTGGGTGACAGAGCGAGACTCCATCTCAAAAAAAAAAAAAAAAAGAAAGATGCATCAAGAATGACTCCAAGAGGCTTTTGGTGGAAGGAAATTTCCTTTTACTGAGTTGTGGGAGACTGGGTGAAGACCAAATTTAGGTAGGGGTTGGGAGGAATTGGAAATAAAGAGTTTAATTTGGGGCATGTTAACTTTGACATGTAGGTGGAATTGCTGAGTAGGCAGCTGGATATATGAGTCTGGAACCAAGACACAGAGTTTACATAACTTACCTAAGGTCACACAGCTAGTAGTAGGAGGGTGAGATATGAACCTAGGCCATCTAGTCATTGTGGTCTTGCTCTTAACTATTAACCACATCCTGCATCAGAACCCTCCACCTTCCTTTATGAAATGTTTTTGTGTTGTTGGGGACACTTCTTATGGGTCAGCCCTGTATTTTACCCCATTCCTGCAGTCCATGTGGTCTCAGTTTTCCTGCTTCTCATTGTGGGTTTACTGTTGAGATCAGTTTACCTTCTAAAAATGAGTAGGATGCTCTAATAATGGCTATATGCTGGAAAGAAAAAATTGTTACAGAAAAATGAAAATATCTCTTCTTCTACTCTTAGACCCTGGCTCAATTTGGCAGATCTGCAATAAGTACAATGAAGAAACAAAGGAATCTCTTAGGAAGTCACTGACTGACATTGACACCTTCCTTCTGCATTGCCTTAAAATTCTGTGTAATTGTATTTCTTCAATCCTGTTTTATTTGGGCTGAAATATGTAGTACAGAAGACAATAGTATTCATAAGAAATATTAAGAACAGTGATCATGCTGTTTGGGGAGATAACCTTAGTGCTTACTTTTATGCCATATATCCACTGTGATAAAAATACTGTGAATAGTGCTGTTACTAGCATATAACTATTTATACAGAAGATATTTAATAAACGAGTGACTCTTTCTTATGCTTTCCTATAACAGTGCTTAAAACTCAATTTTCCTGGAGCTATTTTATCAAAGAACAGAACACTAGAGTGGGCAGAGACTTTAGAGTTCTTCCAGCCCAGGACCTACATACATATTGTAGATGAGAAAACTGAGGACAGTTGGTGGCCAGGCTGGGAGAAGAGCCCAGACTCCCTAAGCCATAGCCCCACTATGCTGAGGGGAATATAGACTGTCTTTTGATTATTAGCTGGGCCTGCTGCTGGCCAGGCTTTGTTTCATGAATTCCTCTGTCTATTCCTTCACGAGGCTTAATGGCACTTCTGGATGTTCTTACCACCTCCACGCTGCTGAAACCTTGCCACATTCCCAAGCTGTGGCTTGTTTTGCAGCTGTTTCAAATGGGGATGCCATACTGAGAAGTAATACCTCTGAGCTGCCTTGTGCTTTTTCTCTGACCCGATCATGTGGACATCCCCCCTGGGTGTCCCAATCTGTGTAGTTTCAACGACCTGCTCTCCCAATCCATCCAGCTCATTATGTCCTAAGCATTCAGAGGCTCAGCTTCGTTTCAGTCCATCAAGAGTTTATGTTCTATGAGAGAGTTTGAGATCAACTTCATCCCTATTACGCTCACTGTGAAAAAGTGCCAGTGGAAATAAAAGAGCTCATACATCTAAATGATTTAAATTAAAGTAAAATAAAATTTTCCGTTCTTTTGAATTAGGCCATTAAAACTATAGCTTAGTCTAAGTACAGTATTAATGAGCAATATCGCAGGAGAGTATTAATTTTGCATTTCTTGACATAAAAATTTAAAACATGCAATTTTAGCTTTGCTTTAAGTAATATTTTGTATTCCCTTGACTTTTATTTGGAAACCCCAGAAATCAGGGTAAAAATGGGATAGTTCAAAATCAGATGCACTGAACTCATATGTAAGTACATGCTACCCTCTCATCTCCATGTTATATTGCAGACTTAAACCAGATATAGGATCATGTGGCATTTCATACCATCAAAGCACTAGTGGTAAAGGTTTATGTGAAATAGACCTTTAGACCTGTTGGTTTAATATATTCTGCATTTCTACCTTTAATAAAAGGATGTTCTAATAAAGATAGGCAAGGGTATAAAGATTGGGACCCCTAGTGGTTAGATGGATAGCTTATTTGCAGCCCAATGCTAATGGGGTAGCGATGTTGAGGCAATATGCCATCCATGCAGCTGGGGCCGCTCTTCTTGTCTTAAGTCATGTGTAAGCTTCAGGATCTAGGCTCTGCAGAAGTCGGAGAATCCCTGAGACTGTGGGAAGACTGTAGGTTACTCATTGGTGCAGGCGCTTTCAGAAGTCTCATAGTTTTCCTTTGGCTTTAGACACTACAAATCGCATCAAATCAGAGGTGTAGAATTATACGCTAGAGGGCTTTTCAGCCACCAGAGCAACCCTGTCCAGCAATTGCTATCTTGGAACAATGGCCATGTCCTTAATCAGGCAATCCAATTAGCCACACACAAATTATGAAGTCGATGTACCTAAAGCAATTTGTCTGCAAAAAATTTAAAACCTCCCTTAAGAATTTGCAATCAAGGAAAACCCTTTTCTCCTTCATTTTTTTTAATTGAAAGTTGGACACAGGACAGAATAAGGAAAACATTTCCAACGTTGAGTGTTGCCTAAGAGACTCTAAAGTATCAGCCAAAATTTTGTTTGAGTAAGTTGTGAGTGAGAGAGGAACACAGAGGGTAAGATTGGTGGTTTAATTGCATCATGTTCCTTAACAAGAGATGGCAAATATTGTATTTGATAAAAAAGACGATGTCTTATTTCCATTGTTATCTAGTCATGCAATGAAAGATTGCTTGTCATAGCCTGCAGCACTGTCAGTCACCCTCATTTTCCTGATCTTTGCAGCACTCAGCTTCTCTGAGAGTAAAAGAATAACTAGGAAGAAGCCTGCATGGCAGAGCATTTGTGCTTTCTTAGTTTTCCATTTAGTCCATGCACAATAACCATTTGTGTATTGTTCTTGACCAGGCACAAATCACCTTGTATTTAAAGATGTCTAAGAATTCTCAGGCCGGCCATGGTGGCTCATGCCTGTAATCCCAACACTTTGGGAGGCTGAGGCGGGCGGATCACGAGGTCAGGAGTTTGAGACCAGCCTGGCCAACATGGTGAAACCTCGTCTCTACTAAAAATATAAAAATTAGCTGGGAATAGTGGTGCACGTCTTTAATCCTAGCTACTGAGGAGGCTGAGGCAGGAGAATTGCTTGAACCCAGGAGACAGAGGTTGCAGTGAGCAGAGATCGCACCACTGCACTCCAGCCTGGGCAACAAAAGCGAGACTCTGTCTCGAAAAAAAGAATTATCTTGTACTCCAACTCTTTAATAAAAAGGAAATCTGCTGCCTGTCTTACAGGGTTTTCTTGCTAGATATAGTTTTAGAGATGGAAGAGAGTACCTAAAGTCAAATCCAAACTTCATTTCACACATGAAGATTCTGTGGCTCAGGAGGTAAAATGATGTGATTAAGATTATACACCCGGTCATTAGAAGACTAGGGATTAAGTTTCAGGGTGCCTGACTCCATGGCCTGTGCTTTAATACTGCTGTGAACCAAACTGGACAGGAAAATTGGTCAGGGATGAGGGCACAACTTCCAGGAGCCTGTATTTATAGTCACCTGTGCATAGAAATGAAAACATTTCTATTTATGTCTTCCTTATGCTGAGCATTCATAGATCCTCAACAACAAAACCCTTATGAGAACTTTGGAATTTATTTTATAGTCAGATAAAGCATATAAATATGAGATTTTTTATAGGTTAGACCCAGATTAATCAAGTCCAGCATTCTCTGTCTCTGTGGAATACACCACAAATCACCACAGCTCCTCTTAATCATTTATGAATCTCTTATACATAGATTTTTTGAAATTAACTTTACTCTTGCTATATAAAGTATAACTGTCTTTTGCTGTACCTAAATATGCCCCTTGCAAATTCAGTCTGTGTCTCCTAGTACCCTAGAATTTAAGGCACATATCAGTTTTCAACTTATCCACTACCACATTTACAGATTGAAGGTCCTAATATTTAAGTCTTTATGCAGTGGCCTCTCATTGCCAAATCGGCGTGACTGTCCTATTCTGAGCTATTTCTAGCTCCACTTTTCAAAGGCTGGGGAAAGTAAAACCAAGTGAAATGATGGCTTTTCCAAGTTCTGCTGAAAGTCACTGGCAAAGCCAAGAGCGAAGGCTTCTGATTCTCAATTAATTTCCAACTCCTAGTCACAAATGTCCTATTGTAAAAAATGTCCTTTTTGTTTGCTTGGCAATTTGCTAGTAAAGGAATCCAAGACAAAAATCCAAATGTCAATAACCTCAGTATTCAATGGCAGAGGTACAACTTCTGATGTGAATGGAAATTCATTTTGGGATATGGTGGTAGACTATCAAAGCATGATTGAAAGGGGAATGTTTTTACTGATGTTGAAAGCCAGTGCGCTCACTTAATGATTGAGCAGGAAAATTCAAGAAGAGAGTGAAGACATCAGATCACTATTTTTCTATTGTTCAGGGTAGTGTCTTTGGTATGCAGTCGTTGAAAGCCCTCCATTTTATGTGAGGAAATATTTTTTTTATTTCCCTCAATGTCTTAATATTGCTGCTGCTTCTCTCCGGGTTGAGGAGGCTGTATATTCTACCAAATGAAATGTTGAGTGGAGATGAGAAAGGAAAAATTAAAAAAATTAAAAAAAGCAGTGTTGTTGCTGACAGGGATATTTTAAAAATCAACACAGTTTCATATGTATTTATTAAGTGCCTACTATGTGCCAGTTACCAAGCTTGGCTCTGGGGAAATAGAATGAGTAAAACGCAGATGCCACCTATGTTAGGTAGGATATTTGGTCACAAGTGGTCAAAAACCAACATAAACTGGCTTGAGCAAAAACTCAGTTAAGTGGTTCACATAACGTAAAAATTCAGGCCATTGCTTGACCAGAGTTCAAACAATGTCACCAGGTCTCAACTTGTCTTTTCCGTCTCTTAGCTCTGTCTTCTAACATGTCCACTCTATTTTAAAGGAAGGATTGTGTGTTGCAAGATGTCTTCATTGATCCAGCACATCCCACAGGGAAGGCGCAGAATTTCATGGTACCTTATCAGCAAACACCGGGTCACATTCCCATACTGGGGGATGAAATGCTTTGATTTATTTTTTTCTAGCTCCATCCAAACTCTATGGGCCCTACAGGAGGAAGTTGTTCTTCAGAAGAAAATTAGGATACCATTACCATGGGATGAAAGGATGTTGAACAACCAATTTCTGTTCTACTTTCCTTGAAGAGCATATGTTCTAGTGGAGATCAGTTAGTTATCATTTCCACTGCCCTCCTCCTGGGAAACTGTGAAGCATACAGGAGAGCAAAAAGGCTTATGGTAGCCAGGCATGGTGGCTCACACCTGTAATCCCTGCACCTTGGGAGGCTGAGGCAGGCAGATCACCTGAGGTCAGGAGTTTGAGACTAGCCTGACCAACATGGAGAAACCCTGTCTCTACTAAAAATACAAAATTAGCTGGGCGTGGTTGTGGCTGCCTGTAATCCCAGCTACTTGGGAGCCTGAGGCAGGAGAATCGCTTGAACCTGGGAGGTGGATGTTGCGGTGAGCTGAGATAGTACCACTGCATTCCAGCCTGGGCAATAAAAGTGAAACTCTGTCTCAAAAAAAAGAAAAAAAGGGTTATGGTTATTAACAATTTAGAAAGATCCATCAGCAGATTGTCATCTGCTGACTGGAGACTCCCCCAAAGTGGACACACACACAAGATTGTGACGATCTTATATTTGTTTTAATCATCCCACCAAAATTAGCATTGTGTCCATTGAGTAATCATTGCTTTGTCCCTATGTATACAAACATTTCTTTTCCTGCCATCTTTCACCTCCCTGACTTCTCATTTCTTCAAAAATATTCACATTTTATACTTTCCTCTGAACTTCTGCCTCTCCTTCCCATTCAGGTTTTAGTCATATTGCATACCTAAATTTTGCAGAGCAGAATTTTCAACAAATTAGAGTGCATTGTTTGTTCCCTTGTTTTAATTCTTGGGAACATTTTGGGAGACAGGCTACACAAAAGACCTGATGTGCCTCAAAGCTGTAATATATTATCAGGTTTGAAATGCTAATAAGAGTCTATGGAAAGAACAGTTAGTTTAAAAGAAATAGTGAGCTTAAGTAGAAAAAAAAGCAAATTTTGAAGAGATGTGAAAGGTATTCCCAAAAAAAGGGTTACAGTTTAATAATACTGGGACAGTCCATTATGGAAAAGAAAGAAGTATTTAAGATTCAGCTGGGGAGGCTATAGACTCAATGTTATTTCCAATAATAAAAAACCCCATAGGGTTGTTAAACTAGCCTTGTAGAAGAGTGTCAGTGGCCTGGAGAACAATAGCAAGCACAGATGTGTGAAATGCATACACAGCTCACCACAGCAAGGCATCCAAAGTGGGTCACGGCACTGGAACCATTATTGAACATGTTAGGGGGTAGATTGGAACTCATTTTGGGGTTAACATAAACTTTTTTTTTGACCATCTTACTACTGTGGGGTGCCTTATAGACCTTGGCAGCAAGTTTTAATGTGTGGCTCATTAGAAGAAATGGAATGTTGGGATTTACTGGATAATACTTGAGAGAAATCTCTCCTGGGGAAACTTTGTGCTTTGCCCAGAAAGACAGTTCTTTGATAAGAATAAAAATAATAACTTGTTCCAGCACCTTCCTCCAGGACAATAATATTATCTTGATTTAAGTCATGCCTTTTTCTTTGTAGGAGCTCAAACTGAGTTTTATGTGGAACATTATTTCTGTTTATCATCACAAATTCCCTTTGAGGAAAGTAAGGGGTAGGTATTACTATTCCTATTTTAAAGTTGGGGAAACAGAAGCTCAGAGAAGGACAAATAAATCCCACTGCTTTAATATGCAGGTGATAGCTTAGTGCAAGTCCAAATATCTGTCATTAATCTAAAGAAGCTAAACCAGCTCCCCAAAGCTATATGATAATTCTTTTTCTTTCTCTCTCTCTCTTTTTTTTTTTTTTTTTAGAGACAGGGTCTTCCTCTGTCACCCAGACTGGAATGCAGTGGCATGATCCTAGCTCACTGCAGCCTCGAATTCCTGAGCTCAAAAGATCCTCCCGCATCAACTTCCCAAAGTTCTGGGATTACAGGTGTGAACCACCACAGCTGACCTGTATAATCATTCTTAAGAGATTGCGCTCTAGTTCATAGGAGGCTCGAGAACCATCTCCTGCTTTGAAGGCCATGCAAGAGAAATCTGAGCTATCTTTCAGTGTTGGATATGATGAGTTCGTGTCTAGTTTCCCAGCTGCGCATCTGCGGTTTTGGTCTGATTTGCAGGTTGGTTCCTTCTTTTTACCCAAGTGGGAGTATGTGCCCCAGTTTGGACTTTACCTTAGAACTCCAAACTCTTAGCTCTCTGATTTTTCATTTTTAAAATTAAGGAATAGGGGGGTTACCTCCTATTTGCTCCCACTCCCTTCTCTCAACTCTCAGGGAGCCTTGTTGCCCTACTCTGTGATGCACCCACTGAAGATTTACCAGCCCCAGGTGTGAGTCAAATTGAAAACCATTCTCCCAGAACTAGGCCCACACCCTGTATGGCCTGACAGTCTTAGCAGAATCCCCTGCGGACCAAGCACACAACTGATGATTGCTATTAGGTCCTAAAGACACAACCAACAGAGTCCAATGCATCAGCAGTTCTCAATCTTGGTTGCTCTTGAGAATCACCTGTGGAGCTTAAGAAATATATTGAGGCCTAGGCCCTGTTCTCCAGTAATTGTAATTTAACTGGTCTGAGGTAAGGCTAAGGCCTTAGTAGTTTTATAAATGCTCTCTAGGGTTGAGAGCCATGGACCTAAGTCCTGAATGTGATAGTCTGTATCTGTGCCATCACGAACAGTCCGTCATCTTTTGTAAGTGCAAGGGAACATAATGAAATATAGAGCATTGTGGAGCTGGTCCTATGCAATGCACTCCACATAGATTCTTTTATTGATTCTCATGATAACCCTGTGGGATGGTTACTTTTATGATCTTCATCTTTCAGATGAGGAAACCGAAGCATAGAGAGGTTGAGCAAATTGCCTAAGATCACACCTCTAGAAGTGACCAAAAGTGACTCTTTGGCTCCAAAACTGAGGTATGTCAGCGCTTACACTACAAAGTATTTGCAGCCACGTAAGCTCTGTGTCTCTAAGTTACAACTTGTGTTGCTTCTGGTATTCTCAATTCGATAGTTGTAATCTCTCCAAGTCCAGGCAGAAACAGCAAGAAGACACTAAGGCAAGGAAAACACTTAGGGAAAAATATTTTTTTATCTGCATTATGGAAGCCAAGCTATACATGCCTCCAGCCTATCTCTAAAGAGGAACAGAGAGAACACAACTCACTGACACTGTAAGTCCTCTTCTCCAGTGCAGCCTTTCACAGTCCACTCCCAGTTTCAGGTCCTTCCCCAACCATAACTCACATGGTGAGAAATGGGAACCTTCATAGGAACAAATTCAATCTCCAAGACTGCATAGGATATTAGTTTCTGAGTTTTAATGTTTCTGTGGCATGCAGTACCTACTCAGAGCATCAAAAAGTGTAAAGGTGGACCCTGGCTTTCACTAGCACCCTGACCCCAAGGATATCTTTATTGTCCCATTTGACGGATAGGCAAGTGCAAGATGACAGTGGGCTAGGTCATTGCCTGATAAAGAACAAGTAAGGGGAAGAATTCTTAACCCAAGAGCTTTGAATCCATCTTCCTGCTAAACTGTTCCCTAGTCAATGTCAGATGAGTGTATGCTGGGAAGTCCAGGGATGGGGAAACCTTAAGATCATCTCTGTAAGGTACCTCCACCAACATTTGCGTATGATACTTAGTTGAATTGGAAGTCAGGCTTCCAGGAAAAAGTGTAGCCTGACACTAAGAGTTGAAAGAGAGGGAGAGGGAGGGGATGGCCAGGGCACTAGGGCAGTTTATGGACTAATTATATTTAAATAAATATTTTAATTTTAATTTTTTAAACGTAGCATGGCCTCTTTCTTCTCCTGAAATACTGACCAATACTTTCCCCTGTCTCCCACTCCTAATAGTTTTCCCCACTCCTAGCCCCAATGCCAAAATTTAGGATCCCAGGACATCCCCATTTTCTACAGCAGAAGAGCAGCTTTGTAACTAAGTAATGCTAACTCAGTAGGCTCAAAATACTTGTAATCAGAAATGGACAGGCCTTACTGTCAAGGTTAGGGCAATCAAGTGTCCTGATTTGCCCCATTCTGTCAGTTTTACGATGGAAAATCTTGCTCCCGGGCAACATTTCTGTTCAGGGAAAACTGGGAGGGGTTGTTGTCACCCTGTAATATCAAGCTCCCTAATTTTATGGTGAGACTCCATAGCAGGAGAGAATACTTGCTGCAGTTTATTCATAAATATTTGCAGCTTCCTTTTCTAGTTGTTATACAAATGTTCATTGAAACTTGCTCTGATCCCAGAGGGGCTCTGGGGGTCGGGCCCTTCTGGCACATCTATGAATTAGGTGAGGAGAGAATGATTTTCTACAGCCAGTTTTGAGTCAGGGCTAATTTTCAAAATAGCCCATTCTCCTGCCTCCTGAGACATTTATGTAGCCGTCTGGTTTTCATGAATGCATTTGTGTTACCCAAGAGTGTAAACAGCCGTTAGTTCTCAGTGAACATGAGTTGTGAAAAACCTTGCATTGAGACTGCAGGAGACTGTGCTGCTATTCCAACTCTTCCTAATGTAATGCGGAAATTATTGTTGATATTTAGTGACAAGGTCTTTCCCGGGGAAGAATAAAGATCAGAAATCCCACTTTCCTCCTCAGCATCTTGCTTTCCTTTCCTTCCAAAATATGTAGTTCCACAAAGGTAATTTTTAAAAATCTCTCTTCTGAGGCAAAATGGCATTATTATATTTAAGAGTCAAAATGTAACCCATTGAAATCTGCTATTTTCTGCTCAGAGAAAAAAAATATGGGTTAACCTAGAATTTATATTTGCATTTTAATAAAAATTTGGGTTTAGCCAGGCACGGGGGCTCATGCCTATAATCCCAGCACTTTGGGAGGCCAAGGCAGGCGGATCACTTGAGGTCAGGAGTTCGAGACCAGTCTGGCCAACATAGTGAGACTCCCATCTCTACTAAAACACAAAAATTAGCTGGACATGGTGATACGCACCTGTAATCCCAGCTACGTGTGAGGCTGAGGCAGGAGAATCGCTTGAACCCGGGAGGCGGAGGTTGCAGTGAGCTGAGATCACGCCACTGTACTCCAGCCTGGGCAACAGAGTGAGACTCCATCTCAAAAAAAAAAAAAAATGGGTTTATAAAGATCAATACTATTAAAGATAATTACTGAACATATTTCATTTTAATATAAATTTTTTCATTCATGGCTAATTTCCTCTTTCTTGTTTTGGGGGTAAGGTGTAATCAGCATTTAATACTCACTCTTTCTTATGGGACTAGACTAAAGCAACATTTTTAAAAAAGACCGTTACTGTTTCTACAACTTCATCCTCGATGTTCGAGTTACTCATATTTAGTGTTGCTGAATGTTAAAAACAGATGTAAGAGCACTAAACATAAAGTTAAGGGTACAGGATGCAGAGGGGTGGTACAGTTGAGTCATTTGAATAAGAGTCATTGAGCACTTACTGGGTACAATGTTCTGAGCTTGGGCTGCTCAAGATTATAGAGCTTGGAAAAATGTGTGTTCTTCCATGTTTACCGAATGCAGGAATAGCAATGATGCACCACCTAGGCTTTTGAGTGAAAGCCAATTTTGTTGTTGTTGTTGTGAAGTGATTTTATGTTTAGAATCTTATATTTTACTGTTAGGCACATTTAAAAATTAAGTCCCTTAAAATGTTTCCCTACTGTGAAAATTGGCTGGGACTAAGATACCCAGTTGAAGAACACAGCAGATTCAGGGCACAGAGACAGTGCTGGCGTGCCACTTGATTCTGGCTCACCTCCGATTAGGCAATTAGTCCCACATTATTTGAGGACCCAATTTGCTTTTACATTTTAAAGTTGTAAAATGCAAAATGATTTTTTTCACTTCTTAATTATGAGTAATAAAAATTTAAGGGAATATAAAGTTTAACTTGTCTGTTAATTGAGGGGAAAAAGCCATGCTAAATCAGCCAAGAACAGAATGGTCACTGAAGAAACTCAGAAGAAACTGCCCGTGAGGATCCCGTTTGCTATTTTAATTAGCATCTGTCAATTAGAAGCAAATGACAGCAGGGAAGGAATCCTGATTAATAAAATCATCATCCCAATTTGAAAGAGAAGGTCAAATAGAACACAATGTCCCATTTGACATCGTTTTGAGGGTCTTATACACCTACATTTCTGGAATCCTCTTTTAGAGCTCATGAGACCAGTCTGTTAATCTGACCACTCAATTAACTCTGGGTATAATTAACTGCCTGCACGCCCCTGACTGGTACTAAAGCTCACTGTCAGCAAGATTAGCATCTGGCTCACGTGAGGAGGGTGACATGGTTTCCTCTCTTGCATAGTGACTGAGGGATAGGAAGGAGGGGAGGTTATGAGTCCCTCCCTGATTCCCATGTCTCTAGAACACGGCTGTTCCTCTATGAATTTGTCCAGAGCATGCAGGGGACCTATGAGAATATTAACTGGTTTGTGAACAAATTTCACAGTGCAATAGGACCAATTTCAGCAACTAGTTTGGCAGCGAAACTATTCTAAGTCATAAAAGAAAGGCTCCTAAGCATAAGTGACATTTAGTCACTGAGAAGCAGCCAACCTAGTTTCCAACCCCTCCTGTGAAATTAGTAAGCAGGGCATCTGTCTACATCTTAACAAACAAAGTGCAGATGCCAATCAGCGCTCAGCAGGGCTCTGTCAAATGCCGGCTGGTAAGCAGCTGCTTCCAAGGCCCTCCTTTCTCCAGGCTCAGCACAAAGTAGAATCTCAATTTGCTGGCCAAATTTAAATTTTATCGATCCAAACTTTTGCTGTTGAAGCAATGCTCTGGCTAGAGGACTTGATTTCAATGACAGTCGATTATGACAATAGCCTCAGCCTGCCTCTCACACACTCCCTGCCAGACCTCCCCATCACATACAACTTTTTCTTTACTTTCTTTTTTTTTTTTTTTAAATTTTACTTTAAGTTCTGGGATACATGTGCAGAATGTGCAGGTGTGTTACATAGGTATACATGTGCCATGGTGGTTTGCTGCTCCCATCAACCCATCATCTAGGTTTTAAGCTTCGCATCATTAGGTATTTGTCCTAATGCTCTCCCTCCCCTTGCCCCCCCACCCCCCAACAGGCCCCTCCCTATATCCATATGTTCTCATTGTTCAACTCCCACTTATGAGTGAGAACATGAGGTGTTTGTTTTTCTGTTCCTACACATACACCTTTTTCTAAGAAGGTCATGGGGAGCAAGGAGGCTCACCAGCTGGAAAATAACATTAAAACAGGAACCATGTGGAAATATCCAGATGAGTGATGAACCTAAGAAATCTGTTTTGAAATGTGAAGATAGAATTTACTCTAGTAGTAACTGATGGGAGAAATTGACATCATTTCTGAAAACTTCACAAATTCCAAGAGCTCAGTTGACTCAGGAAGCCTGGTGGAGCTAAGTCTAGAAGTAAGGGTATGAAAACCTAAGAAAGAAAACTGTTCTTTTCTAAAAATTTTCTCATAAGTATAGCAAAGTCTATTAGACTAATTTTTTAAAAAGTGGCAAAATTCACGTGACTGGTCCTCATCTTGGTTCCAAGCTTGCCAGCCACGGAACTCTGTGCTACTGCTTTCTACCCTGTAAAATAGTGGTGACACTAATAGTACCTACTCCATAAGCTTGCCAAGAGGACTCCATGGGGCAATACACATGAACCACTGAGCACAGTGCCTAGCTCATAGTAAGCACTCTATAAATGTTAGCTATTACAGTATTTCAATCTGGGACACATGAAACCTTGTAAGGCCTGAAACCTAAAATTCAACGCATAAGGTGATGGTTGCACAACTCTGTGAATATATGGAAAACCATTGAAAGTATTCGTTCTAAATGGGTGGAATTGTATGGTATGTGAATTATATCTTAATAAACATGTTACAGGGGAAAAAAGCAGAGAAAGAGCTTTTCCTATTTCCTTCCTTCCTTCCTTCCTTCTTCCCTTTCTTCCTTGCCATCTCTTTCTTTCTCTTTCTTTCCTTCCTTCCTTCCTTCCCTCTTTCTTTCTTCCTTCCCTTCTTTCTTTCTTTCTTTCTTTCTTTCTTTCTTTCTTTCTTTCTTTCTTTCTTTCTTTCTTTCTTTCCTTCCTTCCTTCCTTCCTTTCTTTCCTTCCTTCCTTCTTCCTTCCTTCCTTCCTTCCTTCCTTCTTTCTTTCTTTTTGACAGAGTTTCCCTGTGTCATCCCGGCTGGAGTGCAGTGGTGCCATCTTGGCTCACTGCAACCTCCTCTTCTTGGGCTCAAGTGATTCTCGTGCCTCAGCCTCCAGAGTAGCTGGAACTACAGGTGTGCCTCACCACACCTGGTTAATTTTTTTGTATCTTTAGTAGAGATTGGGTTTTGCCATGTTGGCCAGGCTGGTCTGGAGCTCTTGGCCTCAAGTGATCCACCTGCCTCAGCCTCCCCAAATGCTGGGATTACAGCCGTGAGCCACCAGGCATGGCCAGTTTTTCCTTTTTCTGATAAGAATTTTCTTCTTTGTCTGATATGAATGTAGTACAATATGAATGACAGAGTTCTATTTCTTTACAGAGCAAATGTAGTTTTCCTAAATCTGAACTTTAGTGTTTCCTTCAGGTGTGAGGGATACCCCAGATTGAAATATTTTGAACAACTAGGGTTTGAATTTGTGGAAATGAACAAATAAAGAAAGAATGGAATTGCAGAAATAAATAAGAGGGAGAGAGAGAAGAAGAGAGAGAGAATAGTCTATTAATTTGTAGCTTGCTATACAGCAAGGGACCATCACTTGCATTTTGGTAGAGACTCACAGGCAGTCAGGGGAATGGAAAAGCTTTACAGTGAAAAAAGGGGCTTTAGGTATTGATGGAATTCAGGACATGCTACCCCAAAATATGGCACCTTGGCATTTGAGGGAACAGCAGAAGGAGGTCATGGAACGTAGGAGGGCCACTCTCACCTTCCTTTCATCCTTCTCCTGTGAAGCAAGTCATAGGACCCTAATTCAAGAGGGATCCTCCCCATACCTGGAAGAAAGAAACTTCCTTATCTCTGAAGACACAGGGACACAGAGAAGAACCTGAACAAACAGGCCTTGCTAAGTCCCCCGACTCACCCCCTGCAGTGTATTACCATTAGAACAAACCCCTTTGTCCAATCATGCTTCTCTGTGACTATTCAACTCTTCATCAAACCTAAGCATAAAAATACACATTTATTTGTTTCTTTGGGTTTTTATCTCTTTGTGAAGACTTTTGTGTCATATAAAACTTATATTAAATGAACTTGTATGGTTTTCTGTCTTTAATCTGTCTTTTGTTAAAAGAATTTCAGCCATGAACCTAGCAATTTGGAGGAAAAGATATTTATTTCCCCTGGGGCAGGGGTCCTCAATCCCTGGACCACAGATAGGTGGTAGTCTGTGGCCTGTTAGGAATTGGGCCGCACAACAGGAAGTGAGCAGCGGGCGAGCAAGAGTGAGCAAAGCTTCACTGTATTTAAAGTTGCTCCCCATGGCTTGCATTACCACCTGAGCCCTGTCTACTGCCAGATCAGTGGCAGCATTAGATTCTCATAGGAGCGTGAACTTTATTGTGAACTGTGCATGTGAGGGATCTAGGTTGTGCGCTCCTTATGAGAATCTAATGCCTGATGATCTGTCACTGTCTCCCATCACCCCCATATGGGGCTTCCCAGATAGTTGCAGGAAAAGAAGCTCAGAGCTCCCACTGATTCTATATTCTGGTGAGTTGTATAATTATTTCATTCTGTATTACAACGTAATAATATTAGAAATAAAGTGCACAATAAATGTAATGTGCTTAAATCATCCAGAAACCATCTTCCCACCCCCAGTGTGTGGAAAAATTGTCTTCCATGAAACTGGTCCCTGGTGCCAAAAAGGTTGGATGGGAACCACTGCCCTAGGGTATGTTCTGATTGGAGGTCATTAGCATAGGGATGCAGGAGGCTGGCTAGCTAGAAGCACAAAATTTTATGTTATTTGGTATGGAGATAATATTTGGCTTTCTCTGGTTGATCCTGAGTTGGAAGCAGAGGGAACCAAAAATAGGGCAGCTGGCAGTCAATGTGCCAGTCTTGATTTTTCTGGGCCAACTGTTGCGGAGATTAGGATTTCCCTTCCTGAAATGATGTCTGCAGAGGTTATGGGTCAGAGTTCTATTGGCATAGATGGTCTGGCTACTGTCCATTTATGTATTTGGTCTCTCAAAAACAGATCCCAGGCCAGGTGCGGTGGCTCATGCCTGTAATCCCAGCACTTTGGGAGGCAGAGGCAGGTGGATCACCTGAGGTCAGGAGTTCAAGACCAGCCCAACCAACATGGTGAAAACTCATCTCTATTAAAAATACAAAAATTAGCCAGACATGGTGGCGGGTTCCTTTAATCCCAGCTTCTTGGGAGGCTGAGGCAGGAGAATCACTTGAACCCGGGAGACAGAGGTTGCAGTGAGCCAAGATCATGCCATTGCACTACAGCCTGGGTGACAGAGCAAGAGTCCATCTCAAAAATAAATAAATAAATAAATAAACAAAAAAACCAGATCCCATATTTGGCTAAGGATTCCTACTAAATAAGGATGAAATGTCTTAGCTTAATTCTTTAACTATAACAGCTTTCTATAGTTCTCAAGAATAATAAGAGTTAATAAGGGTATTGATAGAGGAGGAGAATAGAACAAAAAAAGAGAGAGATACATTTTAAAATCTAAGTGGTAATGGAAGGTTTTAAAGCCTGTCAGCTGCTCTGCCAGCCTGAGTGGCACAGGCTTTTCTCATTTGACTTCAAATTGAAGGTGGCCTCAATTCACCTTTTTCCCTCTCCCGTTTGGACTGCATGGCTTATGCCCACAGGAACGTCCAGAAGCTTAAGCCAGGAAATGGACGTAATGGTGTTTGAGGATGTGGCTATGAAATTTACTTAGAAGGAGTAGGCTTTCCTGGCTCCTGCTCAAAGGAGCCCCTACAGAGATGTGATGCTGGAAAAATGCTGTAGGAATCTGGCCTCAGTAGATTGTGAGATTCAACTTAAAACCCATGAGTCAGTTGTTCAGCAGGATATTCATGAAGAAAAAAATTCCAATGAACAGAAAGTAGTAAGAATAACAAGGAATAACTCCTGGTTCTCCATTTTAGGAGAAAACTGGGAATATCATGTCATTAAAATTCAGCACAGAACAAGGAGAGACATTTGAGAAGCCATATGTAGATAGCATCTATAAAAGTAATGAATGTAATCAGTGTGGAAAAAACTTCAGGCATTTTCCAAACCTTAGTGTGCTGAAGAGAACCCCTGTTGGGGTCAAAGCCTATAAAAGTGTATGTGGAAAAGCCTTTATGGATCATTCCTCCCTTAAGAATCATGTCAGATCTCACCTGCACACAAACTCTATCATTGTAAGGAATGTGGACAAGCCTGCTGTTGTTGCTCATATTTAAGGATTTCTCTAAGTAGTCATGATGGAGATAAATGCTATAAATGCAAGGAATGCTGGGAAGCCTACTGTTGCCCCGATCTTTTAGGGCAAATGTCAGAGGTCACATTGGAAAAGTGCAACATATATGTAAATAAAGAATATGGGGAAGGCTTTAGTCATTTTTCATATGTGGCAGGCAGACTCTAAGATATCCCCCAAGGATCTCTGCTTCCTGGTATTTACATCGTTGGGTAATTGCCCTCCCTTGAGTTTTGGCTGGCCTAATAATTTGCCTGTAACCAGTAGAATATGGCAAAGGTGATAGGATTTCACTTTCATTATTTGGCTGCATAAGATTGTGACTTCCATCTTGCTAGCAGACTTTCTCTGATGCTGGCTTTGATGAAGCAAGCTTCCATGTTGGAGAGGTCCATTTGGCAAGCAACTGAAGGTGGCCTCTAGCCAACAGCTATCAAGGAACTAAGGTTCTCAGTCCACCTATCTGCAAGGAACTAAATCCTGCCAACAACCATGTGAGTTTACAAGCAGATTCTTCCTCGGTTGAGCTTGCAGATGAGACCCCAGCCCTGTGATATCTTGAGGCAGGCTTTGAGAGGCCATGAAGCAGAGGACCCAATAAGTCACGCTCAGATTCTTGACCCACAGAAACTGTGAGATAATAAACGTATGTTGTTTTAAGCTGATAAGTGTGTGGTCATTTGCTATGTGACAATAGGTAACTAATACATAGTCCTTTCACAACAATTCAGGCTTCACAGTGGAGAGAAGGCTTATGAATGTAAAAATTGTAGAAAGATCCTTAATGAGTTTTTAAAATTTACAAGTGAGAACACACAATGGAGACAAACTGTCAAGATTTAACGAATATGACCAAGATTTTGTTGTACTATATACCTTAAGACATGTGAGAATTCACACTAGAGAAAACACACGAGGGAGAGCCTTCACTAATTGCTTATTTGTTATTGTACATGTGAGAGGTCACTCTGTAGATAAATTATATGACTGTAGAGTTGGAATTTATCCATAAGTCATTTTCAAATCTTAGGTAACATGTGAGATCTCAGGCTATGGAGAGACCCTATAAATATGCAAAACATAGGAAAGTCTTTAGTTGCCCATTATTCCTAGGACATATAGAGAACTCTGCTAGAGAGAAAGCCTTCATGCACAGCGTTTCACTTATTGTGTGCAAGAAAATGCCAAGAGAAAAATCTCACAACATAAAATCTTTTTAGACTACAAATATGGTGCAGTATATAATGCTCAGGTGAGGGGTACACCAAAATCTCACAAATTACCACTAAAAAACTTACTCATGTACACTTTGGGAGGCTGAGATGGGTGGATCATGAGGTCGAGAGATTGAGACCATCCTGGCCAACATGGTGAAATCCCATCTTTACTAAAAATACAAAAATTAGCTGGGTGTGGTGGCACGTGCCTGTAGTCTCCAGCTATTCAGGAGGCTGAGGCAGGAGAATCGCTTGAACCCGGGAGGCGGAGGTTGCAGTGAGCCAAGATCGCGCCACTGCACTCCAGCCTGGTGGCAGAGTGAGACTCTGTCTCAAAAAAAAAAAAACAAAAAAAAAAACCAAGACCTTACTCATGTTGTAACCAAATGCTACCTGTACCCCAATAACTTATGGAAAAATAAAATTAAAAAAAATTTAGGTACTCCAAAAAAAAAATCACATGTACCCCCCAAATATGTACATATATTATGCATTAGTTTTTAAAGATGCTTTATTGTTAAAAATGCTGAAGAAATGAGCATATACTGTTGGAAAAAATGGCACTAAGAGGCTTACTTGACACAAGGTTGCCACAAACCTTCAATCTGTAAAAAACACAATATCTGTGAAGCACAATAAAGTACAATAAAACAAGGTATCCTGTACTCATAAAAAAAGAAAATCCTTTTAAAATATGGATCTCCTTTATCAATACTCATCCTTAAAAAAATTGATTCCTAGCTCATTAATTTCCACTTTTTATGTTCCAATATAAAGAATAAGATGATAAATATCCCTTTAAGAACCTTTCAGCAGTAGCATATAAATTTTGATATTCGGTGTTTTGATTATGTTTGGGTTATATAGAGATTATTTTATTTCTGTTAGAAAATCTTTTGAATTTACAGGTGATTGTGTATTTTTTTCATTATCTCACTTTTTATGTTTTTTTCAGATTATAAAAGAATATTAATTTATTGTAGAAAATGTATTTTTAACATTGAAATATAAAGTTAAATTCATTTGGCATCCCCCCATTGTTAATATTTTGGGTTATTTATTTTCAGCTTTCTTTCTGTGCAAAAGGAAAGGTTTTAAACGGGAAAAAAGCGAATAGAGGGAGAATTCATTGAAAGGAAGAGAAAGTCTTTTCTTTTATGAATAAAATAAATTATCCCTTGCAGATGATGGTGGTAAATGGTAATAAAGGGCAGAGACTGAATATGTACAGTGAGACACATGGACTGTGCTCCTAGAATACGAAAAAAATCACATTTAGTTACGTTTCACCGTGTGAAAGCAGTTTTGAAATTTTTTTTACTTATTTTAAGGCCCGGGATGGAAATACCATATCATTTTTCTTTCCCATCACTGTGGTTCCTGCAACAGCATAAACAACTTACCCTTGCTTAGCCCTTCAGAAACTATATTTCAGTCTAGGAAAGTGGAGCCCCAATCCCAAGTGTGGCAAATATCTGTTGTGCCTCCTCCTCAGCCAGGTAGGGACCTATTTTAGAGGCACAGTCCTCTCCATGCTTTAGAATTTAAAACAGATTGTTTGCTTTTTCAAGTATAATAATGACAGAAAAATGCTAGTATGTTGGCAGTTACTATAGTAACCGGGAACAACTTAACTTCTTTTAAATGGGAAATGGACATTTACCTCTAAGTTTTTGCTTCATTTTTGGAAGCCAAGATGCAGTCGTATGCTTTGTAAAGATTCCACACCTGAATGGTATACCATAAGTTGTGTGTGTTTGTGTGTGTGTGTAATTTGTGCATGCATACATATGCATAAATATTAACACAAAATCCATATGAGACACCAATCATAGCTCATTTTTGAACTAAATTACTTTCTGACAGACATGTGAAATTAATTGAAATGCAAACAATATCCAAGAGATAGATTTAACACATGGCTTCTTTTTATTATGATTTTATTTTTAACTTACAGGAAACAGTTCTTTCTCTTAAAGGACTAAAGGATGCTTGATAACTTTGAGTCATGGAAATGCATTTCTTTCAGAGAAAAAGAATGAACTCTCATTAGTGAAATGACTGTCAATATTTACATTATTCTGGGCAGCCTGAACTGGAGCACGGAGAATAAGGGTGAATGGGAAGAAGTCAGGTATTTTTAATCAGGACCAAAATAAACATCAAGAGACAACCTGAAATGTGAGATAAATCTGATAGCCAAGTATGTCCAATCTGAACCGTAGATGAACAGGCTGAGTACAGCAAAGTAATTTGCTTCTTGGAAAATGCACCTTGAAATAGACAGCTTTATAATGTAGAATGATTGAAATACTTTGAAATTCCAGGCAAAGTCATAAAAATATTCCTGCTTTTAAAAAAATATTCCTGAGCAAATCTATCATGGCATTTTAAGGAGTGCTGACTCCATAAATTCTGACTTTTATCAACAGCACTTCAATAATGTTCAGAAAATAAACTTCACAGGAAAAACTCGGGTGTTCAATTAGTGTTAAACGTTTTAGGGCAGAAACTGAGATAATGAAATTATGAGGACAACGGCAGCTTGACGTTTTGTGGCTCACAAGAGATTTATGCATTCCAATATAACCTCAAGCTACGCGTATGGCATAATAAAAAAGAATGGATTCCTGACAGGGCAGGGAATTTGACTGTACTTGTCTTAATACTAGTTCTTTGTCTTAACGGAAAGACTAAAAAAACCCTGCCCCTAACTTACTTCCAGTACAAATTCAGGCTTTACTTCTCCCCAAACCCTCCACCATTATTACTCAGATGACATTTGAATGGAATATAGCTTCTTTCACAAGAATTATTTTCTTTTTAGTGCAAATTGCGTTAGGCTCACAGTGGGTCCTATGGAAATTGCTGGTCTAAAAAAGAAATCAGTAGAGAAATGCCTGGCTTCTGTACTAAACAAGGGCAAGTGCTCACCCTTGCACAAGGTTTCTAGAACTTTAGTGGGAGGCTAAAACCGAATCAGTGGTGGTAACAGTCTGTGACAGCATCATCTGGCTGTCCTCTTACCCTCCTTGCTAGCCCCGGCGTGGATATGTTTTTTTGGGGGTGGGTGTGGTCCATCTTGGAGTGCCCCTGTGGACCTTTTATGATTTCTTTCAAGGCCAATTAGGTTGGAGGACTGCTGGGAAAATTGCAAAGCCCTAGGAAACATTTCCATGTCTGACTATCAGGCATCCCCTAGTAGTCTGCAAAAATTCAAGAACTGCATGCAGCCAGACGGCCGGAGGGCTTGTTCCTAGTGGACATCTGAAATGACTTAATAGAGTCCAAAATGATAATTTGGAAATGCTGGTTGACTTTTCTTTTGTTGGCTAAGTGTACTCTTCCAAGGTTAGGGGGTTGTGTCAATAAGCTAGGGTAGTGCCTTCGTTGTAGAAGATTACACTTAGGTAGAAATTATCTCTTGATTACAGTGACCTTGTTAAAGTCTAGACTTCTCTTTTGAATAACTGTTACTATGCAAGATGAAGTTCACGTTCATATATTGATATGCATGGTCCATCATCCAAGCACAAGTTCTTATAGGGGTAGAGGAATTAAAATTTACCAGAGGCAAGTTCTCTGAAATTCTACGTCGAATGAAGGTTTGGAGTCATGGAGACCTGGGTCTAGACCTGGCCCACCACTTGATCTTGGGAAAGTTATTTAACTTCTTTGAGCTTCAGTGTCCTCCTCTATAAATGGGGATAATGGCCACTTAAAATGATGGTTGTGAGGGTTAAATAAGGTTGAATATATAAAGTACTTAGCACAGTGGTTGGCACATAGTAAAAATTCAATAAATGACTTTTTTTTTTTTTGAGACAGTCTCGCTCTGTTGCCCAGGCTGGAGTGCAGTGGTGCAATCATAGCTCACTGCAGCCTCAAACTCCTCAGCTTAAGTGATCTTCCTGCTGTGCACCCCCTCAAAGTGCTGGAATTACAGGTGTGAGCCACTGCACCTACCTGCATCTTCTGTTGTGAAACTTAGTTGAAAGGATAATCTTTAGAATCAGCAGCTGGCAATGGTAATGCACATATCCATAAAACTCTTCACTCTTCCTGGAAAGTGATGGTGGGGTACCTCCTCTACCTCTCCTGAGTTCTTTTTCTCCCCAGCAACTATGCATCCAGGATCCCACTTTCAGTGTCAGGCTTTTAATAAAGATAGGAAGAGGCATATAATGACAGACATGAAAAGAATCTCAAGAGACCATTCTGCTTCTAGAAATATAAAAGACAATAATAATGGCTACCTTCCTATATGATAGGAAACCTAACTGCATTAAATCTCATGGAAGCTTCTCAACAACAGATAAGTCTCACTGTATCCCCATTTTACAGCTGAAGAAACTGAGGCATAGAGAGGTTATCAGGCAGCTCATGGAAAAATGTAGCACTCAATCCCAGGTTCACCTGAAAGCAAAACCCATTGTCTCAATCATGGTATAATACTGCCTTGTAGCAATCTAGATAGCTATCCATTTCCTTTTGAAATATCTTTTTTTTTTTTTTTTTAGATGAAGTCTTGCTCTGTCACCCAGGCTAGGGTGCAATGGCACGATCTTGGCTCACTGCAACCTCCCAGATTCAAGCCATTCTCCTGCCTCAGCCTCCCGTGTAACTGGGGTTACAGGTGCATGCCACCACACCCAGCTAATTTTGTATTTTTTGGTAGAGATGGTGTTTCGCCATGTTGGCCAGGCTGGTCTCTAACTCCTGACCTCAGGTGATCCACCTGCCTTGGCCTCCCAAAGTACTGGGATTACAGGCATGAGCTACCGCACCTGCCTCCTTCTGAAATATCTTTAAGGATGGGAGAGGCAGCTTCGTATTTAGACACCTTTACAATCAAGAAGACTTCCTTGTATTTAGTTGTGATTTTCATCCCTATGTGGTTCATTTGTTTTGATAGGTAGTCTATAGAAATTGGAATCGCGAAAACTTAGTGTGTTCCTGATCATAGCAACTGTTTTCAATTACATGAATTTAAGCCACCTATTAGTCTCCTTTTCTACCAGTGAAATTATTCCCAATACTTCAGTATATAAGGCAGAATGTAGGAAAATAGGTGGTACCTCGAAGGCAAGGAGGCCAAAGAAAGCCTCGCGAGAATAATTTTGACTCAATCCAGCAGGGGGCACCCTCGCATCAGTGTGGGTAACCCCTAGGGTGTCCTGATCAGGGAGAAGCAAGCAGGTATTTGTATCTCCAGACCTGTCAGTCATTGGTTAAGGATTGCCCCAATGGGGACATAAATTTCCAAGCACTTTGAGCTGTCCATGTGCACAAAGCAGGCTCATTCAGCCTAAGGGCAGCCCCCAAAGAGATGCAGGTGCCGGCAATTGGGAGCTGGTGTACTTAAAAATGGAAAGACACCTGAAGGGTTAGGGGCCAATCGGGGACAGCGCCTGCCATGCTCACTAATGCTGGGACAGTAAAAGGATTTCCTCCTGATGTGGGCATTTCACATTCTGTTCATACTACCCACGGCTGCATTTACTTTCTCTCCTCTCAAGCAAAGAAGAATCCTGCCTCTATTACAGAAACAGCAGAGTAGGGTTGGAAGACCATGAGTTTTGTGGCAGAGTCATTGGGTCATAATCTGGCACTTCCTAGCTGTGTGATCTTGGGCAAGTTGCTTCATATCCTGAGACCTCAATCTCCTCATCTGTTGATTAGTGATACAGCACTTACCACATAGGGTTGTTTTAAGGATGAGTTACAGAATGTATATAAAGTGCCTAGCAGAGCCCAGCACATAGCAAATACACAGAAAACTTTCTTTTACTTCTATTGCCTTCTCCCCAAACTACCACAAAGGAAAACAGATAAGATGTTTCCTTTAAATAATCTCCAACACTGTCAAATTAGAGAACACCATTATTGAAGAGGCAGCTTCTGAGTGTCCCTACCAGAAATACATTACCCTGCATGGAAACAGTAAGTCACTGTTGAGCATATAGGTATAACATTTTTTTTTCTTGACTTGTGTCAAAATTGATCATTGAGCCCAAGATCAAAAACACTTCCAAAAGGTCACCCATATTCCACAATGCTGCGGAATGCTCCTATGTGCAGGCAGACCAATTTTACAACATGGGCTGCAGACATAGAAAGACTCTTGTCATTAGCTAAGAAGCCGCATGCTGCCACATGCCAGGGCCTCCAACAATGGAGGTCTGCACGCGTCTTCCTCAAACCAGGAGCTGATTTTTCTTTCCCTTGATAGAGCATGGCTGTCAAGGCTGCTCATGAAGTGTTTTCTAATTTGAAAATAACAGCATGACCTCGTAACTGTTAGTAGCCTTATTGGTTAGCATCGTGATCGTGTAGAGAAAACACAAATGAAAATGTTACTTTGTAAGTGCCTGCCATGATTAAATGCAAGAAGAAAAGGGCTCCTACAGACTATAACCATTTCAGTGGCTGTTTACCCACTGGATCCAATCTTGACCAGAGGATCCACGGGCTCAGTTTTTATTGAGTCTAAAGTGCGTCCTGATCCCAACATACTCTTTCTGGAACAGATAAAAGAGACTTGCAAGTAATAGCTTTGCTTGGTCAAATCCAATAATTTTATGGTTAGAACATGTTAATTTCTGTCTTTGCTTTTTGTACATAAACTCATAATCTTGCACTGTATTAATGCATAACACACACACACACACACACACACACACACACACACCCCTCCTTTCCTCATTGCACATTCATTTTGTCCCTTCTATTTTACATGCACTACATGCAGGTCTTCCTGGGCACTTATCATGTAAGTACATACATACATATGAATGAGTCCTGCAAAGCGATCCTCATTCTATCATTTTTCTCCAAGTTGGGTAATCAGAATAGCCCCATGCTCTCATCTCACAAGTTGCCAGAAATTATGTTCACTTATGGCTCACTGTGGGGTCTCGAATCTTCCTCCGTGTGCACATGTTCCTCTCACTGATGCTAATGGAAGTTATGCATGCATGTTATGGGGAGAAAGAGCCCTGTGGATGCTCTCTCCCACATACAGATTGAAAGGCTGGACTGAAAACCAAAATATCACTTTACTGTTTATTTTTATCACACCAGTTTTTATTAACCAGATCTCATATGATGATGTCCAGGCATCTCACCAGCATGATTATGCTGATGGAGAACATGTGTAGCTAATCTCCTGTCCTCTGATTCATAGACTGGGCTTGAGAAAGCTGGAATGTGGGCAAGACTTCTGAGCCTTCCACATCCACAGTGAATGTGGAATTGTAAAGATCAGTTTTAGATTATTTGGCCCACACTGGGATTTTCTCTGTAATTGATGAGGATCATAAGGGACTTTTTGCTGGAAAATTGCAAAGATCTCAGTGCGTCCTCAAAAAGCCTCTTGTACTTCCACAGTCCTGAGAGGAACAGTTTCCAAAAGGAAACTATAAAATATGTTCACTAACTTTTCCCTCTGAATGAATTTTAAAAATATTTTTTCACTTTGTCTCTCTCCCCTCAAAAGTTGAAGTAACACTTAAACAAGCTGAACTTTTTGTAGTAGAAAATTTGATCACTAACATGGTCTCAAGAGTATAGATTATTAAATCATTCAACCAATTAAAGAAAATCAATAACTTCTTGATTTACCTCTAAGTTCCCTAAACACTCACATCCCATAATACTACCAGTATTCAAGCTACTAAGGATACTCTGTTTATTGCTTTTCGAGGAAGACACTTAAACAGCTGTGCATAATATGGAAAAAGATCCCTTTCTAGTCAGGTGGGAGTTATTTGTATTTCTATCTCAATGTATGATTAAATATGATTAAAGATATTGTGTTGTAATAAGGTAACCTTGAAAAGTCACCTTGGGGGAAACTATAGCTGATGGATTCATTAGTTTAAATGTAGGAAATGGATGCAGCTGGTAAGCTGAATCCAACGAGTGAAAAATGGTAACAGTGGTCACTTCAGCGGATGGAAGGCTTTGTGACAAATTCTGCATTTGTAGCCAAGCACAGGGGTGAGGAGAGTGGTTGTGTGCAGCAGCTTCAGTAGGAAAACTAAGAAAATATTAATAGCAGAGTCAAAAGCCTAGAGAAGGACCTATGTGAGGGACTGAAGCGAATAACAGTTTAAGAGCAAGCCCAAGAATCAAGGCTCTCCTGGGCCCAAAGAGGGCAGCGGCCATGGATGAGCTGAGTATGCACTCATAGCACAGCAAACATTTATGGAGTGCTTATACTATGCACGGTACCTTGTCCAGGCATTTTACATCAGCCTGTTTAATTCTTAAAATAACTCTCAGATTTAGGTATTACTGGTTGTCATCCCTTTGTTCCAAGCGAGAAAACTGAGGTTTGGAGAAGATGTGAAGAACTTTCCCAAGGTCACAGAGCTAATAATAGGCATGTGCATAGCTGATTCAAATTCAGGTAGGTTGATTTCAGGACCTTTCTTTTTACTACTCTGCAGTAGGACTTCATTGATTCAAAGGGATAAAATGGCAGCACTAACTTTACTATATAGAAGCTCTAGAAATAAATCCTGTAAAGGAACATAGCACAATAAGGCAGGGACAACATAATTTTGTGTGCCTTGGAATCATCTATTTTGCACATCAAGGTGTCAAAAGAGAGGCAGCTGTGATGTACTAAGAAAGTTGGGCTTGTGCACTGTTCAGCTTACCCAGCATAGTGCCTGGTGTCAGCATGTTCTCATTTAGACACTTTTATATACGACTCTGGGAAGTGGGCGTTATGGTCTTTATAACTGGAAAGTGGCAGAGCCAGACCCCAAGAGATCTCAAGACTGACTAGAGGGCCTTAGGGAACAACGACAGAAGGGCATATCTTGAGACCTGGCTACAGTAGCCTGAGTAAAGAAAGAGGTAATGTGAAGCCCACGTGTGAGACCCCGAAAGGAAGTCACTCTTCTCCTTCAAGAGCAAGGGATCAAGGCATGACTAGGAAGGTGATCAGCAGATTCAGACTTCAGGTTGTTGCCAACTTCTAGATCCTTTGAGCACTCTTCTTTTTTCAGGCTGTACTCACTCCCTAGGTAGTTTCCTCTTGTTCCATGATTCAATGCTATCTCTATACTGATATCTACAAGATTTATGTATCTAGCCATAATCTTTCCCTTGCCTGCATAATGTCAACTTATATAAAATATATAATACAAAATGCCTAACAAGCATCTCAAAAATTTCCTCATCTAAAACTGGACTCCTGATTCTAATGTCCCCTACCCCAAACCTATACCTCACTAGGTCTTCCCACTTTTGGTCACTAGTGCAACGTCCATTCAATTGCTCATTTCATAAACCTAGGCAGCTTCATCAGTTCTTTTCACGTACCTCTCCTCCTCCCATTCAGTCTGTTAGTAAGTTCTGTGAGATATGTCTTCAAAATACCATGTATCAGTGGTTGCCAAAATTGTCTGCATGTTGAAATCACCTGGGGAGCCTTAAAAATTGATACCTGTGTCCCACTCTCAGTGACTGTGATTTTATTGGTCTGGGGTATGGCTTGGGTTTTGGAAAATTTACAAAATCTCCACCCTAGTTGATTGTAATGTGCAGATAAGTTTGGTAGCCATTGACGTATATCTCAAATCATTATACCATGTACCTCTTCATCTCTACTGCTTGAATAATTGCAGTACCTTCTAACTGATTGCTCAGTTTTTTCACTCTTTCCACCCATCATCCATTTTCTACATGGATGCTAGAGTGAATTTTTAAAATAGGTCATAGTAAGTCACCTCTCAGTTTAAAACATCCTAGGGATTTTTGTTGCGGTAAATTTAAAACCCTTTATTAAGCCTTCAAGGTGCTATAGGATTTGGTTCCTTTGTTCCCCTCTGACTGCAGCTTTTGCACCTACTTTCATTCTTGCTCTGTTATATCCACAGCAGCCTTCTTTTTGGGTTCTCTAACATGCCAATCTTATTCCCATTTCAGAGCTTTTGCATTTTTCTTCCTTCCGTCTGAAGCCTCTTCTCCCAAGTTTTCGCATTGCTAACTTCCTTGTCATTTAGATATCTGCCTGCCTATAATTTCCTCAGAAAAGCCTTACATAAAACAGTATCCTCCATTCCCATCATTTACTCTCATATTTTCCTCTTCATTTTCTTTATAGCGCTGCGTTAACACATTTGTTCTGTCTCTCTATGGGGGGTGTGTGTGTGTGTGGTATGTGCCTGTGTGTGTGCTAGATCTACATCCCACTACTAAATCAGAAGCTTGATGAAAGCATGGCCTTTGTTTTTTTTCTTTTTTGTTTATTTCTGTGTTGTCAGTATTTAGTACAGTTCCTGCCTTGTAGTGGTTTCTTATTAATATGTGTTGACTGACTATCTGAAGGACTAAATATAGTATTCAGAAAGATGGCTCTGTCCTGGAGCTTATATCATTCAAGATTTGTGATTCAGACAATCGTGCTAGGACATGGTGCTTATGTCCATCAGTAGAAGGGCAAGTTAAGACCCCACGTCTGATTTCTATGTTTTCTTTCTCGTGAGGAATGTCCTTAAATCTTTTATGGGACTCATGTGTGGGAACTGGTTAGGGAATAGATGAACAGAAAATTATAGGATGTATTAGACAGAATAGTCAGTTTTTGCTGAGGTAACAAATAGCACCAACATTTCTAGTGGCTTAACACAATGAAAAAGTTCATTTCTGACTCACACGAAGTATGCTGTGGGTCTGGGCAACTCTACAGGAAGCTCTCCTCCTTCATATTGACAGCTCACCATTCCAGACTACTTTGCTTTTGAGACAGCTGCCTATCAACATGGCCACAAGAGAGAAGTTAGACAATTGCACACCAATTCTTAAGTACTTTTGTTTACATTGACTGGCCAAAACAAGTCATGAGATACTCCCAGAGGAGAGGAAAATTATAAATCTTGGTGAGTGAGTAGGCATGTCCACCACAGCAGGTACAGGTCAGGGTGGGGCAAAGAAAAGAAACAAGGAGGAAGCATTTGTAATGTATGAGCCTGGTGAAGTGCTGCAGTCTCCACTTCTGGTCAATGCTAGGAATGTAGTGGCGACACTGCATTTCTGAAACCAGATAAAAATAACAGAAACAAGAAGCTCTAGTAGAAATCGGGTTTGACAGCAGTCATTCCACATACCTGTCCATTATTTTTCACATTCCTTAGATTTCAGGCATTAAGATCGTAAATGCTCAATCCTTTAGAGAGCCAGTTAGCTTTGTGAAGGGAAGATATTTTAGTTAGCTTTGTGAAGGGAAGATATTTTAGTTAGCTTTGTGAAGGGAAGATATTTTAATTAGCTTTGTGAAGGGAAGATATTTGCGGCCTCCTGACTTATAAATCCATTTTTCTACTCATTGGGTAACTGTACCAAGCTTTCCCCAAAAAGCATACTATGTACAGCAGAAAAACAAACCAAATAGACTCTTATCAGACTTCTCAGAAAAGTCCCAAACCTTAGTGGCCTCAAAATTGAATTATTACAATGTTTGTGATCAGGGTCTCCCTTGATCCAGCAGTTGATAATTCAGGATGCAGTTGAACCGTAACCTAATTGGCATGCCATATAAAGGTTGTTATATCTGTGTTTGAAGACTAAACTTACTGTCATCTTGATCCAGGTGCAGTTCAACTCAATAACTTTGATCTTTCAACTCACTTAATTTTATAGACTAGTTTCTTCCTTGGTCCTACTTAAATATTGAAATAAACAAAGGACCCTTGGCTGCCAATATTACCTGGAAACCTTAGGATGTACTTTAATCAAAGTAAATGGCTTTGGAATCACGATTCTCAAACAGAAGTCTACATTTTCTGAGCATTCTCATGGCTCAGGGCAAAATTTTTCTGTCTCTTAGGTCCGCATAATTATTACAATATCAGAAAATGTTCACTTGGTGACTTACTTTAAAGTTACTTGAAAGATATAGGCAAATGAAAAGAGAAGAAAACGATGACAGCGATGGTTTCAAGATGATAAACTACTGTTTGGGTAGCATTAGCTTTGGCAGCCACAGGAATGTCATTTAGTGAATTAATTCACCTATTCAGTGCTGCCTTGAAAAGGAGCACAGTTTCCAGTATCCATTCTTCACCCCAGGAACATGTTCCTTACCCAGCAAGATGAGCTGCCCTGAGACAACCAACATCTTTTTGTATCTATAAAAGACTAGGTTGAACTATGATGTTGAGAATATTCTGTTCTACTTCAATATCTACCTGGATGTTTCAAAGACATAATGAACACTGAAGGATGCTTCTCATGTATATCCTACATATTTCCTATTGCAGTAAGCTGTGTCTCATTCATCCAAGTATCCCTTGTGCCTAATGCATTGTTTCATATATGTTTATGGAATGAATGAATGAATATAGATTTTGATGATATCGAAACTCCATGATATTATAACTCTTTATTCTGGAAATATTAACGGTGTTATTATAGTCATTTGCAGACTGGTAGAACAAGATGATCTAAAGTTAGTTTCCTGGCTTTTTTCTCAGTGGCTTCCTAACCCTTAAGTGCTTTTACATGCAATTGTTTGTGTGGATCTGTAAATGCAGAGTATGCATACATTCCTGTATTTGTTTTATAGCTTCCTACTCGAGAGATAAACTGTATTTTCTCTGTAAGATACAGAAAATTTTCATACTGGTGTTGTGTAGTGCCAAACACCATGTATTTTTTTTCCCTGCTGAATGGTATATTTTGAAATGTGTTTAAAAAGAAATACATCTATAAATATGCATAAGTGTAAACTTTCTAAAGTCTAGTTTTTGTGTCTATATTTGTTTCTTTGTAATTTATGTGTATGTATCATAATGTGCAATTCAATTAGAAATAAATAGTTGAGGAAATAAGAGAAATAAGAAAATAAGAGCAGTTGGGGGGAAAAAGATAACACTATCAAAGAGGCTGGAGCACAAACATATGTCATGAGGTACTACTAACTTGCTCCAAGCTCTTTAATAGGCAATGTATAAAGTGGAATTCAATCCTCCTACACTTTATAAGATAAAACTAGGTGATCAGGAGTGGCCTAGCTATTCCTGGCACTGAAGCCTGAAAGAAACTAGTCACATAGGTCCTCAAAGAGGAGACATTGTGCAATCTAGTTGATAATACCTTCAACAACATCCTCATAGATGATACAATGAGCTTCACAAGTCTGCTTCTGATAACGCCCCTCCTTTTAGGCTGGTGACATTGAACTTAATGTTAAAGCAATCCAACAGAGGACCAATTTGATGAGGTCTTAGGGAACAACTTTCTGACATCTAGCTTAATCTCAAGATAGATTTTTAAAGAGTCAGAGGCATGAGTGGACACCAGGACACTTCCATAAATTGTTTCTTCCAATTAAGCTTTGGGTAACTATTGGCTGACACTGAGTTCAAGGTGATACTGTTATTCATAAGGGGAATGACCTTGGGAGCCATGGACTCCTGAGATCTCGGGAAATGTTGTAAAGATAGAGATGAATCAGACTCAGGGATTCTAGAAAACTTGCTGTTGGATGTCCTCCAGGATCAAATATAACATGTGACTCAAATATAGCTCTATTTATGTAAAAAAAATTCAGTGTAGAAAAGAACAGTCAATATAGTATCCACTGAATAACTTTTAAACTTCTTTTTTTTGTTGTTTAGGAACATACACAAATCATAAGTAGATGCACTGAAAATTATAGGGGATTAATTAGAAAAATGAAGATCTAAAAAAACAGAATTTGGTAACTTACTTTTACTGATTCTGAGATCAAGATTACTTAGCTAAAACATGAATTCAGAGTCAGTAGATTCACAATAGAAGCCCAAAGATTTATAGTTGATGAAATAATCTAATCTCTGAAGCCATAACCCAGAAGAAAATTGTGTTCTAAATGGGTAACATTCATTTTATTTTTTATTTTATTTTATTTCTTAGAGACAAGATCTCACTGCATTCCCCAGCCTGCTGTGGTGTGATTATGGTTCATTGTAACCTCACACTCCTGGGCTCAAGCGATCCTCCCACAAAGTGCTAAGATTACAGCCGAGACCCAGCAATGTGTAGCATTTAGAATATACTTTCAGAGCAGTTTATGTGCTTAACTAATAGAAGAATCCTGGGACATATACCAGGATTGGATGACTACATAAGCAATTCAGCGTCTACAGCATGCCCACTGAATGCGTTGTGATTGGGGGAATCACAAAGAGCAGACGAGTGGGGTCCATGACAATGGAGAGAGCATCAGTGTCATTTATACTGGCCTTGCTAAATCTACACAAAGCTCTTCATAGTACTTAGGATTTTAAAAATCTCTCAGATGGCACCACAGCAGGCTAATGTGGTGGCATGTTCTGAAGGCATTAATTTGCTTTTTTTCTCTTGCTAAATAGAGGAAAAAAGTGAATTTTAGTAATTAATAGGCACTTACCCTTCTTTCGTCATATTGTCAGCTTCAGTTGGTTTCTGTCTTGCCATTAACATGTCTAATGCATATGTCAAGCGGAAGCCTGACATGCTAGTGGCAAACAGAATATTATGTAAAGGCGGCAATGTGTTAAAACAATTGAGCGAGCAAGCACTAAAGTTTGCTGCTCAGGCCATATGTTGTAGTGTTTAATTTCCCGTAGTGGAGAAACATGGTTGTCAGAGAAAAAGATGATGAATACATTTACTTTGGGCAACTTATTACAATGAAGAATGACTTTCCAGAGGAAGGGAACAGAAGAATTAGGCTTGCATCGGGAGCATATGGGAGGCATTCAGACATAGGCAGGATAGCCAGGACTGCATGTGCTTACAAATGAAAGACACTTAATCAATGCATGTGGCTGGTGTTGACATATGGAAGTGACAAATGGGTTTTGATTTGGAAGACAGGAAGAAGGTTAACGGTAGTACAGGTGGTTACAGAATGATTGATACTTTGAGTAACTAACAGAGAACGAAAATGTGACTTTTTTAGTTGGGCAACAGACTCCAGAGAACAATGTAATTTAGAAAAATACAGAACGTGAAATGATCCAGGGCAGGTCACCTGGCTACAAGAAGAGCTGACAGACAGAACAAGCTGATGATCCTGTGGTGTGAGCCAATGGTGGTAAAAGCCGACGTGCTGGGTAAGAAGCAGAGGCCAAGAGCTCTAATGGGACAAATCAGAAAGTGCTGAGGCTGTGGGAGAACATTTATCCACACCCCACGGGAGATGATGGCTAACAATTTTCCCAGGCTTAACGTGGTACAAATTTGATTTGCTCACCTAGAGCAGACTTGGAGCATCCGAATATCTAAATAAAGTTGGGGAAAACATCTGCTGATATCAAGATCCTATGGAGGGGACCTGATAGACAAATAAACATTGTTTGTATGTTTTCCTCCCTACAACAATGATTTCTAGGTAAGCCTACGCACTCACTTTCTTTTCTTTAGTTCCAAAAATGCATAGGAGAGGTTTCTTCAATTACCTTTATCCAAGTGGTATTTAATCCCATCTTTCAGGGGTCAAAGGTTGGCTCATGTACTTGGTAAAGCAACCTATGATTTAATATTTCAATCCTGCATTCTCCACTTGTTTTTAGTTACTTGGTTAGTGGGGATGGCCTTGGGGAGATAATGTTTCAGGAGAGGTGATTTTGATCACTAATGATTATTACAAAGAATATATAATGACCAGATCCTACTCAAAATACCATAAATACCTACAGTTAGGACTTGCTGTATTCGCTAAGACATGATACTAAATTGGTGCCTCATAATGCTTCATTTAAAGTGGATTAGAGTAATGGGTTTAACAGTAAAAGGCAGCGTGGTGGTGTTTTATAAATTGAAAGCACTTGCCAGACACTTGAAATGTTGATTTAGCTAACAAAATCTTTTTTTTTTTTAACTCAAACTTCTCATGGGTCAAAGAAGTTAGAAGTCTCCCTTCAGATGTTTCAAGTATGAGACTTTAAAATAAATACTGAACCCAAGCAACTCTTTTCACACTAGTCTTTAACTGGTGTGAGGAGGTGTGAGGAGGTGATCTGAGAGAACAGGGAGGGACTATTAAAAACGGAATATGGAGATTTTGAAGTACTGGTATTTGCCTGCAAGTCGAAGAGTAGCCCATCTGATTCCATATTTTGTTTATGCTCTGTTAGTCCTTACATTTTTCTGAAAATTTAGTTTTAGACAAGGAGAGTCTATGAGTTGCAGATGGTATTGATTAAATTCTATGAGTCCAAATTGATCTAACATAAATTACCCTTGAAACCAAAGCATAAGAATGAGTGATTAAGGGAAACGCCAGAAATGAGGATAATTAAGTTAAACTACCAATTCTCTTACAATTGTGAACAAACAGTGCCTCAGTTTCCTGTATCAGAAAATGAATTTAACACTTCCCCTTCTCATCAAGTACTGTGATGCTCAATTACTCCCTAAAATCTACTTGGAAATCTTCACACAAAAGGCGCTATGGATGTGAAATGAAATGTTAGCATTCAGTATCAGATAGTTCTCACTCTCTTTACTCCTTTTCAAGGATCTCCTCCTCTACTTTCCACAATATGCCTCTTGCCCTGACACCCTGGGTCCCTTAACTAATTCTCTAATGTCTGAAAACTGCACTTGCAGGTAAAGTGACAATAGACCTGGAGCTGCCATCACACCCCCTGAAAAATGGTTTAAATCATTTTTTTTTTTTCTGAACACAGATGCACTCTTGGGAGTGTGATAGATGGTACAGAAACTAGCAGGGCAAAACAATCACTGTTAGAGTTACTGAAATCTGTATGACCTAAAAATAGGCAATATGAGCTTCATAAATGGCAGAGGTGGGATCATTGTAATTGTTGAAGGTGCACAGGCTCTATGCACATCTGATTTGAGGGAGGAAAAATAAAGTGAGCCCAGTCCTTGTAGGGTCTGAGTACAGTGGGTTAAGCAGGGAGTGGTTAAGTGGAAAATTATCAGAGAGGAATAAGTGACCAGTATGTGAGATCTGACTTTCTGTTTTTCAAGAAAATATAGAAATATGGATTTTTATGTGAACTCCCTCAAATGTTAAATGTTGTTGACAATTTTTTAAAAATAAGATTGTTTGTCAAACAGAACATGTATGCAGGCCATGTGGGATCTCTGGATCATCAGTTTGCTACCTTTGATTTGAAAAATGTCTCAAGGCACAATAATGTACTTTTCAGATAGAGGCTCAGGACTGCATGGGCTCCTTTCTGGAGCAAAAGATCTCTTTTTCATTGATTGTAGCTGAAATCCTCCCCATGTGTAGAATTGTCCTTAAGCCAGTTCAATAACAGTAATTCCTGGAGACCAACCACACGCCAGGCACTGTCGGGAATATAGAATGTGAATGACACAGGCCCTATCCTCAAACTGCTCACAGACTAGGAGGCAAGATTAGACAAATTCACTAATACCCTCAACATAAGGAGGAATGGAATAAGTGCCAAGACAGCAGCACAGACCAAGTGCCCTGGGGCTCCAAGGAGGGAGTGAGCACAGACAGCCGTGGGTTTCAGGGAAGACAACTTCAGGGAGGGAACGCCTGAAATGAGCCGTGAGGGTAGATGGGGTTTTGGCAGATGGAGATGCTGGAAGAGGGCATTTCTAGCAACTGCATGAGCAAGGACATGAATGCGGGAGAGGCTGGGGCTTGGGAAGTATGCACAGGCTAGTTCGACTGAAGTGTAAGATGTGTGTGGGAGATTAGTGGAGATAAAGCCTGGGCAAAACAGTGGGCTCCATATTGTGGAGGGCCTTGAATGCTCTGGTGGGGTCTATGCACCTGACTGTAAATAATGAGGGGGAAATGAAGGAGGTTGAACTGGATAGACTTGTACCTCGTCAATTTCTATTTGCCTGAATCCATCTACCTAAAGACACTGACGACTTTCAGTTCTCCAGCATAACTAACTGCTGTTAAGTCTCTGGCTAATATAAGCCCAGGTGGGCTGTATATTAGGAGTTCTTTCCCTCCAGTGAGTGAGATCTAGAATTAGGTTTACTTTTGTAAATCTGGAATTCATGATGCCTAGGGCTTGTGCTCAGTCCACAAGATGGCATTTTCTCCCATGTTACTGATGTACACTCAAGAACTAGAATTCAGCCTTGAACCCAACTAAGCCTGCCTAGAGCTCTAACCAAACCTTCTTCATGCTTGCTGACTTAATGATAGAGTGTGAGAGGAATGCACTGTGCTCTGTCTGATCTCAGAAACTAGCTGGAAAACCTTTCCAATCTGTGTGGACTATCCCTCAAAAAGCAGGACCTTCACCATCTGATTGGAATACTTAAGGCTGACAGATTCCCACTACCGTGACATTCTCACTCGTGGATACTGCAGTTTGGGTGGCTGACTACTCTCTTTGGAGCCACATTCCTTACTTTCACATATTGTCCTCATCTTGCAGGATTTATAAATTGATATTAATTTAAATAAAATTAAATTAAAAATACAATTCTTCCATTGCACTAGCCACATTTGAGGTGCTCAATAGCCACAAGTGGTTAGCAGCTGCCTTATTGGACAACACAACTATAGGACATTTCCATCATTGCAGAAAGTTCTATCAGATAATCCTAAATACTCTGCTTTGTTTATTAACCGAATGGCTCACTCTTGAAACATGACAACGTGGCTATAGGTGCACATGCATTCATGCACAAACCCACGCTGAGCTGATATAGCTTTACTGTCAGCTTTCATCTGCCTGAAATGGGGTAGCAGAATAGAGGAAGAAAGAAATACTATTTGAGGGACTGACATGCACACCAAGGAACAGATATTTGACTGGAAAATTTCATCAGAATGGAATGTAAACTAATAAAACTAAGGGAAAAAAGCAGAAAGGAAAGGAAAGTAGTGATACACTGTATAATTCTAGAGCATTAATAAAAATACATCAATATGAATCACAGGAAATTATTACAACCCCTGGATAAGTATAAACAAGGGCCATATTTGAAATAGAGTTTCAAATTATAAGGTATTATACACAATAAAAGATATTGTGAAACTCTGCAAAGAGGTGCCATTGAGAGAAACCAAAAATGCCTCCAGCCTGTACACATCTTGTTTGCTCGTAAAAATCAAGGATATTGAACTTTTGAACTCTATACCAATGGAAATTTAACATGCTCACGCTTAAGATGGTGTCATAAGAGAGTGAAACTTGTTAATATGGGTCCTAGAGTACCTGCATGCTGTTTGGAGACCCCAGACTCCAGAAGAGACCCTGGACTAGCAAGTAGACTCTGTGAAGCAAAGATCTAGTTGGTCATGTGCTCCAAGTATCCCTAGAGTTTAGTACAGCACCTATTATACAGAACACTGTAAATAAATGTTTGTTAAATGAATGAAGAAAAGGACAGATGAGTAAAGTAAGACTTTGAGTGGCCCCATGTTAATCTGGAGCCTTCACTTTTATCCTAAGATAAACTTGTTAGCCTCCTTAGAGTCAAGCATGGGACTCAATTATTTATTCTTTGATTAAAAATATATACAATTTTTGAAAAGATTATATAGTCAAATGATTCTAAATATGCATATAGACGTAAAGTGAGATATCTTAGATTCCTGTACCCTATACCCCCAGTTCCGATGCCCATCTCTTACTAGTAACCACTGTATTTAGTTTCTTATAAATTCTTCCAGTTTTTTAAATGGGTATAAGAAGAAATATAAATTCATGTTCTTCTTTTCCCTCTTTTTATGTAAAAGGTAGCTTACTTGACATATTGTTCTGCATTTTGCCTTTTTTCTTTCTTTCTTTTTTTTTTTTTTTGAGACAAAGTTTTGCTCTGTCGCCCAAGCTGGAGTGCAGTGATGTGATCTTGGCTCACTGCAACCTCCGCCTCCTGGGTTCAAGTGATTCTCCTGCCTCAGTCTCCCGAGTAGCTGGGATTACAGGCACCTGCCATTATGCCCCGCTATTTTTTTTTTTTGTATTTTTAGTAGAGACGGGGTTTCGCTATGTTGGCCAGGCTGGTCTTGAACTCCTGACCTCGTGATCCACCCCACTCGGCCTCCCACAGTGCTGGGATTACAGGCGTGGGCCACCGCGCTCAGCCCGCATTTTGCCTTTTTTCATTCAACATCTCTTGAGTATCTTTCCTCATTGCTATGGAGGCAGCTCACTCTTTTATTTTTTTAACTTTTGTAGTATTCTGTTGTATCAATGTATCACAATTTACGTAAACTGTTTATTTTAGCAATGTACTGGATTGAACAATGTAGGTTATTTCAAATTTTTGGTCTTGCAAACAATACTGATGTAAATACCTTAAACATATGTCCTTTCATTCATTTGCAAGTACATATGTAACATAAATTTCCAAAAGTAAAAGTGCTGGGGTGAAAGATGTATGCATTTGTAATTTTGATGGATTTTGCTAAATTGCTCTCCATATGGGGTTATGCTAACATATACTCTCACAAGCAATGTACGAGAGAGCGTTTCTTACAGCCTCGTCAATGGAGTGTATTATCAGACTTTGGGATTTTTGCCAACCTGATAGGAGAAAAATGGTATCTCAATATAGTTCTAATTTGCATACATTTTATTATGAGTGAAGTCGAGCATCTTTCCAAATGTTTAAGAGCCATTTGTATTTCATTTTGTGTGAACTATGTGTTTATATCTTTTGCCTAGTTTTTCCTATTAGCTTGCTAGGCTCTCAATTTTGTACTTGTAGAAACATTTATTTATTTTTATTATTTTTGTAGAGGCAGGGTCTTGCCATGTTTCCCAGCCTGGTCTTGAACTCCTGGCCTCAAGCAGTCCTCCTGCCTTAACCTTCCAAAGTGCTGGGATTACAAGTGTGAGCCACTGTACCTGGCTGAAAGTTTTTATCTATAAATAGATATTAGCCATTTGTTTATACATGATTTGCAAATTTTTTTTTTAGTTTGTTGGGTCTTCTATCTTTTGCTTTTGCTTATGAGTGTGTGTGTGTGTGTTTGTCATATAGAAGTTTTAATTTTTATGTATTTGGGTTTATCAACATTTCCCTTCATGGCTTCTAAATTTTGAATCAATTTTTAAAAATATTTCCATTCCAAGGATTAAAATTCTACCATGTTTGTTTAGTAATTTTATGGTTTTATTTATACCATCTAAATTTTTGATCCATTTAGAATTTATCATTGTATAGGATGGGAGGTAAAGATCCAACTTTATTTTTTCCAGGTGCCTACCCTTCTGTCTCAACACCATTTATCAGATAGGCCATCGTTTCCCCTCCGGTTTGAGGTGCCATAATGTACACCAAATTTAGGAATGGTGATTGTTGAATTGAGCAGATATTGACAAACATCCTACTTGAACATTTTACTTGCCTGTCGTGAAAACTGCTGAGGCTGCTTTGATAGGACAGGGAAGAACTTCTGGGTCTTCTAGCTTTGCTACATATCTCCAGTAGGCCCTCTTCTGGCTCCAAAAACTATGGACAAGAAAGGCAAAGTTCCTTTCATATGAACTTATGAGGGTTTAAGGTCTCTGTAGTCAATGCTTCTTGCACTCCAGATTATGGCAGGAGTACAGGCTGTACATTCTCAAAGAGATTACAGGAGCAGGCATTCTAGATTCATGTGCTATGATTTAAATGTGTTCCCCAAAGTTCATGTAATCTCCAATGAGAAATGTAATCTCCAATAAAAAGTGATTAGCTCATGAGGGTAGAGCCCTCATGAATGGATTAATGCTGTTATTTCAAGAGAGGGTTCATTATTGCAGGATTGGGTTCCTTATGAAAGGGCAAGTTCAACCTCTTTTTCTCTCTCTCTCACCCAGGATGACATAAATAACTACTCCCGACATTTGGTCCTTTCATCATTTTTGTTCACGTCATTATGAAATTTGCCCTAGCAATGAGCAAGTCTTAGCTTTCACATTAGAAGAGCTCATACTACATTTGAAAATGATGCCTTCTGCTATGTTATGATGCAGCAAGAAGACCCTTACCAGATGCAGCTCCTTGATCTTGGACTTCCCAGCCTCCAGAAGCAAGAACCAAATAATTTTCTGTTAATTATAAATTACCTAGTCTCTGGTGTTCTGTGATGGCAGCACAATAAAATGGACTAAGACAAATAGAAATAGAAAATTGTCTTTGATGGTAAACTGCTTTGCCCAAGTGTTTTCTTTATCTGAAAAAGGAGGAAACTGAAGTAGGTGCACTCTAAGATCCCTGTAAGTGCTGACATTCCGTGAATGGTAAGCAGAACAGTCTGATATGAACATTTCAGCCTCACGTCAAGAGGGCTGGATTGTATTCCACACTCAGTTACTGGCTCCACTGCATAAATCGTGCCCTCCAATGAGGTCAGCGCCAGGGCTCTGTGTGTAAATCTGAGAAGCAGACTGACCACTTGTGAAATGGCTAGAGAATGGGAGCACAGATATAGAAAGATTTATGATGTAGCAGGAGATTTGCAAGACTATGAGGGAATGAGAGAAGGCAAGTATGCACTCTCATTGCAATTTCTAAGCCTGTAATCATCTATCTGCAAACTTTTGAACCTGTCCTATTGCCCTCCTAGGGCTTATACACTTTGACATTTTCAAATATAGTATGAACTCTTCTAATGTGAAAGCAAAGACTCTTGCTCATTGCCAGGGCAAATTTCAAGATAACATGACCAAAGATGGTGAAAGGACAAAATGTTGGGAGTAGTTATTTACATCATCCTGGATAAAGAGCCCCACGGGTACCATATCAAAAGCTCTGTTTATGACATTCAAAAAAACCTAGCCAACTAGCAGCAGGAGGTGTTGGATGGGCTGGCAAACATTCTTTTTCTTTTGTAGATGCTAAAAGCATCACAGATTTAAATCATAGATTGGAATAACATATCTAAGAATGGCTGGGAGGCAAACATATTTGAGTTTAAACAATATGCATTAAAAATACGAATAACCATCTTCCTGTATTAATCACGTCAAATGATTTTGTTTTTCTACACTATGCAGATGTCTCTTGCTAAGCAAAGTAACACATTTCTATTTCAAGGCTATTAACAGTGGAGCAGCTGTACACTACCAGAGAATTTTTAGAAATCATAATGAAATTAAACAGCAGATACAAAAAGAAAAAAAAAAGATGCCTTCTTTAGAGCTGTGCTGGTTGATGGTATTATCTTATTAAATATATATTTCAAGTACATGATACATTTCCATAGAGTGATATTAGATCAGTAAATTGTAACTAATTGGGACAGAACCTTGAGGTTCACAAAAAATCCCCACATTAAGAGAACAAAATGCTTTCTTCTAAAGGATCAAGACAACGATTTATTCATATAGTATGACTCTCTGTTAAATGTGTAAAAGATGTTCTGTAGGTGAAGCACCAATTGATGCTGAAGAGTGCACTATGAAGTTTCCAGTAGCAGCATCAGTTAATAGCATTTACTGAATAACCACTGTGTACCAAATGGCATTCAGCATTCAACTCTGGAAGTTAAGTGTCTGTATTTTACCCATTACTTCCAGTAAGGGAAATGGAGTGTTTTTGTTTTGTTTTGTTTGAGAGAGAATATAAAAAACTGAGATGTATATATCAAAACATAATATATGTATCCATTTCACAGTTCTTACTCTTTTTACTCTTTTTATTCCTGCTTTTGTGAACTATAATTGTATATATTTACGATTTACAACATGATGATTTGGTATGCATATATATTGTAAAATGATGAGCATGATCAATTTAGTTAACACATCCGTCACCTCACATAGCTACCATTTTTTTCTGTGTAGTGAGAACACTTAAAGTCTACTCTTTTAACACATTTCAAGTATAAAATATAATATTATTAACTATAGTCACGATGCTTTATATTAAATCCCCAGAATTTACCTTTATTTATTTATTTTTTAGGTGTGGGATCTCACTCTGTCATCCAGGCTGGAGTGCAGTGGCGGATCATAACTCACTGCAGCCTCCAACTCCTGGACTCAAGCGATCCTCCCGCCTCAGCCTCTCAAGTAGGTGGGATTATATGCATAAGCCCCAATGCCCAGCTCAGAATTTATTTATCTTTTAACTGAAAGCTAGTATACCTTGAGCAACATCTCCCCATTTCCTCCACTCTCCAGCCCCTGGAAATCACCATTCTATTCTCTGTTTTTATGAGAGTAACAGTTTTAGAGTTTATATATAAATGAAATCATGCAGTATGTGTCTTTCTCTGCCTGGTTTATTTCACTTAGCATAATGCACTTCAGGTTTATCCATGTTATCACAAATGGCAGAATTTTCTTCTTTTTATGGCTAAGTAATATTCTATTGTGTGTGTGCATATTTTTTTACCTTCCATTGTGTGAGTATATACATTATATATGTGCGTATGTATATATAGACATATATGTGTGTATAAACACACACACTGCATTTCTTTTACCCATTTATCAATTGAAAAATTTTGGTTGTTCTCATGTCTTAACTATTTTGAATAATACTGCAATGAACAGGGGAATGCAGATATTTCTTTGAGATGCTGATTTTATATCCTTCAGATATATATCTCAAGAGAAGTGGCATTGCTGGATGATATAGTGGTTCTATTTTTAACTTTTGAGTAGCCTGCGTATTGTTTTCCATAATGGCTCTGCCAATTTACATTTCTACCAACAGAACACAAGGGTTCCCTTTACTTCACATCCTCACCAACACTTGTTATTTCTTGTCTTTTTGATAATAGCAATTCTGACATGTATAAGGTGATATCTCATTGTGGTTTTGATTTGCATTTACCTGAGGATTAGTGATGTTGAGCAGCTTTTCATGTGTCTGTTAGCCATTGTATGTCTTCTTTGGGAAAATGTTTATTCAAGTCCATTGCCCTGTTTTTTGTTTTTGTATTTGTTTTTGTTTTTGTTTTTTGAGATGGAGTCTCCCTCTGTCACCCAGGCTGGAGTGCAATGGTGCAATCTTGGCTCACTGCAACCTCTGCTTCCCGGGTTCAAGCAATTCTCCTGCCTCAGACTCCTGAGTAGCTGGGATTACAGGTGCCTGCTGCCATGCCCAGATAATTTTTATAGTTTTAGTAGAGACGGGGTTTCACCATGTTGGTCAGGCTGGTCTCGAATTCCTGACCTCAAGTAAATTATTACTAATTCAAGGCCCACCTCGGCCTCCCAAAGTGCTGGGATTACAGGCATGAGCCACTGTGCCCGGCCCTCCATTGCCCATTTTTTAATTGAATTGTTAGTTTTTTATTTATTTTTTGCTGTTGAGTTGTATGAGTTTCTTATATATTTTGGATATTAACCTCTTATCAGATATATAAGGTTTGCAAATATTTTATCCCATTCCATAGGTTACCTTTTTATTTTATTGTTTCCTTTGCTGTGCAGTAGCTTTTTAGTTTGATGTAGTCACACTTGTTTACTTTTGCTTTTGTTGCCTGTGCTTTTGCTTTTGGTATCATACTTACCCAAAAAAATAATTGCCAAGATTAATGTCAAGAAGCTTTTATCCTATGTTTTCTTCCAGGAGTTTTATGGATTCAGGTATTACATTTAAGTCGTTAATCCAGTTCAAGTTAATTTTTGTAAGTGGTGTAAGACAGGGGTCCAATTACATTCTTTTTTATGTGGATATCCTGTTTTTCCCAACACTAATTATGGAAGAGACTATTCTTTCTCAATTACATATTCTTGGTGCCCTTGTCAAATATTTGTTGACCATACATGTATGGATATAGTTCTAGGCTCTCAATTCTGTTCCTTTGTTCTATGTGTCTGCTTTTACACCAGTGTCAAACTGTTTTGATTACTAAAGCTTTGTAATATAGTTTGAAATCAGGAAGCATGTTGCTTCCAGCTCTGTTCTTCTTTCCAAAGATTGCTTTGACTTTTTCATGTATTTTATTGTTTCATATAAATTTTAGTGCTGTTTTTTCTATTTCTGTGAAAAAATGCCATTGAAATTTTGATAGGTATCACATTGAATCTATGGATTGCTTTGGCATGTGTAAACATTTTAACAATATAGATTCTTCTAATCCATGAACATAGGACACCTTTTCATTTATTTGTGACATCTTCAATTTCTTTCATTAGCGCTTTATAGTTTTTAGTACATAGATCTTTCATCTCCTTGGTTAAATTTATTTCTAAGTATTTTTTGATGTGATTGTAAGTGAAATTGTTTTATTTCTTTATTCAGATATTTTGTTGTTAGTGTAGAGAAATGCAATGGATTCTTTGTATGTTGATTTTGTATCCTGCAACTTTACTAAATTTATTAGTTTGAACACTTTTGATGTAATCTTTAGGGTTTTAAAAAATACATAAGATTATGTCATCTGCAAACAAGGACAATTTCCCTTCTTCCTTTCTGATTTGGATGACTTTTATTTCTTTTTCTTGCCTAACTGCTCTGGCTAGGACTCCAAGGTACCTTGTTGAATAGAAGTGCAAAGAGTGGCATCCTTGTCTTCCTTCCTCCCTTTCTAATCTCAAAGGAAAAGCTTTTACTTTTCACCATAATATGGTGAGATCTGTGGGTTTGTCATATGCAGCCTTTATTATGATGAGGTGTATTCCATCTATACCCAATTTGTTGAAAGTTTTTATCATAAAAGAAGATTGAATGTTGTTAAATGCTTTTTCTACCTCTATTGAGATGATAATATGATTTTTATCTTTCATTTTGTTGATGTGTTATATCACATCTATTGATTTGTGAAGCCATCCTTGCATCCCAGGGATAAAGTCCACTTACTCATGGCGAATTATGCTTTTAATGTGCTGCTGCATTTGGCTTGCTAATATTTTGTTGAAAATTGTTTCATCTATGTTTTTCAGTGATATTGGCCTGTAATATTCTTTTCTTGTACTGTCCTTGTCTGGCTTTGTTATCAGGGTAAACCTGGTTACATAAAATGAGTTTTGAAGTGTTCCCTCGTCTTCAATTTTTTTGGAAGAGTTTGAGAAGAATTGGCATTAATTATTTAAATGTTGGGTAAAATTTAGCAGAAAAGCCATCAGGTCTTTGATTTTCTTTTATGGGATACTTTTTGTTACTAACTCATTCTCCTTACTTGTTATGGAACTGTCCAAATTTTCTAGTTCTCCATGATTCAGTCTTGCTAGGTGTATGTGTCTATGAATTTATCTATTTCTTCTGAATTGTCCAATTTGTTGGTATATAATTGTTCCTAGTAGTCCTGTGTGACCCTTTGTAGTTCTGTATCAGTTGTAATATCTCGTCTTTTACTTCTGATTTTATTTGAGACTTTTCTCTTTTTATCTTAGTCTAGCTGAAGTTTTGTTGATTTTATATATCTCTTCAAAAAACTAACTCTTAATTTTGTTGCTCTTTTCTATTGGTTTCCTATTCATTATTATTTTATTTATTTATGCTCTAATATTTATTATTTCCATTCTTCCACTAACTTTGGGCTTAGTTTGTTCTTTTTCTAGGTTTTTGAGGTTTAAGTTTGGTTGTTTATTTGAGATCTTTCTTTTTTTCTTAATGTAGGCATTTATTGCTATAATCTTCCCTCTTACAATAACTTTTGCCACACCCCACAGTTTTGGTATGTTGTATTTTCATTTTCATATGTCTCAAGATATTTTTTGTTTCCCTTTTGATTTCTTCTTTGACCCATGGGATGTTCAGGAATATGTAGTTTAATTTCCATGTATTTGTAAATTTTCAAATTTTCTTCCTTATTGATTTCTGGTTTCATACCATAGTGCTTAGAAATGACACTAGATATGATTTCAGTCACTTTGGGTTTAAGAACACAGATAGGTTGAAAGTATAGGCATGGACAAAGTCTCTACTCTTATTGTATTGCTGTTTATTTCTCCTCTCAGTTCTGTTAATATTCACTTTATATATTAGGTGCTCCAAAGTTAAATGCATAAATATTTACAATTGTTATATTTTCTTGATGAATTAACACCTTTATCATTATATAGTAACCTTCTTTGTCTCTTGTAACAGTTTAAAAATATTTACTTATCCTTAATTGACAAAAATTGTATATATTTATTGTTTACAACATTTTTGAAGTATGTAGATAGACACTATAAAATGATTAGATAGGATTTATCAACATATGCATTACCTCACATACTTATCTTTTAAAATGCAAGAACATTTTAAATATACTCTTAATGATTTTCAAAAATACAATATATTTCTAACTATGGTCACCATGTTGTACAAGAGATTTATTGAACCTAATCCTCATGTCTAACTAAAGATTTGTATCCTTTAACCAACATCTCCCCAAACACCTCCCAGAGAGTTTCCCCTGGTACCTACCATTCTACTCCCTGATTCTATGAGTTCAACTTTTTTTAGATTTCACAATAAATGAGATCATATGGCATTTGTGTTTCTTGTAACAGTTTTTTTTCCTAAAATCTATTTTGTCTAATATAAGTATAGAATTTGTCCATGCCTTACTTTCAACCTATCTGTGTTCTTAAACCTGAAGTGAGTCCCCTGTAGGCAGCATAAAATTGAATCTTTTTTTCTCCACTCTGTCATTTTAGTCTTTTGATTGAGGAATTCAATCCATTTACATTTAAAGTAATTATTCATAGGTAAAAACTTATTGCCATTTTGTGAATTGTTTTGTGACTGTTTTTTAGTTATTTTTTTCCTTTTTTCCTCTCTTTCTAGCTTCCTTTATGATTTGATGACTTTCTGTGGTGGTATGCTCTGATTCTTTTCTCTTAGTCTTCTGTGTATCCACTACAGGTGTTGCTATTACCGTGAGATTTACATAAAACATCTTATAGTTATAACATTATATTTTAAGCAGATATAACTTGAGTATATGTAAAAACTATACTTTTACTTCCCACCTCACAGTATAGATTATTGATGTTATAATTTACATTTTTATGTCTGTGTTCACTAACAAATTATTATAATTATAATTATTGTTAAGTTATTTATTTTTTAACTATTATAGTAGAGTTGAAAATGATTGCCAGGTATTTGGCAGCACTTTGGCAGGACGAGGTAGACAGATCACTTGTGCTCAGGAGTTGGAGACCAGCCTGGGCAACACAGCAAAACCCTGTCTCTAAAAAAAATACAAAAAATTAGCTGGGTATAATTCCAGCTTCATGGGAGGCTGAGGTGGGAGGATCGCTTGGGAGGCAGAGGTTGCAGTAAGCAAAGGTTGCACCACTGCCCTCCAGCCTGGATGACAGAGTGAAACTGTCTAAAAAAAATAAAATAGAAAATAGTTTCTATGCCACCAATACAATATAATTCCAAATTTGACTATATATTTACTTTTACCAATAAGGTTTATACATTTACATCTTTTTATGTTGTTAATTAATGTGCTTTCATTTCAGCTTGAAGAACTCCCTTTAGTATTTCTTGTATGGCAGATATTGTAGTGATGAACTCCCTCGATTTTGTTTGCTGAAGTTTCTTCTTGATTTTTGAAGGACAATTTTTTTCTCGCTGTAGTATTCTTAGACGAAAATTTTTTTTCTTTCAATATTTTGAATTTATCATTTAATTCTCTCCTGGCCTGCAGGGTTGAGAAATCCACTGATAGTTTTTTGGAGGCTCCCTCATTATGTGATGAGTTGCTTTTCTCTGGCTGCTTTCCAAATCCTTTATATTTGACTTTTGTCAGTTTCGGTAGACCTATTCAGTTTTAACCTATTTGGGAACTTTCGGCCCTAATGGATCTGGATGTCCATTTCTTTCTCCAAATTTCGAAGTTTTCAGTCACTATTTCTTTAAATAGACTTTCTGTCCCTTTATAGTTTCCCCTTCTGGACCTCAAAAATATGTATAGCCAGATGCAGTGGCTCATGCCTGTAATCCCAGCACTTTGGGAGGCTGAGGCAGGCGGATCACTTGAGGCCAGGAGTTCTAGACCAGCCTGGTCAACATGGTGAAACTCTGTTTCCATTAAAATACAAAGATTAGCCAGGTGTCGTGTGGGTACCTGTAATCTTAGCTACTTGGGAGGCTGAGGCAGGAGAATCATTTGAACCTGGGAGGCAGAGGTTGCAGTGAGCCAAGATCATGCCACTGCACTCCAGCCTGGGCAACAGAGCAAGACTCAGTCTCCAAACAAAACAAAACAAAACAAAATGCATATAATATTAACTTGATGATGTCCTATAAATTATGTAGGCTTTCTTCACTTCTTTTCATTATTTTCTTTTTGCTCTCCTGACTGGATAATTTCCAATGACTTCTTAAATTTCACTGACTCTTTCTTCTGCTTCATTAAGTCTATTGAAGCTCTCTATTGAATTTTAGTCATTGCTCTAGGATTTATTTTTGATTTTTTGATGCTTTCTAGTTGTTCATCTGTGTTTTCTTATAGTTCAGTGAACTCCTTTCTGAGCATTATTCTGAATTCCTTGTCAGTCAGTTCATGCATCTTCATTTACTTAGCATCAGTTATTGGAGCTTTATTAGTTTCCTTTGGTGGTGTCATGTTTCCCTGATTCATCATAATTGGTGTATCCTTACATGGGTGTCTGCATTCGAGGAAGCAGTCACCTCTTTCAGCCTTGACAGGTTTGCTTCAGCAGGGAAGGACCTTCACTAGTCAGCCCAGCCTGGAGTTCTGAATGAACCAACTGATAGTGTCTGAAGGTAGGGAAAGCTTGCTGAAGGTAGGGAAGGCTTGTTGAGCAAAGTAACTGTCCCATGCTTTGAGGTCTGGTGGTACTACTGGCTGGGCCCCACAGTCAGATGGGTCCATTAGATGGACTTCATGTTAGAGCAGGACTCAGGGAGAGATACTGGATTGCATCTTCAATTTCCCCTGGTCAGGTGGTGCTTCAGTCTATGTTTCCCGGCCAAATGGTGCCACTGGCTTGGCTCCATATTGAGGTGGGGTCTCAGGCTGTGCTCTGTGATTGGGTGGGGCTGCACGCTGTGCGTAGCAGTTGGTTGGGATCACAGTTGGGTGGAGCTTCTGCCTTGGCCCTCTGGGCAGGCAAAACCACAGGTTGGGCTCTGCAGCCAGGTGAGGCTGTTGGCTTGATTTCCCTGACTGCGTGGGACTTCTGGCTGCACTTAGTGGCCAAACTGAACCACTGGCTCAGGACCCCAGCTGGGCAGAACTGCTGACCATGCTCCCTGGCTAGATGGGGTCACTGGCTTGGTTTTGCAGGTGGGCGGGCTCTCTGGTCAGTCAAGGTCACCAGCTGGGATGCAGTGCCACCACCAAGATCAATGTACTGGTTACTACGAGTCATGCCCTCCTTCTCTGTCCCTAGCTAATCCCAGGTGGTCTATCCCTGCCAATTTCTGCAGTGCTCTCCATAAGGTGAAGTGGGCCTCCTGGCAAGTGCCTCTGAATGTTGAAGAAGCTGAATATCTATCTTGGACTCTCTTTTTCCCATTGGGGAAACCAGAGGCCCAAGAGAACCTGTTGACGTGGCACTGTGCTAGCCTGAGAGACTAGCACAAGGTGCTAGCTCAAGGTGAGACTGTTACTCTTACTTTTTTAATGTGGGTTTTCTGTTTTGTACTCCGAAAGGGTGCTTTGGGCCTCATCCTTGGGTTCTGAAATTTTCACAAAGGCATTCTTGTATGTGGATAGTTGTTAGTCATATTTCTGTGAAGGGGACTAAAACTGAGCATCTTCTATTCTGCCATTTTGCTCCTACTGTTTCTTCATAATGGGTACATGAAGCACATAAAACTTAAATAGAAACAACAACAATGGTTGATTATTTTGCCTTTGGAAAATACTATTTTGATGGGAAAAAATAGTTTCTTATTTACCATATGCTAATATTGGTCACATTAGCTCCAGGAAAGCAAGGTAATACGTTGAATATTCTGATATTATAGATGGGATAAAACAGACAAAAGGCTAAGAAATGAATGAAAACATACTAGTTATGTTGGTGGCTATAAATTTTTGTGCCGTTTTTGTTATACTGGAGAATTATTTTTAACTCTCTTATTTATACTATGTACCACCATTTTGTTCTTATAAAGCACAACTCAAAACTTCTTCAAAGCCTTACAACATGCCGCAGAATAATGTGTCACTATTGCGTTGCTTATGAATGTTGAACACCTTGCAAAGGTTTTTATTTTAGAGAAATATTAGTCTTCAATTTCACATACCTGAAGTTAAAATGAATCACCCAATTTATGTCTGTTTTGACCTTATGATATATGTTGAATATTCACTAAAAAATCTCACTGGAGTTAGGCACACTTGCTTTATACAAAGCAAAATAAGACACATCTAATGGAGCTGTGTGAGAGAGCCCCTTGTTGGTGGGTTCTTTGCTCTTGCAAAGCTTTGGTCAGCAAAACCAACCCATGTAGTAGACACCAACCAGAGAAACTATACCATAGCCTCCCTTTATAGCAGGAGTAGAAGAGAATGCATCTATATTTTCGGATTTGTTGTTGTTGTTGTTGTTCTGAGATGGAGTTTCACTCTTGTTGCCCAGGCTGGAGTGCAATGGCACGATCTCAGCTCACTGCAACCTCTGTTTCCCGGGTTCAAGCGATTCTCCTGCCTTAGCCTCCCAAGTAGCTGGAATTACAGGCGTGTGCCACCATGCCCAGCTAATTGTATTTTCAGTAGAGATGGGTTTCTTCCATCTTGGCCAGGCTGGTCTCGAACTCATGACCTCAGGTGGGCCGCCTGCCTCGGCCTCCCAAAGTGCTGGGATTACCAGCATGAGCCACCGAGCCCGGCCTTGCATCTATATTTTCAATGTCAGTTTTCCCCCATTCCTAAGTCTCCAACTAAAAAGCTAAATATATAACTAATATACTGGGATACCATATCATTTCTTTATTCAGGAGATGTTGGTATTGAGGACAGGACCAGAAGGAAATCACATAAAATCACTACTTCAAACTGGTCCTCTGAGGAAATCAAAATAGGACAATCCATTTCCATGGATTCCCAACTTCCAAAAGTATTCTAATTTTCCCAGACATGGCTTTCTTATTTAAATTAAAGGCTCAGTTTCCTGTCTTCTTTTCCTGCCTAACTCCAGAAAACTTCTAAGGGAGCAAAGTAATAGAGGGCTCCAATTATCTCTAGCACACTCTGGGAGCCTTTATAAGGGCAAAATACAATTCGTTCTACAGCAAAGCACCTCTAACACATGGTCTCTAAGAGAACTTTGATCATGTGCCTTCGATTTTTTTTTTTTTTTGCCTATCAGAAATATTCTATACTTCTTTTTTCCTGCAGAGTCAACACATAATATTAAACAGCCTGTCTGCAGTATCTAATTAACAAACTGACTGCAGATCACTTACAACATAAAATATTAAATCATCTAAAAAACTAATATTCTCCACACCTCATAAATTAAAATAACCAAGAGACTGAAATGAAATAAAACCCTGATGCATATCGTTCTGGGCCTTTGCCCCCCAAAGAGGCTCTATTCCTTGAAGCATTTAACCATTTCAAAGAAAAAAAATATATATGCACACACACAGAGAGACACGCACACATACATGTATATCAAGCAATTTCAAAATGCTTTCTAGCGCCAGTTTATACTTCATCACAGCAACTCTAACTTGAGACCTCAGCCTGTACTTCTCTTGATCTTTTGCTTCACAAATCATTTTAAGTTCAGATATGGAGCTCATCAGTTATGTGTCTTTTCATTATAATTGCAATGCAGTCTTGGAGCTCAGTTCTGTTCCCATTGGCTCAATGGTCATCATTTATCTGCTTTGTATATTTAGGACATTATTTAACAGAAGCAGCAATCTGTTTGAAGAATTCAAGGGCCATTTGATATTAACACAGAGAATGATTAATCAAAGAGCATTTGGTCCTAAAGTATCAAGAGGAGCTGAGGTCATTAGCAGGGCAAAACCAGGAAGCAAGCTTTGACTAAGAAAATGAGATGGGCCAATACTTTGAGGATTTAAAATATAAATAAATAAGAAGGTTATGGTCATTCATTTCTGGAGCTTTTACTTTAAAGGATGACTGCTTTAAGAGATCTGAAAAAATATTACATTATTTCTTAAGATAGAGATTATTTTCTTTACAGTGAAATATGAAACTTTGCATCCAGATAATAGCTGAACCCATCAGTGTCTCTAGTAATAATTATTTCTTAATACTGGAATATTTCAATTATTACATATTGTAAATGAGAAATATCAACAGATGCAGAGCTGAGCATTGGATATGAGACAGAGCTGGACTAATTAAAACTGTTACCCTAGTGAGACTTCTCTGGCGCTCCAAGGTAAGGCCTTCTCTGCCAAAGAGACAGCGGTTTAATGTAATTATCCATTCCAAATTAGTTCAATTTTCTACATTTTTTTGTCAGTCATATCCATCAAGCATTTGCCCCATTGTATATTAGGGAAAATGGGAATGAACACCCCAAGAACAGTAAGAAAAAGCAATTATCTTAAATAGAAAAAAAAATTATCTTAAAAATTATCCAAATGTATCCTGAATTTGTATCCTATATTTGTTTTTACTGCTGCTGTGATGAATTGCCACAAACTTCGGCTTAAAACCACACACATTATTATTCCACATTTCTACAGATCAGAAGTTCTCCATATATCTCATTGGGCTAGAATCAAGGTGTCATTAGGGTGCCATTAGGAGATTCCAGGACAAGCCCTGCCTCTTTTCCTGCCTCTAGAGGTCGTCCACTTCCTTGGCTCATGGCCCCTTATTCTATCATCAAAGGTGGCAAGATCAGGCCAAGACCTTCTCACAGTGCCATCTCTCTGGTCATCTCTTCCAATTCCCTCTTCTACTTTTACAGGGACCCTTGTGATTACATTGGACCCACCTAATAATCCAGGAAAATCTCTTTATTTAGAGGTCAGTGGATTAACAACCTTTATTACATCTGTACCTCTGCAACCTTAATTCACCTTTGCCACATAACCTACCATGTCCACAGGTTCTGAAGATTAGGATATAGACTATTTTAGGGGAGGAAGGGTGGGCATTACTCTGCATACTAAACCAGGATTGGGTTGTATTTTATTTAAGATGTGATCCCAGGAAGGACTACGAGGGAATTAAGAAGTGAGACAGGGAAGGAAGAAAAGCAAATAAAAGGTGTGTTATGAACAAGCTACCGTTGCGGGCAATTGGCGTTCATATCTTCTGGGAACCATTAAGCGAATGTGTGGAACATGTCTTAGAACTGTACCCTGAGTAGTGAGAAAGCTAGGGTATTTATCCACCTACTTCCATTTCTTATTACTTCAAGGTGTTCCAGGGGTATTAACTCTCTCATTGCAGTTACCTCTTTCATAGTGTTAGAAAAGATAACTGCAAGTAGATCTAATTTGCATCATTCTTATAGGACTTCATCCCAGAAGACAGTATCCAGGTATTAAAACTTATTAGATACTTTGGCATTAGTTGGGTCATATGGATATCCTTGAACCAATCAGCATGGACAGAGGGATCACCTGTCATGATTGGTTAGGCCTGAAACTTGTCCCATCAAGCACGTGATGAATGGCCCCCGTAGCATCACACGGGATGGAGGTAGAGCAGTTCTCCAAGGGAAAAATGAAAGAAACAACAATCAGTGGTTTCTGGAAGAATGAAAGAATCTATAGAGGGCCCACAGAGGCCAATATCAAAGAACAGGCTTTGGGGTTCACCACTGCAGCAAGCCCCTCCAGCACACAGAGGTCCCACCTCATAATCACAAGTCTGAAAAGACAAGCAACATGGTGAAGGAAAGGAAGAAAGCAAAACCACCAGAGACCTACATTATCACAACTCCAGGGCTGGGGTTCTCTGGAGTGAGAAAAGCCAGGCCGTGGACCATCCTTGATATCCTGCTTTAAACTGGATTCTAGAAGTTTACAGAGTGAGGCTGCCCTAGAAGATGGTGATATAAAAGAAAAATACTCGAGAAAGGGCAAGAAAAGAATGAGTCATGGAAAAGAAAGAAAAAAATAAGCAAAAGATACATTAGCACAAGGATATATTAAGGGAAATAAAGAGAAGCATAAACAATGGAAATTTAGGACAACTTGGAATAGAAACAAGTTTTTGAAAAGTAGAAGTTGGGCATAAAATTAGTAGGACATCATAGAATAATTGCATCAGTTAGAGATAAGTCTAGTATTTTGATGAGTGGGTACCTGTTAGGCTTTGTATTAAGTTATCTATCTATCTATCTATCTATCTATCTATCTATCTATCTATCTATCATCTTCTAATCTGGACCTTCCAGGGTTAGAGCTTGTCTTTGGATGATAATGCAACTAAAATTCAAATTTGACTCCTACTGCTTTGGAAAAATGTCTCTTATTTTGCAAACATTTTGAAAACGTTGCAAAGGGGAAATTTTATAACACAATGAAAAGACTCCTAAAAAATTCTTCTTTACCCATTTCTCTTCCTAAAGCTCCATACTTTCCCTCAGTCGCTCTGTCTCCACCATTGCACCCATGCCACTCCCCGCCCCCAAATTTCAGTCCCTATGGGACCACTACTTAGTCTTTCACATCTTCTCCCACTTTTTGGGTATTGTTTTCCTCCCTATGTAGCTCCTTGCCCTTAATTCACTCAGTTGAACCCGGAGCCAAGCAGCAGTATACAGAAGCCTCTCAGGAAGGCAGAGAGGAGACACTCCCATACTTACACCATCACATGCTTGGCTCTGCCCCTCATGTATTCTCTCGCTTAATCCCAACAACAGACTGAGAAGGTAGGTATGATACCCATCATTCGATAGATGAGGCAACTGAGGTTTAAACCCAAAGCTGGCTGATTCCAAAGTCTGTGCTCTTAAGTACACTATGCTATATATCAGTGGTTGTCAGACTTTTTGGCATGAATTAAAAGTCATTGAAGGATATTTTTCAAATATGAGGATTCCAAGTTCCTACCCTAGAGTTTCTAATTTTGTTGTATTTCAGTGGGGCTCAGGAATCTGTGTGTTTAACCAGCACTTAGGTGACTCCAGTGCAGATAATTCTAATGCAGGTCAGACCCAGAACACACCTTGAGAAACACTGCTAATAAATCCTTCTATGGGGAAGATCACTGGGAACTGATGTAAGACTGAACTATCATATGCATACAGGGTTATATTTTTAAAGTACAGCATGTGCTACTACTTCCCACAGATGTATGGATTTTATGTGTTTGAATTCTACATAACCACTGTGGTCTCTATTGGTTTTGGACACAGTGCATTAGTAAACATAATATTATTTAAACTTTCACACTATGAGAAAAGATTTCAGTCCCTTTGCTATAATTCAGAAATAATATAAAGGTGTATCCCATGGTGTTTCAGGTTTAGAAGCCATTATAAAAAGCCATTTGTGGTCTCTGACAGTAACTTTAATTAAGAACAGTGCTTCTTCTCTAGTGGAAATTTTTTGGGGAAAAAAGAGAAAATGAAAGAAAGTGCAGCTAAGTTACAACCTTCAGAGGTTAATTTCTCAGAATGATTTTGTTTCTAAGTTGATATTCATTTGGGGAAATTATTCATCTTTCAAAAGCAGCGTAGGGTCATACTCTCTCAGAAACAGAGATCAGTGGTTCCAGAGGGTTCTCGGAGTTGACTCAAAGTGAACAGGAAGACCCTTGGCAAGGCTGGAGCTGGAGGTTGCTGGAGTGAGGAGGGTCTTGAGAGGAAAATTCCCTGTGTCACAATTTTGCCTTTGTCTTCATTCAGCCTTCTCTGGGCTTTGGGTGGGAAACAAGTAGGACTGACTGTTTATAGGGCTGCCTTCCGTTAACGCTGTGAAAAGACCAGTGAGGGGCTCTGATTCTTTTTCATCTCCAACATTTACCGTTTACTTTGATGAATCCTTCTTCCCCACTGCCCCCCACACTGCCTGCCGCCATGACAGTAATGGAGTGTTATGGGTAAAGACTTTGGAGCCAGACATGTGGGTTTAAATCTTCAGTTCCTCCTCTATAACACGGAAGTGGTAACTCATTGGATTTCGGTGAAAAACTAAATATATGTCAAGTCCTTAGCAGAGTGTCCAAAATATTGAAAATGGCTCTATGAATGTTAGCTATAATAAGGTTAAATTATAACTTAAAGTAAAATTTGCTATATGCCATTAAATGCCACAAAATGTGCAATCTTTATTCAACACATACGTGAGGAACACCTACCCTGGCCAGATTGTGGAGCCCAACAGTGAATTAGTCAGACATGTCCCTGCCCCGGAAAACTTACATTCTAGGGAGGAAAACAGATATTAATAAAATACTGAGCACATTTTGGTAAGTTAATATTCTCCCCAGTTGATAAGGAAACACGAGCTCAAAGAAGTTAAGGAACTTAGCAAAAATTCAAGCCCTGTATACAGCAAATCAGAGATTAGAATACAATTCTGCCTGACTCCCTAATTCATATTTCATCTACCACCATGTGGCTTCAGCAATAGAGGATTTATCTTCTGTAGGTTTAAATGCCTTCCCCATCTCTACCACCACGAAAGGGCCTGATTGCATTCTTTATACTGTGTGTGTAAACAATTTCTCACAGACTGGGAGCTGAGAAAATTAGGATTTATTTAATGTTTGGGAAATGTAAAGGTAAAGAGAAACCTTTGATTCATGTGATGTTTTGGTTTAGTTGCTCAAACCCTAAATTTAAAAAAAAACAACCACAAAAATCAGAGACTGGGGAGGAGCAAAGGTCTTAAAACATTCTTCAGGTATTTTTAGTTACAGCTCAGAAAGCCATAAAGAAAAAGTTATAAATAAAAGTGCTTGATCCTGCACAGTACTCATTTACTAGGAAGACGCTATATTATGCAAAAGCATACTTGAATGCTATTCAGTGAAACAGGTAGAAATAAGCTTTGACATATATCACAGCACATGGCTAAATCTGGTGTGGAAAAACCCCACAGCATTGCCATCACAATGAAATAAATTATTCTTTTTATTTTTTCAGTTTTCCTGATTTAAGCCTTATAGTTGTTTCTGTGAAGTTTTACAACTTTCTTCTGCAACCAACCCTTCTAAGGAAGTTGAGGATTTCTTCTCTCTGTTTTTCCCTCATCATCTTCTAATGATAATATAGAGATCAAAACTCAAGTGGTAAAAAGGAGGTAAGAAGAGAAAGTAGGAGATGAGTAGAATATGCGAGAATGAACTAATTAACTACATCAAAAGGGTGGGGCTGAAGACACTTTCATTCACCCAGTCTTCCAAAGCTATTTGTTTGTTTTTTGAAACAGAATCTTGTTCTGTTGCCCAGGCTGGAGTTCAGTGGCACGATCTCAGCTCACTATAACCTCCACCTCCCAGATTCAAGCGATTCTTGTGCCTTGGCCTCCCGAGTAGCTGGGATTACAGGCATGTACCACAACACCCCACTAATTTTTGTATTTTTAATAGAGACGGGATTTCACCAGGTTGGTCAGGTTGGTCTCGAACTCCTGACCTCAAATGATCCTCTCATCTCAGCCTCCCAAAGTGCTGGCATTACAGGCATGAGCCACTGCCCGGCCTCCAAAGCCATTTGTTTTGTTTTGTTTGTTTTGCTAAACAAAGAGTTTAGCAAAAAGGACCAGAATATAACAGCCAAATCTAAATTTTTTTTAAAAAATACTAGTAACAAATCAATAGCTCTTATTAGGAAAGTCGATAAATGTCAGCCAGGCTCACAGTGACTAGGACAGAGTTAATGAACTTACTGTCCATCCAAAGGGTCATCCAGAGCCTTACTGTCCTCACACTCAGCTCTATATGCGAGGTGCTTGACAGACAACATCTGGTTAGTTAAAATAAATAATTTTAATTTCTTATAGATTTAATCAGAGACTGGGTCTCGCTATGTTGCCCAGCTGTTCTCGAACTCCTGGCCTCAAGTGATCCTCTCATCTCAGCCTCCCAAAGTCCTGTCATTACAGAGACGAGCCACCGTACCTGGCTATTACTTAAATAGTAAATTCATTTGGCATTGCCATTTGGTGCTGATGACCCTCTTCAGAGTCTCCCCAGTATCTGCCAAGTTTCCAGACAAAGTCACAATCACAAGGGCATACTCTGAAGAGGCTGTTTATTCGGTACAGATCTTGTGTATTTTTAATCACAACAATTTTCCTTTTATAAAGAAATCTCATTTGACCTCTAAATAGGCCATCATACATTTTATATTTTCTCTGAATTTCTTCTTGGGTTGGGATCCGAATAGTTTTCATCAAGGGTGGATTGCAGTCTTCCTAGGTACATCTTTTTTTTTTTTTTTTTTTTTTTTCAGAAGAGGGTTTACTAATTTTATCAGGTTCTTAAAGAGGTCTGGGAACAAAATAAGGTTTAGGATTATTGGTTTTCCAGTCTCTAATTCTTACCTGTTACCTCTAAGTCCACTCACTATCTTGATCCTTAACTGCTTCCCCTCTTGGAAGCATCTTTGGTCCTTATAGGTTAGTACAGGTTTTTTTCTAGATTTCTGATCACCACCAATCAGAAAATATTTATAAATTATATGCTGAAAGATCTGCAGAATCTTGCAAGCTTTAAAGACTATAGAATGAAATACTCAAATGCTGTATTCTTTTCTCATGTCTGATGAAGATACCTGTGCCATGTATTTTTTAAAATCAAAGTTAAGCCTGCGCAGTTGGGTTCAGTTTAGCTACATGAATTGTTCTAACCCTCATGTTGAAGTCAAATGGTTTCTTCAATGCATTTTTTTTCTGATAAAGAATAAAATAGTGTATATTTTGTAATACCTAGAAAAGAAGTTTTAAAATGTTCTCAACACAAAGAAATGATAAAAATTTAAGGTTTAGATATCCTAAATGCCCTGATTTGATCATTACACATTGTATACATGTATGAAAGTATCACATGTACACCAAAAATATGTACAATTATTATTTATCAATTAAAAATATTTTTTAAGAAGGCAATGAGGTCTTCTTATTTTTCCTTGTAGCCTCAGTATTGACTATGACCACTGAGAAAGCCAAAATCCCCACTCATTCACGGAATGTGGGGGTGGGACCAACCCCCCGAGAATTTCCCTAATCTTCCTCCAGGTGTCAGCACAGGCCCACTCATCTTCCCTCCCACCCCACCCCCTCCTGTCCATTCATAAAGTGGAGGGTGATTTGTGGTCTGCCTCACTGTGATTGTAGAGGAAAACAGCCATCTTTGCTTGTCTCTGCACTAGATTTGTTTTTCTAATTTCTTTTTACTTGAAGGTTTACCAGCTGCTTTATTACCAGAGCGAGGCTTCCTTGCAGTCTCTTTTCTTTTTCCTCTCCCCCTCTGTTCCCCTCCTTTTTGTTCCTAGAGACAATCAGTGTCTCTGGTCCCAGCTGCCACTGCTGATTTTTCATTACAGTTTAATTTAAAACTGGGATTGGAATGGAAATGTCTTTTTGCCATTTGGGGTTTGTGAGGCCTGTGGTTTTATTGCCAAAGGCACAAATGTTAGTTACTACTGTTTTTCCAGAGTTTGCTGGGGAGGGTGAAGGGGTATAGGAGAGTAGGAGGGAAGAAAGACAGACTGACCTAGTGGAAGTGGGAGGGAAACTGGAGGGGGAAATCCCTCTTTCGGAAGGCAACTTTATTCTGCGAATTGTTTTGTTTGATGTTTTGAAGAATACGAGTTGGGTCACGAGGAGGGAGAAATGGCGTAGGATCTCCCCAAATGTGTATTTATGTAGGCTAAATATTTGTCAGCCCTGGAAATGAGATGGCTGAGGGAGGGACGATCACACAGACACAATTTGGAACTAGCACCAATGTAGAGAAAATGGTTTTCTTTTTAAGTAATAGTAACGTCTGTGGCTGATTCACTTGACCACAGCCGTAAATGGGAATACCCAAGGAAGGACTAAACGGTATCTAACCTCAGAGGAAACAAGCTCTACATGTTTCTATGCTCTCACCTAAAAGGAGACATCAGGCATCTATCTGCACTAGCTTCTGTGTTCTCTCTCCTTTTATATTTCTTGGACTCAAGTCCTAGGATTTATTTACAAGCCTCCCTCCAGTCGTATCCCAGTCCAGCTACACAATTAATGTTTCCTATAATCTCTTAGAAGGTTCTTAGTGAATGATTGTTTTGATCAGATTAAAACTAAACAGTCTGCTAAAATTGATGATGTTTTTACCTATCTAAGTGTAAAATTAAGAAGGAAGGACATTCTTATTTGAAAGTAATCATGCAGCAGGCGGTGGAGAGAAGCTGAGGCATTTGCACACCTTGATTTCAATATTTAGCACTGACATTGGAGGCAGTTGTTTCCTGGTTGGGGAGGAATCTACAGAAACCGGAATGTCTTATCTGTCTTGCTAAAAACAATTACTGTCTCTCCTCCCAGCAAGAATCCCGCTCCTCCTGGATACACCAGTTTTGGATGTCAAACCGAATGCTCCATTATCTCTACAGATCGCGCTGACTCTTCACACTGTGGAACATTTCAACCTCCTCTCCAACTGGCCTCAGGCGGCTGTCGGACTGGTGAACTTGTCTGGGGTAAACACATCTCCCTGTCACAGAGCAGCCCAAAGACTCAGCGTGCTTTGCGGGTGCTTAAGGCCTTGTGCTGCCAGTCTGCACATTTTGTGTGCTCTTGGTTAATCGGGACATTTTATCCAAAAGCACATTTCGGCCAGGCTTCCTCTCCTGCAGACTCACCCCCATCCACTCCTTCCCCACCTGTCTAGGGTGTTCTGTTTCCCTGCTGCAGGGCGGAGGGCAGCGGTCCAGGAGCCCCACAATCATCCCCAGTTTCCAAAACTGTTGTGGTTGCCTTTGCAGTTCACACGGACATTCTAGTGGTTGGAATTTGCTCACAGAAGACATTCTACTAATAACAGGGGAGATAGTTCTCATTTGTCTAGTTCAGAGTTCATAGCACACAAAGGGGGAAAGAAAATAATAATAATGGAAACCGTTTTAACCCCACCAGCTGCCCCGCCTCCATCACAACAACAGAAACAAGAACAACAACGACAACTCCCTCACCCTGTGCCCTGTGTGGTTAACTCCAACACAACCACAGCCCCCGTGCCGGAAGCTGTGTGTGGCTGAACGTCCCGATGTGATACTGAAATATGTGTAGAGGAAATGCCTCTTCTGACCCCTCAGTGAAGCTTGAAACTTGAAGGAGCTGATTGACATTTGAAGAAAGCAGCTATTTTTGTGTGTGTGCAATTTTCCCGGATGAAGAAAATTGTCCAGCTCTCCCTCTCCGTTGCTCAGCCCTCCCCCAGAGGCTACATCTCATACCAAGCAGTGGGCTCTAAGGGCAGGTCTGCTTGTGCTGTGAGGACACAGGTGACGTCTTTAAGGACCTTCTTTCCTGCTCCAGTATACCACATGTTGTGGTCAGCTCCCTGTAAGGCAGATATTGCAGCCACCTTTTCTTTCCAGGTTTACCAAAATAAATGCAGGGGGAACTATGGATGGAGCATTTTTTGCCCTGTTTGACAGGAAAGTGGCTGTTTGATCTTCCTTTGTGCTATAGGAATCTTCAGAAATCTCTTGGAAAATCTCATAAACCTATGTTAGTGGCCACATATGGGATCCATTAACTCCTCATTTCTGCTTGTTCTTAGCAAATTTTTGTCTGGTGACAACATAAAAACTTTGGATTGTTTTTGTTTTGCTTCACACCAGAGAGAACTCTGTTGACTGGCTTTAGTTTTGAGAAAATATTCAGCAAAAAGCAGACCGGGTTTGGAGTGAAATAACTAATTCTAAGTAAAGCTTGGTGGAACATTTGGTTCATGAGGAAGTAGGGGGACATTTTTCTTCTTTGGGTTTCAGGGGGATTCCAGAGTTGCCAGTGTTCTGGGAAGACGTCTCCTTTTCTGATGAAATTGAATAAGAAATCCGGGCTTTCTTCCTATCTCCAACTATGTGTATGGTGTGATTTTGGAATAGTGGAGTGGTCTCTCTTAGTTTCTCAATGTTTGTTTTCTAAATAGAGGACAAAGCAGCAACATACTCTTTTGCAAGACACGCCAATATCCTTAGATAAAAAGGTGTTAAATAATGACATCATACCAGTATTTGGAACTAAAATTACTCGTGTATGACAAAAACCAGATTGGAGGATGTTAACTCAAAGTAGACAGAGAGAAATTTAGAAGAAAATTGGCTTTTATTTTTCTGTTTTAAGTAATTAATAAATGAAACACAACAATCTGCGCTTTCACCCACAGGCAGCATCAGGGGACATCAAACATTGCCTTTGAAGTGGGCCCCCAGTAGGGAGGACCCCACTGTTCAGGCTACTTTATAGTGGTAATATACTGTCTGGAAAAAACAGATGCCAAGAAATTGTGCAGATTGTATCTCTGAGCATCTGAAACCCTAAAACTTCAGGGGGCCAAGGAAGGTCCCAGCCCTTTGATTTTTTTTCTCTTAAAAAAAAAAATTGGCCTAAAGTATTAAATTGAAACAGGCACTTCATTTCTTTCCTTCATTTCTCCCTTCACCTCAGGAGACCTACGTTAAATTCCACTTAGATCACAGCTAGATGTGGGTTTGATGGTCTCAAGCCACCTTTTAACTGTACGTTCATCCCATAAATAGAAGACGAATAAAGATGTCAAACTTCATCCATATGATATTCTGACACACGTGGCTCTCTCTGTTAAAGAGGAGCTCAGATGAAGATGGGCTACAATGGATTCTACAGAGCAGAGAACTGCAACAAACCACAGTGAATTTGCACACATAAACAAGAGCAGTGTGGATTACAAGACGGTAGTTGGCAGAGATTCACTTGTCAATGTCGTTCTGAATGGATGTTTGCAGAAGGACAGCAATTGGGCTGGTGAATTCAGTGTGGGCCACTTTCCTAAAGCCATCGTCATCAAACTTTGTGTTTAAATGTCTGTTTTCCAGGGCAAGCCAAGTAAGGCCTATGCTTAAAACAAGGTGTTTTGAAATCAGATTTAGCTCTTCATGTTCTGAGTAAAGATACAGGGATACTAATTTGGGGATTATGCTATTAAGATTTACACATTTATCTGTGTCCTAACTAGGCAAAGAACCAAATCTAACAACTGGAAAGCAAGAAATATACTGCCAAATATTGGTAATTTCTTCCCTGGAATACTCATGGCTATTTTTAGTTTGTTAATGTAAAAAGCAGTGAGATGAAAAGTGAAGTGATCTGTTTCCAGAAGAAAAACCGGTCAAATCTTCATTAATAATTCCTGTAGAACGCTCCATGGGCCTTTATCTGACAGCGTGACAAGCTGAACTAAACAACAGAGACTGTAGGAATGTAAAAGACATAATCTTAACACCAAACCTTCTGAAGATTTGGCTGTCATTTTACATTAAAGGCAAAGGGTAAAAACCTCCATTGAACAGACAGAGTTTGCAGCATGATTATAGTGCTAAAATTTAGTGGGGAAGAAAAAGCTGACATCAGAGTTAGTAAATGGTGGTGTTGCAGGGTATCGAACAACTAAGCTTTCTTTGCATGACTAGCTGGAGGTTTTTGAGTGTGACGGATATGACGCAGGTATGATGAGATGTAATTTAATGATTTTTAGGCCTGGTGACAAATCTTCATTATCAATAAAGACCGTGTAACAAGTGTTGAGCTATAACCATTGCATAAAAACTAACTCAAGAGTCTAGACTCTGCTTATATTTCCATATAGTGATTTATACTTCCCAATGTCTTTACATATTATAGTGTCTATTGAATCATGACAATGCTATGGGGCAGTCAGGGTAAACATTATTATGCTCTTCTACAAATGAGGAGCTCAGTCAGAAATACAAAAGGACTTGTCCAGGGTTAATTACCTGGTAAATATCTGGGTTGAGATTAGATCCAGTTTTTCTGCCTTTGTACCTGTGCTTTTGCTCTCTCTGTCTCTCTCTCTCTCTCTCCATATATATATATATACACACACACACACACACACACACACACACACATATATATATAAAAATACAATATATTTTAATTTTATCTTTATTTTTTAGAGACAGGGTCTTGCTCTGTTGCCTAGGCTGGAATGCAGTGGTGTGATCATACCTCACGGCAATCTTGAACTCCTGGACTCAAGCAGTCCTCACCATTCGGTCTACCAAGTAGCCAGGACTACAGGCATGAACCATCACATCCAGGCAGGTTTTTTTTTTTTTTTTAATTTTTATTTTTTATGGAGGCAGGGGCTTGTTATGCTGCACGGGCTGGTCTTGAACTCCTGGCCTCAAGTGATCCTCCTGCCTCAGACTCTCAGAGAGCTAGGATGATAACTGTGAGCCATCATGCCTGGCCTCAATATATTTTAAAAATAAAAACAAGTGCAAGCTGCAAAAGTTGAATAGATCAGTGTCTATCCAGGCAAAGATTTCAGAAAAGAGTTAGAGTTAGCAAGAATAGATATAAAGGCAATGAGCAAGGGCTATGGGAGCACATTTATGTTGCAGCTCCTCAAAGTTGCAGGTCTTCTTGTCCATCATGTGAGCAAAATTAAGGCAGGAAATTGTCTGTTATTGTGGTGTGGCTACTTTTCCTAAGATCACATGATAATTCATAATTAATGATACACTAACAGTAACTCACACTTCTAAAGTACTTATTTTATGTCAGGCTGTATTCTAAGCCCTGTACTGTACATCGATTCATTTACTTCCTATGGGGTAGGTTTTAATATTATTCCCATTTTATTGACAAGGAACCTATAACTTCATCTGTCAGAGTTTTTAGCTGGGAATCATTCTGCAATAAGGTTAAGAGGTATTATAGAAGTCTGTTTGGGCCAGCCTTTAAAATAGTGTACATAATATCTCAGGCTGCAGAGAGAGAGAGAGAGAGATGAGAGGAAAGAGAGAAAGAAAGATGGTGGGAGTGGTGAAGGCTGGGAAGGCATCTCTCTCTCTCCTCATTCTCTCTCTCACTTTATCAATATTTCCTGAGCACACCCTGTCAATGCTCCCTTTGTTAATAACCTTTCAGTTCTTTCAGAGCAAAGGTTGGCCTGCAGCTTTCTCCCCTTCCTGCTGCCTGTCAGGAGAGGAAATCGCAGCTTTCAGAGGGACCTGACACAGGGGGAACTGGATAGCACCAAGGGGTCAAGGGTAAGAATGCAGGGAACAGTGAGAAATCCCAGATAGTGTCCAGCCGGGGCTAGGCAGGAAAGGCTCTGTCACATGTGCTCCTCCTGTTTGCTGTCTTTGGTTCCTGCAGGAAAGAAAATCACAGCAGATTTTGCGTGACCATGGTGCACACTCAGCCATCCAAACTGCTAGAGAACAATCGAGGGCTTTAGGGGAGGCGTTATCTGAGACTGTGGTTTTGCCAATTTCCTGTGTATAAATAAGCCAGGAAATTTAACTGAAATGATGTGGTATTGGTTAGATAACATAGATTTATGTAAAATTCATTATCAGATCCTATTGATCTAATAACCTAAGTGGCAAATCACACTGTGCGTAGTGGCAATGGGGTACGGAAAACACCTTATGAGAAGAGCACATTATGAAACCTCGCTTTGCGATCATCCAGCAGATTCCCTTCAGTGCATCTCAGTTGAAACTGAACTTCTGACCCCATTAAGAATGGGGTACAATGCATGCACCTTTCCTCCATCTATCTTGGCTGCTTCTGCTCTGCCTTGAGGACTTGGCTTTTGACAAGAACACACTTCTTCACAGAGGTCAGTGTGTCCTGATGTCAATCTCCTTCAGCACATTTTGCTCAGGGTTCAGGTCTCCCGAGTTATGAAAGGACGATCAGATACAGGCAACAAAATGACAGACCAGGAGGTCACTGGTTAAAGGGCTGGCATTGATTGTTTTGCTAGTGATGTTTCTAATTCCCATTAACTTTCACTAAGAATTATGTGTATGGAGCATGAGGAGGAGGCACGCTTATTAACTGAGTGTTACTCTCCCACTGGCAGTGAATACTACCATTTATTAATGAAGCTGCATGCTCTCAAAACATCTAATTGTAAAGATCATAGAATTTTAAACCTAGAATGGGCATTAGAGATCATTTAGTCAACTCCCTCACTTTAAAGAAGAGGAAACAGGTCCTGGGAGGCTAATCACTTACTCCAGGAAGGTCATTTAGTTAGTGGCAGAGTCAGGGCTCCACCCATACCCCACCCCCACCTATGCCACACTGACAAATTAACAAGTTTTAAATAGCTTCTAACACTTTCGGAGCCAGAGTGTGAAGTTCAATCTGTACTGCATATGGGTGCATATGGAATTTGAGGCATATTTAGTGGCTAGAGGCTATGGGCAGGTTATCTTTTAAAAATGCAAATTGCTATGTACTAAATAAAATGAATGTAAGTTTGAGGAAGTTCGTTCAGCTGGAGCTAATAGGCAATAGTGTTAATTAGTCCAAGGGAATGGGTCCAGTTTCCGCAAGGGCCAATTAGCTTCATACAATGGGGAAAAAAAAAGACTGTTTCCTAGACTTGGACTGTACCCCAAACTCAGCCCGCCTTGTCCCTGGGGAAACCAGGTGAGAGAGTGAGAATGACACAGCACAAATTCCCCTCCCCTGCTGGAAAAACAACTCAAGGCATTTCTCAGTGGAATCACCTTCCTACATTCAGGACAGATGTTTTGGAAAAAGTTGTATTAAGGCTGAAACATGGGGCTTCCTTGGAGCACATTTTCACACCCATTCTCCTCCCTTCTTTATGAAATGATGGTGACAGGGATTTTTACTGGAGTTTTGCAGATTAGCATCAAAGACCCAGAGAGGTAAAGTTATATTTTTTCACCCAGACGCAGGCAGTGAGAGAGAGCATTGGTTCAGGAGCTGGACCCAAGTCACTCGGACTTTTCATTGAACTAGATACAGCTTACCATAGGCACAGAGCTACCGCTTTCCCAACACAAAGAGGAAAAATGAAGGCATTCTGAGCTGCATTGATGTACTGGGTGTTTGCCCAGCTAGAAAGCCTGTTTCTTCTCCGTGACTGGGCCAAAAATAAAAAAAAAGAAACACGTGGTCACAATTCAACTGCAGTTTTCCTTGGCAAAATATAAACAGGCCCAAATGAGAAGTCTCCTGTAGTGCTGCCTGAAACGGCCCTGGCCCTATTTCATGAGTCCAAAATCAGCGACACATTGATGAGGATGGGGGAGGAAAGAGTGAGCACAGCAGAGAAAGGAAACTTTAAAATACACAAGTGAAGGCACAGCACATACAACTTCCATGTCTGTCTGGCCCTTTTTGGTTAATTATTGCTTATTTCAGGCCATGACTGTTTGTACAATGGTGACCTAGTTTATCCAGATTGGCTTTATCCTTTACAGAAATAACTAAAAATTTGTCAGTATCAAATGTAAAGCAGTCAAAAAGAGGCACCCAGTGTCTACAGATATTAAGTGGAGCCAAGCAACTAAGTCATAACCTTAGACACTTTACAATGTTCTCCCAGATAAAGCAGATTTTAAGCACCATAACTGAGATTGCTCCTCATTTTAACTATATTGTCTTTTGACAACATGAACACATTAACTATTGTTCAAAAAGATTTTTATACATCACTACACAATTCAGCCAGCACTTAGATTGAATTCTATTTAATCCAAGAATTCCTGACCATAATGCAGAGAGTTTGGGCAGCTTCTCTTTTACTCTTACCTAAGGTATTTTATTAAATGCTTATGGTTTCCGTGAAACTTATGTTCATAACTGAACAGAAAGCAGCCAAGACAAGCAAGAATAGCTTCTCAATGGACATTCTTTTTCCTGGCATCTCATATCCATTTGGGTGGGAGTTCAACAACAGGCTAGCAAGTTTTTCTCTTTGGGCCCGTACCAGAGGCCTGATCTCATCTGATTGTTCAGTGCTAGCATGGTGAGGTTGGGAATTATAATTGAGAACCTACTGACAATCAGGTTATTGTTTGATCTAAGCTGAGATGGTAATAGAAAGGTCAAAGTTGTTGGAAGGGGTGCAGGTATCATTTGGTCTAGCCCTCAATTCTTTCCAGTCTCTCTTCCATACCTCTATTTATAGGAAATGCACTTTTCCGTGAGGAAGCCCATTCTAGTTTTGGCCACTTCTAATTGTGATAAAGTTGTTCTTTAAAATAAGTGAAACAGGAAATTTTCCGTGACCCCTTGGGGCACCTCGCTTACTCAGCCTGCTGCAGTTAACCCCTCACGGGAGGGGGAGCACTCAGGTGAGTGGGTGCAGGAGCCAGGACAAGTGTTTCTGGGCACTGGCAGGAGCAGAACTCTGTGCAGCCTCACAGCAGCTTCTGGAGCCCCAGAGGGCATACGTTACAGTGCTCTTTTAGCTTTGCCATCCATGGATAGCTTAAGTGTTAAACAACTCAACTGCCCACATCCGTGGCTCCCAAGCTCTTGTTTGGTGTCCAAGAAGAATCAGGTCACATGAACGAATTGGAGAGTAGTGAATACAGAGGATTTTATTGCTGATGAAAGTGGCTTTCAGTGGGAAGGGGAGCTGGAAAGGGGGTGGAGCAGGCAGGTGGTCTTCCCCTGGAGTCTGGCCATCCCTGACCAGGCTCTTCTCCAAAGTCCCACCGTCAAGCCATCCTTCTGAAGTCAAGCTGCTTCTCTCTGACGTCTGGCTGCTTCTCTTCTCTCCTTCTCTGCTGCTCCTCTGCCAGTGGAGCCTGGGGTTTTTATGGGTATGGGATGGGGGACGGGGTGGGCCAGGGTGGTTTTGGAAAAGGCAACATTTGAGTGGGAAAATGGGGATGTTCTCACTTTGGGCCACGGTTCTAGGCTTGAGGGTGGGGCTTCACCAGGGACCCCTTCCTTTTCTGCCTAGAATTTCTCTGCCTCCTGTTCCCATCATAAGGAGATACTGGCTTCTTATGTAACTTTGAACCACTGGTCCTGGTCTGCCCCCTAGAACCAAAAAACACAAGTTCAATCCCTGTTCTATCTTATAGATATTATGTATTAAAATCCAGCTATCTTTAACTTATGAATTTATTCAGTTTGCAGCTTATAGTGTCTATAGTGTCTTATTCAAAGTTGAATAGACCTGTATCTTCCCATAAGGAGTCTTCAGTCCATTTGTGTTCATGTCTCTTCTTCAATCTAAAATCTCTCAGTTCTCTCAACTTTTTACAAAACACAGAAACTTCTGTAATTTGGTTCTCCTCCTCTAGACTTCACAAGGAAAATATTATTACTAATGATAGTTATTGAGGATCCACTGCAAATTTGGTCCTGGACTGGGTTCTATAATAATCCTAACTATTCTGCAAGGTTAGTATTAGGTGAGTATTAGTCCTAACTATCCTGCAAGGCCTGTATTAGCCACGAGGAACTGCGTGGCTCATAAAGTAAGTGATCTTGGTTCACACAGCTAGTATGCGCTAGGTGGGCTATCTGAACAAACGTTGACCCCCAAACCTCCAGTTTGAGACTGTGTGTGTGTGTGTATGTGTGTGTGTGTGTTTAAGGGGTAGCAACTGGAATTGAAGATAGTGCATTGTCTCTACCTTGTTCATAGTAGAGAAGACCATCTCCCTTATATATGAAAGCAAATAGCTCTTAGTGGTAACACTTTCTTTTGGGTACTTCACTACATCACATAAAATATAGTAAAGTACATTGATATCCCACATGAAATGTATTTCTTATCATAAAATTTTTGAAAGGATTTTAAAACAATCTTTTGAAAAAAATTTTATCAAGAGTGACTCAGTTAATTTATGATTGGCAATGATTTCTTGGCAGGCATCGTGCATACTCAGAAATTCTTATAAAATGAGAAAATCTAACCTACAAATTGTTTTCAAATGTAATGAAATTTTTATGAACACTAAATATAACAAATAATGAAGTTGACATCATGTTACATTTTGTAGATGTTTAATTAAACATTAATTTCAATCTATCAGTTTTATATTTTAGAAACGGTAAATCTTTTGAGGTCTTAAAACATTTTTATAAGCCTTTGAAAGGAACACAGGCTGTAAGTGCTGTGTGGTAAGAGACTAAATAACACTGAGTCTTTCACATTATTTGGCTGAGACAGAAAAGCCACTACATCCATGGTGTGGCTTAAGACGGTGACCACTGCTTCTTTTGGAGGCCATATTATTGACTTTCCTTTTCCTCCTGTGGCCCTGTCAGCCTATCTTCCTCATTCTGGAAACTGGATAAAAGGGTCCTCTATTGGACAAAGTTTCGTGGGTCTTTCAGCTTCTCTTTGCTACTGGAAAGGGGTCCCCATTCAGACCCCAGAAGAGGGTTCTTGGATCTTGCACAAGAAAGAATTCGGGGCGAGTCCATAGAATAAAGTGAATGCAAGTTTATTAAGAAAGAAAAGGAATAAAAGAATGGCTATTCCATAGGCAGAGCAGCCCTGAGGGCTGCTGGTTGCCCATTTTTATGGTTATTTCTTTATTATATGCTAAACAACGGGTGGATTATTCATGCCTTCCCTTTTTAGATCATATAAGATAAATTCCTGATGTTGTCATGGCATTTGTAAACTGTCATGGAACTGTTGGGAATGTAGCAGTGAGGATGACCAGAGGCCAGTCTCATCAACATCTTGGATTTGGTGGGTTTTAGCTGGCTTCTTTACTGCAACCTGTTTTATCAGCATTTTTTTTTTTTTTGAGACAGAGTCTTGCTCTGTCGCCCAGGCTGGAGTGCAGTGGCATGATCTCAGCTCACTGCAGCCTCTGCCTCCTGGGTTCCAGTGATTCTCCTGCCTCAGCCTCCTGGGTAGCTGGGATTATAGGCACATGCCACCACGCCTGGCTAATTTTTGTATTTTTGGTAGAGATGGGGTTTCACCAAGTTGCCTAGGCTGGTCTTGAACTCCTGACCTCAGGTGATCTGCGAGCCTTGGCCTCCCAAAGTGCTGGGATTACAGGCATGAGCCATTGTGCCCGTCCAGTAAGGTCTTTATGACCTGTATCTTGTGTCAACCTCCTATTTCATCCTGTGACTAAGAATGCCTTAACCTCCTGGGAATGCAGTCAAGCAGGTCTCAGCCTTATTTTACCCAGCCCAATTCAAGATGGAGTTGCTCTTGTTCAAACGCCTCTGACACCTTGATTACCTCTATCTTTGTCTTTCTTGGTCAGCGCCCCCAATCCATGCTGACTTGTTCCTTTACTTCTAATCTTGGTTGAAAAGTCACCCTGGTGTATCTGGTTTCATGAGTTGCCACCAAGGGGCTGCACAATGCAACCTGAAAGTGAGAGCGACCTCATTTCAATCTTGCCCAGTAGGAAACAAGAGAAAGCAAAGAGCCAGATAAATTCCCCATCCCTTCTCCCTTCTTGCTTCTCTTCTGGAGAAGTCCTGTTTGACTTCTGAAGCAGGGCCAATGTAGAAATGCATAACATTGTGTATTCCTTTTCCTTATATCCCTTTTTCCTTCACTCCCAAACACCCTGGGTTTTTGTACTTTAATTCTTGCCTCTAGCTTTACCTTCTAGAGAACCCAGTTGAGAGAAAGCTAAGCACCAAGTTGTCATTCACAGATTTTGCATCAAGTAGCTTTCCTTGACCTGTTCTTTAAACTGTGTCCTGGCTGCCTCTGTAGCCACTGACTTTTGCTTTTGGTTCTCCTGTTGGTTTTTATTTTCAGCTCATCCTTGAATATTACATTCCATAAGGTAGATCTAGAAAATATTGAACTTCCTATTGACTACACAGACTGCTAAGCCTAGGCCACTCTTGCCTTGCCTATGTACATTTAGATTTGCTAGCACAATTGCAAGACCTTTTATTTGTTCCTGTTAAATCTGATCAGTTTAGTCAGCTCATTATTGCTATCACCTGTCAAAAACATTTAGACTCCAGATATAGTCATTTTCCATATTCCTCAACAGTCATCCACAAATTTGATGAGCCTTTTCATTTTTCCTTCATTCATTTATGTTAGTTTATACAAGCCATGGTGGATGAGAGAAACAGAGAACCTGTAGAAATCTTCAAAGCCCTCATTCTCAGCTTTTAAGCATATTTGTTTGTTTACTAATTCAATTGTCCTTTGCCTACAGGTAACTCAATGGCATTCTACAAACATGCATTCAATGAGTGCCTAGTTGTGTCTATGTGTCTCTTGTTGGGACACAAAGATAAAGGAGATGTTAAAGAATTTTTATTGGTGAGGATTTCTTTTCTTTAAAGGAAGATAGGTCTGTGGTAGAGATATTGCCAAATAAACCTGCCGTTTGGCCACCCCTCAAATCACATGGAGTCGGTAGCTACCTGCATCTTCTCCATGAAACGCTGACTCTCATCAAGAAAAAAGAGATGCAGTTTAAGAATGCTCTAAGAAATTAGATAAACTAGTGAAAGAATCACTTTCTCCCGCTGAAAATTGAGTTTACAAAAAAGGTGTGAATTTAGAAACTAAAATAGCCTCCTTCCTAAGCACCTACTGGTGTCGATGAAAATTCTTTGCCAATTCACAAAGTCCTATCATGGTTGCAAATTACTCTGTCACAATAATTGTTCCCTGTTAACTTTTCAGGCAAGAGTGAGAGGTTTGTTGAATGGCAAGAAGAGCATCTGGCATTTCTGGTTTCATATCTGGAATTTCAGCAAATGTCAAATACACATTTATTATAAGAAAAAAGGAAAAAATCAATGGGGAAAGAAAACTTAAAGAGAGCAAAACCATTGGAAAATAATAGTACCTATGTACTCTCAGGAGTATGTCAGAACTTTTCTTAAATTCATCGTTAGCATTTAAAAATGAACTTTAATCATACTCTGAGACAGGTATTTCTTCTAAGGAATTGGTGCAAACTGCCATGAGTAGTAGAAACAGGAAGAAATACAAATCTCTGAAAACAAATGAGAAATAAAACACATAGATTCAATCACCTAGATAATTTAGATACTATGGTGAAACACATGGAGAGAAACACAAGCCAAGACATACTGCGACACACAAGTAAGTCAATGGTGACAGTCAAGGCAGCAGGTGAATCAATTCCAAAGAGTGCCATTGGTTAGAGTTTACCAGGAGACCAACTGAGCCGGATGGGAGGAAGTTTGCTGTTGTTTTTTGTTTTGTTTTGTTTTTGTCATTTAAAGGGCTCTAAGCTTCCAGCTGAGCCTCTCTCCCCTTTTATTTGTCTCTTTCCTCTTACTTCAATGGGTTCAGTCTTATAGAATATTGCTAATTTGAATACTTGTTAGAAGCAGGAAACCTGAGCTACACAGGGCTCATTAGGAATCTGTTAGACATGGAAAGCTCGAGTTCACCTGATGCTGTCTTGGATCATGACAGATCTGAGCTGGAGAGACCAGCCTAAGTCAGACCTGGGGCAGGTGGAGGAGGTTGTGTATCTGGTCTGGGCAGCTGTCTAGTAGCCTCCTGGCTGTGGCCTCCCGGGTGGCAGCCTGGCAGCATTTGCCACCACAGGGAACCGAAGGCGAGGGGAAGAGGAAAAATTACAGTTTGCAACTCAAATAAATCCCCAAGGATTTATGACTTAATCTTAGTGCAGTATCACTGAAAGAAACACAATCCAGTTAACTGAAAGTAATTTAAAAAGCAATTTTAATCTTTACTTGTTCTCTCAAGGAACATTAAAAGGGATCCAATTCATAATCTACAGCAATATGTGGGAAAATCCCCTTTCTTCTCCCTTTCAATTCTTTTACACACACAACCCCCCATACACGGGGTTTCCAGAGCTTCTCTTTCCCTGAACCCCTCACTCAACCCTCCAGCCTCCGTAACTCCCAGAAACAACACCTGCACAGACTCTTTCTTCTTTCCCTGGGGCCACCAAAACACACCTGTCTGTGCGGTTCTAAGAATGCTGGAGACCCTGCAATTCCCTCTGAAGGCAGCACAAAGACCCCACTTCCCACTCAGGTCTCTCACCGACTCTCCCTGCTCTTTTTGTTCCTTTGTAGCATTTCCAGATAAAATACAGGACATCCATTTCAACTTGAATTTTAGATAAATGATGAATAATTTTTTAGTATAAGTATGTCAAAGTAACATGTCTTATATTTTTATTTTCTAAATCTGGCACCCATATCATTTTTGAGATTATTATTCACCAAAACATTTTTTTTCACTTAAAGAGAAACAACACACTTTTGAAAGGATACTTTTAGAAGTATTTGGTAGGAAACTGAAATGGCCTGGAATTTCCACTAAGTGAGACAGGGAATAGTATTGTTTGCTGTTATTGTGGAGCTGAGCCACTTCATCCAGCTTCCCCCATTAGAAAATGCTTGGCCAACATTAATTTACATGTATAAATTAAATATGTTTACATACTTTCGTCTAGAAGTTTAGAATCTGCCTACCTTAGTACTTAGTATACAATAGATGGTACAAAATAGATCTTTTTGAGTGTAATTAAAAGATGCCTGTGTTATCTAAAAAAAAAAGTACCCCAAACACATATGGATACAATCAGTTCCATGTTAAATTTTATGAGACTGTGAGTTTTGTCTTAATATAATACCGATGTATTTATTCTAAAGATGTTGCGCCAAACATATTGGAGTCCTCTCAAGCCGCTTCCAGACCTCTTTATGGGCCACACACAAGAATCACTCTTCTTGCTTTATGGTCTCTCTTTGATTTGTCCTTAGACTGTATGACCCAGCTGGATCTCCCGCTTCACCCACCCTGCTTGGTTCTAAATGACTTTTGGCTATCTCCAAAAGGTTACATCTATCCTCTAAGGATGAAGATTCACAACCATTGAGAATACACTGACATCTCAATTAGCGGATCCCCTGAGAGCAAAGCTCTTTCATAATAAAATGCCCGTATTAAAAATGAGATTAACTCCTTATAAATCATACACAATGGAGTGGGCCGGTATACTAAATGCACAAAAATGCCTTCTGAAAGAGCTTATCTTTGCCTCTGTTCAGCTCAAAGCAAAAAAGTACTGATTCTACTCCAAACTGCAAGTCAACTTGCTCCCCCGCTCTCTGTTGAGTACCTTTCTGCACCCCTGACTCAGTGGCAATCCCCTCCTCTCCAACTTAGCATACCTCATGCCTTCTCCACACTTTAAGACTGTGAAGAATTGACACTCATCGATTCATTACCTGATTATACTTTACTGGAAATTCATTGATTCAAAAATACTTATTGAAAGTAAGTTTCAGTCAATGTATTACTTTAACCAACAACTTGACATATGGTTGGTATTAAAATCTTTGTTCCTGGATACAGGAGAGCCAAGAGTCATTAGGTGGATATATTTTAGGAGATGAGAGTGCATCTGAAATTACTGTCTGCTACTGAGTGAGCATCCAGATTTAGGAGGGCAAAGAGAGAGGGGCCAAGTATTATCTTTTATATTCAAATGATTCCTGTTGTTTTGCAGAGAAAGTGGAGGTTGGCCCAGGTTAAGGTTGCTGGAAGTCTATTTCTCAGAGCAACTGGGTGTAGAGCAGCCTGTGAGAGACCTTATAATTATATTCTCTGAGGACTTCCCCTACCACTCTTTAAGGTTGAAGAAAGTAAATCCAACAGGGTGGAAGGCAAAATGAAGAAAGCATATAGATTTTGGTAAATTTGCCTTTCATTAGTAAAAACGACAAGGCAGTGTCTGGTTCTTCAAATCCAGTAAAGTTTTCTTCCTAATTTACATCCTGACATCATTAAAGGCAACCATATAATACCTTAATATCAGTACAGTATATTCATACTCTTTTAAATATTTCTTAACCAAATTTGGAACAATGACCTGGAAGATTCAGTATGTAATTACCTTGATTTTTTTTCTTTTATAAAAGTAAACTTCTAGCTGGCATATTGCTGAGAACATCCAGCATTTAAAGGTTCTGGAAAGTGACATATGGGGGTGATGGTAGATGCTTAAATATGGTTGATTTTTCTACATTCAGGGAGAAGTGGAGGTGTTCCTGCCTTATTCATGCCTCTCTCTAGGCCGTAAAAGCAGAAATAAGCAAAATGATGATGCATTGTGATGATGAATAATAATAATGCAAAATAGCAATACCTGTCTTCAGATTGTGAAAGCAGTTTCTTAGCCTTTTTGTATGCAGATGAAGAGGTGGATTTTTATAGCAAATCTGCCTTCAGACCTAAATGCCCTCCTACACCACACACCCGTTTCCAAACACAGGCTCACACTTGGGAATTGAGAGGGTGACTTAAAAATCAGGATGTCAGAAATGGGACAAAACTGGTTTTGTACCAAAAAAATTTCCTGATCATTTTGATGGGACATATTTATATAATTGTTCATAACAGGCATTTTTTGAGTGTGAAAAATGACCTGTATTGAAATTGTAGAAAACAGAACAACTGGTCATAAATGACTATTTCCTGATGAATAGAAATGAGATAGAAATGAAAAAGCACACATCTATGAACAGAATGAATGACAACATCTTTATCCTGAAGGCAAGAAAGAAATGACAATGCTCGAATATCAGTTATACATCAGGTTTCTGCAAAATCTTAATTTTCATTCAGTTCCAAGCCACTTGTTAATTCAGGTCTCTTTAGAACTTCTAGGAGATATATTCTGTACCAACTTCTTCAAAAGTTCTCTCTTTTCTGATGTATTGGAATAGTTTGAAGGTGGCTGAGAAAAATATCTTGTCCTTCGTAGTTATTGGTTCAAAATTTCTTTCTCTGATGGTTTCATCTATAGGATTTCTAATTTTTGCCTCCAAAGAAATTGCATTCAATTGGAAACTGTGATCTTATGCTTAATAAACAAGAGAACACCCTGAAGATGATTCTAGAAAATTCCAGCAGGTATGAAAATTATCATCAAGGTGGTAGGATTTTGGATCAAGGTGGCAGGATTTTGGATCAAAGTGGCACTATTTAGACTTTTTAATTGATATTCAAAACAACGAGAAAAAATTTCTGTGGGCCTTGTGGCTAAATTGACCTTCCGATTTTAGAACTGTAAAATATGCTGAGAGATGATATCTGATACAATGACTACACTAAAAAAGAAGCTTTGTAAGTTAATAACTGACTTTAATTCTAAATAGGTCTCTAAAGAAAGGAAGGAACGGTTGAAGGGTACATTCCCTGTAGACTGGGGATTATAACATTTTTTTCTAAGGAAAAAGTACTAAAGTTTTAAATATAGATTTTAGACATGCTAATATTTGTTCTAGGAAGAGGATGGGTGAACTTGAATTGAAATAATACCAGAAGCAAGAAGACCAAAAAGGCAGCATAATGAGAAGTAAGATAGTTTTGAAGAAATTAGACAAAACTGCAAGAGAACTTGTTTAAGGATTCAAGGAAAAAGTATACAGACCAGCAAAAAAAGTGAGGAGGCTGGATTATGTAAGGGAGCTGACCGGAGAGCTATGGCCACAGGCAAAGAAAAGCTAACTGAAGGAAAAGAAGATTACAGGGAACAATAGAACTGTAATATTGGCCATAGTGCAGCTGGGTATGGCTTGCATACCTTAAGATCATTTCCCACAATAGTAAGGTGGTTTTCTTGTTTGTTTATTTTCTGTTACCAAATAGTGTCCAGAGTAGGTGTCATGTGGCTGATATGGTTTGGCTGTGTCCCCACGCAAGTCTCATCTTGAATTGTAGCCCCTATAATCCCCACATGCCGTGGGAAGACCTGGTGGGAGGTAATTGAATCATGGCAGTGGGTCTTTCCCATGCTGTTCTCATGATAGTGAGTAAGTCTCACGAGATCTGATGGCTTTATAAAGGGCAGTTCCCCTGCACATGCTCCCCTGCCTGCTTCCATGTGAAATGTGCCTTTGCTCCTCCTTGCCTTCTGCCATGATTGTGAGGCCTCCCTGGCCATGTGGAACTGTGAGTCCAGTAAACCTCTTTTTCTTTATAAATTACCCAGTCTCAGGTATATCTTCATTAGCTGTGTGAGAACGAACTAAAACAGTGGCCAGCCAGTGAAGTCTGAAAGGTATAAAGGACAGGTCCTAGGTGTGTAGTCTTTGGGAGGTAATATTAGATATTTACTGCAGGTAGATCATGAAGAAATGTTCACAGTGGGAGTTATCTTGAGCCTCTGATAACTCTAATATCCTGTAACGAAGTCCAGTTTCTCTGGTGTTGGCCCCACCTCTGATTTGCCATATGGCCTTGTCCAAGGTGCTTAAGTCCTTTATGGTCGTGGTTTCCTTGTCTGTGAAATATGAAGTGGTTTCAAACTATGCTCACAGAGGCCTAGAGCCCTGAGAAGGTGCCCTTTTGTGGCTAATAGGTGGTAAGTTGGAGCAGGCTCCATTGTTGACCCTTCTCTAACCACATGTAATTCATTTTGTATTTTGTAGGTCCAGATACAACTTCCTTTTATAAATTCCCTCTGCTTTAAAAAGATTTGAAAACTACCGTTAAGCAGAGAGCCGCTAAAAGCTCCTTTTAAGTTATGCATTTATACTACTCTATGTTATTCTTTTCCACAAAATTTTTTTTTTTTTTTTTTTTTTTTTGAGATGGGTTCTCTTTCTGTCTCCCAAGCTGGAGGGCAGTGGCGTGATCTCGGCTCACTGCAACCTCCACCTCCTGAGTTCAAGCTATCCTCCTGCCTTAGCCTCCTGGGTAGCTGGGATTACTGGCATGCGCCACCATGCCTGGCTAATTTTTGTATTTTTACTAGAGGCGGGGTTTCACCATGTTGACCAGGCTGGTCTCGAACTCCTGACCTCAGGTGATCTGCCTGCCTTGGCCCCCCAAAGTGCTGGGATTACAGGCGTGAGCCACTGCACCCAGTCCACAAAACATTTCTTGATGCCACGTGTGCCAAAACGAACACTGATATGAGGGGAAGCGTCAGGGATCCATTGCCTCAAAAATGCCAGTAACAACCACAAAACTTGGTGGCATACAACAATAGGCATTTATTGCTTGTGTGTCTGCATGTGGGTGATTTAGGCTGGGGGCTGGGAGGGCGGGGTGGTGCTCAGGACTTGGATGGCAGTCAACTGGGGCCTCACCCATTTGAACTTAGCTCCAGATGTGCTGGCTGTTGGCTAGGCAACTCGGCCCTCCTTCATGCATCTCTCATGTTCCCCTAGCAGGCTAGCCTGGTCATATTCTCACAGTGATGGCACGAGGTAAGAAGAGGGGGCAAAAAACACAAGAGCTTTTTCAGGATTTTCGAGTCTGTGCTTGCATCAAGTTTGTTATTGTTCTAATGGCCAAAACAAGTTGTATGGTCTAGCCCAAAGTCGGTGTGTGAAGGCACTTCCAAAGGGTGCAGATATAGGAGCCATGAAAAAGAGCCATTAATACATTCAGTTTACCACAGGGAAATCATAAGTCTTAGGTTCTCACAAAAGTGGCCAAATAGGTTGCACTACAGATTCGAGGTTGGTCACTGATAAACAAAAAGAGATGGTAGCCTGGTTGATCAGAACAGAATAAATAAATATTGCCAGCCAGCCTTTAAGCAGGAGAGTATGTGAGTATGAAAGAAATTACTCTTTCAATGAACCCCAAACCTCAGATTTTTCTCTAAAGCACTCTTCGAAGCTTTCCAAGGTTTTCCACTAGGTACCAATCAGGTCACATCACTCATGCATTTAATATTTGAGAAAGCAAATGCCCATGGAAAGCATAGGAAGAGTGAGAATGATTTCAGTGATGCCACGAGATTTGCAAACCTCAGAGTGTGTGTGAGATAGTATACTCCTTTCCCCTCAGAGTGTAAAACTGCAGTCTGCAAAATACAAGCCCACTGAATCAAATAAATGCTGAACCAAATAAATGGTGACTTATACCAATGCAGGGGGAAGTCTGTCCATGTTTGAATAAGAAGTTTGATTATGAACACTTTTGGCCTCACCTGCTGATTTTAGAATCTTGTTGAAGATACAATTCTACCCAGCATCCCTGATAACAAATTTTTGGATTGAAGTTGGGAGACACTGCAGACATGTCACGGGCCTTCCATCAGATCAGCACTGGGCATAGTTCTTTCCTACAGCTGTGAATCCTGCCCCGCCCTTGGAGGTGAACACCAGGACCTTCATGCCCAGTAATTCCTTTAAGCTGAATTTGAAATGTGGCCCCAGACTGAGCAGTGTTTCAGTGGGTGACACTGGATGATCTTTTACAAGATTTAATAAAAAACCCAAAGCCAAACACAAATGGTTCTGATGCTCACCTTGCCAATAACTTCAACCTAAATAACTTAACAGGTCAATTTGGGCTCACTGTCAAGAAATGAGTCAAGAGCAATATTACAAAGATTGAAGAGAAGGCATGTATGCTGCTCCAGCATTGTTTTAGATAGTGCATAAATAGAAGTAGTTATTTCTCTAGATGGGCGTCTGTCAAGCCTTCTCCCCAAGAAATGGCATTTGGGGTGTCACATCCAATTCAGAGATGTCAGTTGACAGCCTTTAAAATGTTCTTGGGATAACCCCTCTGGATAAGAAAAGCATGTCCTAGGCACTGTGACGAGTATGACCTTGTCATAGACATACACCAAAGCAGCCCTTGACAACAGCATCCATTTCTGCTCCTCTTTAGAGTGCTGAGTGACAACTGTGGTCAGATGAAGGTGGAAAGGGAACAAAAACATGAAACACAGTGATTTCCAATACATTTTTTTCCTTGTCTCAGGGCGAAAAATTACACCATTATGTCATTTTCGTGATGTGCTCATCAACAGGAGTGAAAACCTCATTTGTCATCTTTTGGTCTCATAGAAAATCAGAGTTTAGAGAATTCAGCTAGGCTGTCAGCATTCTTTGCTGTCAACAAGAACAGCTGAAGGAACGCAGCAGGAACACAGGGCCAATGAGAGCTGCTGGGCCCAGATGCCGACGCCGACTATGGAAAGTCACGGAAGGCTCTTCTGTTCCTCAGCGTTCCAATCCAATTTGCGGAAACTGTTTATCAGGTTTCTATGCAGACAGGATGTAAATATGTCACTGAAATCTGCAAATACGATAATGAAAACTGATATTTGTAATTGTATCTGTGTGGTCGTACTGACTCAAAACTAAATGGATTTCCAACCTAATATTGCCAAACCAATCCTTGAAAAATGTGAGACCCATTACAGTGGAAGAGTGGCGTCGCTTTGCACATCCTGACGCGATAGGGACATCTCTGTCATTTTGCGTGATTGAAATATTCTGCCTGTCTTCTGGATTTGCCTTGCCACAGTTTTAAACCCATCTCTTGTGCTGGAAAAGTAGATGCCATGTTCCTTCCATTGGCCCCACTCTGGAGAACAGGCGCTGTGCCATCCCAAAGAGAGGGATCCAGATGGACACTGCATCTTCCCTCGGGTGGCCTCCATGAAGCCCTCTCTTATTCTAAAGGGTTCAAAGCCTCATGCTGTCACTTACGGTCAAATGACAGGAATCTTTGTAAATCCCCACTGCCTCCTGTCGCCAGCTCAGCACAGTGCCACAATCCCAGAAATGTCATTCTAGCATTTAAGTCACTGAAACACATTTAAATATTTACTATGGACTCTTAAATGGGTAGATGGGAGAACAGTCTCTTAATAAGTCACACCTTACGAACCACCCATCTTTTCTCTCTCTCTCTCTCTTTCAATATTTCCAACACCAGGTATCTTTTCCCATCGCACATTCCTCAGAACTCTTCCTTCATCTCGGCCCACACAGATTCTCTCTTCTCCTTTCTTTTATTCTCTTGGACTCAGCTCTTTATTTTGTAGAGTAACGTGGCTTCTCAATTCCCGTTCCCCACATTTTGTGACACAGAAGACCCTGGATGCCTGAGGAAGGAAGACTCCCTTTCCCCTCGGGTTGGGCGGAAAGGACTGGGAAAAATCACAAAAATGTGTAACTTAGCGATTGAACCCAGGAGGCGGAGCTTGCAGCGAACCAAGATGACGCCACTGCACTCCAGCCTGGGCAATGGAGAGAGACTCCATCTCAAAAAAAAAAAAAAAAAAGTAACTTAGTTTCTTTTTCCAAAGTCCTCATTACACTCCTGAGCCTCAGTTTCCCCATCTGTAGAGTGAGTATCATAGCAATAAGTCCCATATCTCAGGGTTATTGCCAGGCATCAGTGAAAACGGGGTATGAGCCCCCACCACCAACGTCGCCCCCTGGGATAGAGCATGTGCAGAGTTGTACAGTTCAGCTTCTCTAGTCCTTATTCCAGTGACATTTTAAAAATGTCCATCTTTTATTATGCTGACTCTTCTTTCTGTGATAAAGATTTGTTATAGTTGCACTTGCTTAGGGTGATTTTCTGATGTAGTGTATATTATTTCATATCTAGCATTTTGATGGGAGGAACAGTATTCTGCCTATTTTGCTATCCCCTATAGTATTCATCAAAATGCTTTAATATATTTAGTGCTCAATAAAAAATAAATGTTCACCAAACTGCATCACTGGATTTTGATATGAACCGGATCTCAACCCACTTCTTAGACAAAATGTCACATCTGGCAGGACTTAGGGCCACTTTAGAAACCTCAGGAAATGATAATAAGAAACTGCTTGAAATGACAACACTGCCCATTGACTGAGATTTAGCATTATTCCCTTGGGGGAAAATACTTGACTTTAGTTATTTTCCAGCAATAAATGTACCTATTGTTTCTAGGTATATAATGCTATAGTGAAATTTGGCAAAGATTTCTGTGATAGCTTATAAAATATAAATGATTCAGATAAGAAGAAAATTTTAATTCCCTTTAGAAGAAGTTTCTGTCCAGCATAGTTATTTGTTCCTTTTCGATAAAGTTAAACTTTGACATTACTTTTACCCATACAGCTCTACCCTCCTGTTAAAACCTCACGGTTCCCAGGTAAACAAATGATTCTGATTCATGAGTCTTGTTTGAGAATAGCAGAGACGTTCAGAGTTTTGTGAGATTAGTCCTTTGTTGTCCAAATCTATAATATGCTAGTTTTTCTCTTTGTATATGGAAAAGCGTGCTTTGGCAAACTTCATTACAACTTAAATATGTTACTATTCTGTACTGGTTTTTCCTTCTCTCTAACCTCCTCAGTAGAAGCCACGTTTTAAGTATTCAGAATCTTTTCACTTCCTGTATTTTCAAGCAGTTATTTCTCGTATTATTTTTAGTTTGCTTGTTTTTAAGCAATTAAATGGTGACTCTGCAAAGCATGCAGCAGTGTCACATCTGGAAATTCAGATGTAACCATCACAGGGAAAATTTCATGTCCCTGGAGTCATTTTTGCCTCTTTTGTTTGAGAGTGCAAGTTTGCCAGCAGACAGAAGGAGGCATGGAGAGGGAAAAGAGAGGCAACCCCTCCACACTCCACCTTGGTCTGTACCCTTGAAAATGAGGTTGAAATAGTCAACCCTTGCAAAGTCTCTAAAGCAAGTTGGGAGATGCTTCCAGAAATGTAAATGAGGATTTACTTTCTTATGGGCCTCTCTTCCCTACTATTCTTCACTCATCCCACCAGAAATAAAAAGTAATGTTAAGACTTCTAATTTCCATGATGATGTCTCTGTCTAGAAAAATGATCCTATGGCTGAGCGCAATGACTCATGCCTGTAATCCCAGCGCTTTAGGAGGCCAAGGTGGGTGGATACCTTGAGGTCAAGGAGTTTGAGACTAGCCTGGCCAACATGGGGAAACACTGTCTTTACTAAAATACAAGAAATTAGCTGGGTGTGGCAGTGTGCACCTGTAATCCCAGCTACTTGGGAGGCTGAGGCAAGAGAATCACTTGAACCCGGGAGGCGGAGGTTGTAGTGAGCTGTGATTGCTCCATTGTCACTGCACTCCAGCCTGGGTGACAGAGTGAGACTGTCTCAAAACAAACAAACAAACAAACAAAGAAAAATAATCCTATGTAAATAAAACAGTATTTCATGTCATTTACATGTATTTTTTTCTGATTATGCCAGTGATACATGGTCAAGATAAAAAAAATGATGAAATACAGAAGAAAACCACTGAAATCACGGTATCTAGAATCAGTCACTAACTTTAACATATCTCCTCATGTGTTGTGTGTGCATGTATGTACACACTTGCATATACTTAGCCTTTAATTTCACTAAATCTTCACCTTCATACAAACAAATGAGAAAACTGCTTGAAATTACATTTCCATGTTTTCCCTACTACTCCTAATTGTGCGAAAGAGAAACATTTTTATATACTGGATGCAAAGTGAGCATTGAAGGCATATTTTCAGAGAACTAGTAATTTTGGAGCTTCTCACAGCCAGAATTTTTGAATGGGTAAGAAACAAAAAAAGAACAGAAGGCAGCAAAGGGTAGAGAAAATGGTTGAATAATCAGCTGTGTTGTTGAAATGGGTAGAGGAAGGAAAGCTTGTGCCTATCACATCTGAGCTTTATTCAAAGGAAAGTGGTCTCCGCTTGATGGGCAGGATGCCAGAATGCTGTAATAAAGGAGCTATGTAGGGCTGCAACATGGTACTCTGGAAATACATTTTCCAATTAGTCGTAAGTGTTTATTCATCAAGGCAGACCACAATGCTTTTGGTAACTCAGTTGTACAAGCAGCTGTAATTGGCAATTGAGAAGCATCAGTGCAAATGTTTTGATGCCTAATCCTGAAACTGTTCATGCTCCACATTTCCACGGAATGGTCCCTCTGTCCGGGAGTGGTGTCGGCAGAATGCCTGTGACTACAGGTTTGGGCCCTTTATAATCATCAAGCATTAAATTAGGTCCATCCTACAGATCTTGCCCTTTTTCCTAATCTTGCCCTTTTTCCTGAATGATTTGAGGAAGAGAAGTTGAAATGGATTGAAAAGTGTTCTTTCAGCAAGTTTGGTGGATATTTTAACTCTAATGGGAGACTTGAGAAGATGGCCAACCATGGCCAGGTGCGGTGACTCAAGCCTATAATCCCGGCAATTTGGGAGGCCGAGACGGGTGGATCACTTGAGGTCAGGAGTTCAAGATCAGCCTGGCCAACATGGTGAAATCCCATCTCTACAAAAAAATACAAAAATTAGCTGGGCATGGTGGCGCATGCCTGTAATCCCAGCTACTTGGGAGGCTGAGGTAGGAGAATCACTTGAACCCAGGAGGCAGAGGTTGCAGTGACCTGAGATTGTGCCACTGCACTCCAGCCTGGGCAACAAGAATGAAACTCCATCTCCAAAAAAAAAAAAAACAAAAAAAAGAGAGAGAGAGAGAGAGGATGGCCAACCTAAGTATATTTTTCCAGATCTTCAGGAATACAACAGAAGAAAACAGTTAGTATCAGAAGCCCTCGCTCCTTCCACATTTCAGCAAGAAGCTCAGTTGGGCGTGCCATGAAGCCTGGACTGTGGGAGCCCCTATGGCCCACTCCTGATAGCTCTGTTTTGGTAATGTATTACATTGGCCTTCTGGCCATTAATCTAGAACAAGTTTCAAGCTGGATAAGAGAGCTCCAGTGAAAAAAAGAATCCCACAGGATGTGTCCTGACCTTTAAAAAGAAAACCATCAGGACTGACAGGCTTTCACGTGTAAAAACAATTTTTTTTTCATTTCTCAGTAGCATAGAGCTGCAAATGATCACTTAAAAGGGTCTCCCCCTTTTATTCTCCAAAGTTTTCAGGTACTTAGTGTGAGAGCCTTGTGACAATTAAATCAATTTCCACTGGAGTCCCCCGAGGTGGGACTTCTACAGCTTCCTCAAGGAGACATGTTAGACTAATAAGGAACCAGCAACTTATCTGAGAGGATGCTGCAAAGTAGAAAAATAGAATTTCAGGTCAAGGAAAAACTTTGTAGCAGAATTACCCCTTCCCACCGACTGAAAATTCAAGCTTATGAGATAATACAGTCTTATTTATAATGGGAAGAGGAGTGCAGCTGAAATTAGGCTTTGAAAATAGCTTTCTGCTAGCACTATTTGACTCTTGAAAAAAGAGCTGTTATTCAAAAGAAATCTACTTCATTCTCCCTCCAAGTTTAAAATGTACTTTTCATTTCCAGAGGTAAAAAGGAACTCACTGATTTTGGCATGTAAAACTCATGGTACATAAACAGTTATAGATAACAATAGCCTAAACATTCCATTTACAGTATAAAAGCAAAAGTAAATCACCACTCAACTACCCCTTGCCTATGTTTAATTCTGGTAATTAAAATGTGATGCTCCTTTGAGACCACAGACCACTTTTACAATCCACAGCATCCAAGCATGACCCAACCAAGCATCCACTGCCTGTCTTCATCAATAGACAGCCGAACCTATCAGGGAAAGGCCATTTGATCCCTTTCCATGGGCATTATGGAGCAACTTTTGTCTGCAGAACTCAAGGCCAAAAGATTAGAAGGCGAGGCACAGAGCATGCATTCCACCTGAACTAGCTGGGAACTGATTGGAAGATCCAGAGCCACCTGCCCAGGTCACCAGGCTACCTTCCCGTGATGCGTCATAGGGTCTGCGTTGGGCAGGTCTCAGTGCAAGCAGGGGGTTCACTGAGCACATACAGCCATCGCAGGTGGTCTGAGCATCCAGTGGGCAAAGTTGGGGAGTGGCAAGAGAAGGATGGAGAAAGCTGAGGTCCTAGCAGTTAGGGAAGGTTCCCAGAGGCTGCTAGTCTGAAGACTCCTGGGACCTCCTGATGTCTTTTAAGCCCACACATTGTGGCCCAGTGACTGATTTAGCACTGCTCTGTTTCACTGGCTCTGCTGGGCTTCAAGAGTCACCAATTCAGGACAGTCATTCAGTGTCTGTGGTTAGGGTTATGTTCTTTGCATGCACTGGGTTGCAACCAGCCAAGCAGGGCTGGCTTCATTGCCATTTAACCTGTGCGTTCGCACAGGAAGGACTCTTGATTTAATGTTCTCCTGTTACCATCTTGAAATCCTTGTTCATTTTTGTAAAAGGGTCCTCATATTTTCATTTTTTACAGGGCTTGCAAATTACGTAGCCAGTTGTAGCATCTCAGGCTAACATTTCATCTGTCCCACCTAGAAATTGACTATCCCCTCCTCATGGGGGTTGGTGGGGGTGTGGTAATTGCTAGATTTAAATAAAGCCAGGAGCTCTTCTTGAAATACAGAGAGTAACTGTCAAAAACTGGTGCAGGGTCTTCTGGAGATGGGGCTGGGACCATCAGGCCGAATAGGCAAAAACAAATGAAAGCTGCTCATCATGACAATTGGGATCCATTGACTGGAAGGTCAAGACAGGTGCTTTGCTAATTAATTGGGTAAATGTTGTTCCTTTTTTCCCCTTCCATATGGATTAGACTGTACTCTGCAGGAAAAAAAAAAATCAAGGCTTGTCCTTAGAAGGTGAGTTTACTTTAATAAGTCAACTAATAGGTCGTCAGAAGACCTGTAGCTTGTAGGAATACTGAAAAGGGATTGGGGGTACACATGGAGCCCAAGCCCTAGAATGAGAGCCATCCCGACAAGCCACAAACTGTAGGGCAGTCGCAACAATACCACAAGGATAAACTTAGGGCAAAATTCAGAAAAGAAATTGTGGTAACAGACTTGGGACATTGTTCAGGAGTCAGGACCTAGTGGTTGAGAACGTTTAAAAGGTGGCTTCCTTGATGAGATTGGAGGGAAAGTCCAAGTCAACTGGAACATCATTCTTTATCATTCTTGTGCTGTAATCCGTTTCTAAAACTGCCCTGGCTATTCATCGGATAGCTTACATCTAACCCTTTTCTACCTTTTTGACTTTAACCTATTTATGGAGATTGTGATATGTAGCTTGCATCCTTCCCAGGACTATTTGAAGAGTGATAAGAGATAATGCAGGTGACAGCACTTTGCCAGCTGAAAAGCACTAGACAAAGGTGAGGCTCCAGCATCACATAACCTGCAACCCTACTTGCTGAGGCCAGGAGAGGTCTGGGCCAGGAGATGCTCTGTCCCCAGAAGAGCATGTGCACTTCAAGGAGGCAGGTGTGCTGATTCCATTCCAGGAGTTAATTATGTGTCCTCTAGAGGCCCCTGACATTTTCCAGCTCTACTTTGGAGGTGGTAGATTACTAGGAAATTTGTGTTCCTGCCCAGGCAGATTCACTCTTGCTCCCCAGAGCTCTTCCTCCCTGGTTTTGCCTCAGTGTGATTACTCACTAATCCCTTTCCCCTCTCACTTTTGACCAGACCCATATGTTGAACTCCAGAATGACTTGTGGATGGAGGCTTGAACTTGGAGCATTTGGTTGGAAAGCCACTCAAGGCTTTGACCATGAGGGATTTTCCAGGTTTCCAAATATATCCTCTTGTACCATCAAAATGTCTTAGCTCAGATCATTTTCATATTGTGGTTCTGTGTGTGTGTGTTGGTTGTATTTAGCAGGGGAAAAAAAAGGTCATGGGCCAAAAACCCATTTGAGTTTGTTTGGATGAGTAAGAAATGACGGGAATTCAGAGTGCACAAGATTATAAATATTACAGAGGTTATTCAAAATCTCATTTATTTTTAGTCTGACTGCCTCTTTACCCTACATATTTAAATTCCATTTGCAGCCACCGACCCTGATACTCTTAAAGAAAATAACAACAAACAAGCTACTGCTAAGGGAAATGTAAATTGGTTTGTTTGCTTCTTTACACTCCTGGGCAGTGGAAACATAAGCAATTGTTATTCCAAGGGTCTCATTGAATATACAAAATCTTTGTCTTTCTTAGGAGTTGCTTTAAAGGTTAACCACTTTCCAAAGAATTCTTTGTGTCTTGAAACCAATTTTATGCTCCTTTTGTCCAGCTACAAAGTTCTTTAAAACTTGTTAAACTTCCCCACACAATCACATTTGCACTCACTTAGAAAATGGAGAAAACAGTTTGCTTTGGGAAAATTTGTTTGTTGCTCTTCTTTGACATTTACAAAGTCCTCATAGTGTGCTGGGAGCTGCAGTGCAGCTTCTAGAAGCTGCCCTTGGAAGCATTTGTGTTCAAAGGGACAAGGGACCAAGCTTCTGAGGTTCTCGCTCTGGGTTGGAGTAGGGCACAAATAACAGCAGTGATGATGGCAAGAGGAATCTGTGCTCAAATGTGGCCCCATGCTCATACCAAATTCCCAGGCCCCAAGGCCCTTCTTCCCTGGATAATTTTTCCCAGCAGCTTGTTTTATGCACTCAGAAATGTTCCTTCCCATGTACATTCTCATTCCCCTTCTACTCACTTTTTACTGTAAATGATTGTTTATTGTATACAAGCCAAGATTGTGTGCTCTAGGAATGTCTTCCAATACTACTATCAAAGAGAAATAATACAATGTCCAGTGCCCTTGAATGAAGTGCGGGACAACAACGAGCAATATCTCAGCAACATAGATGTCTTCTACTTTCCCCCTGGGATGAGAAATGTCATGCCTAAAATCCACAACCTCAACTAACAAAAAATTCAGTATTTTCATACACATAAACTACCCAGGTTTTAAAATGATTTTTTTTTAAGTGTGGAATCACTCAACAGACACTTAAAATGTGATTTGATTTACAGAAATTTCATTCAAGAATTTGTGAAAAGAAGGTACATTTGTGCCACAATATTTCCATGTACATACAAGTCTCCCACTAGGTAGTTAACAAGCATGTGTCAACCACCAATAAGAGTTGAGAGCTCAGATTCGGATTTGCCTTTTTAAAACATTGTTTCTCAACAATTCAAAAGGAGTTCTCGCCTGCCTTGCACAATGGAGACCCTTTCTATTAAATCGTAATACAGGCACTTCTTTCCCTCTAATGATTTATCAAACATTTTTTTTAGAGGTCCAGAATGAGTCTCTTTGGGCATACTGTCTGTTTCATAATAAGCCGTATTTGTTCCCAATGTATCACTGCTCAATGATACAAACTGCCATTGTAATTATAGCCCATATAGGCTGTAATTGTTCAACAAAGGGTGATTCAATGAGGTCAAAACAGAATTTGAAAGCCGTTATAGCAAAGCAGGTTGGGCTGATGATGGTGCACTAGTAACTCATTGCCCTACTAATTGGAAGGCACAGATGTGGCTATAGAACCAGAAGCTCTTTTGGCCTGGGTGAGAGACAAGCTGACATAATCAGCCAGGGCTTGTGAAGATGCACGGGGCTGATGCCAGAGGACCCGTGTGCTGAGAAGACGCCCGGATGTCAGCTCCTGGCTATGCCATGATGCTTATTTCCATCTGGACTTCAAATATCAATGTGGAAACCCAACCAAGGTTTTGATTCCTCGTGACCTGAAGAAGTGCTAGTTCCCTTACAAGGGCAAGTAGAGATGTACCACCAATGTTAAGTCTCCAAAAATAGCCACTGAAACATATAAACTCTCACCACACAATTTGTTAAAATTTAATATGCATGACTGATATGCATGTGTGTCCCCTCCAAATCTCTTGTTGACATGTGATCCCCAACGTGGGAGGTGGGGCCTGGTGGGAGGTGTTTGAGACATGGGAGCGGATCCCTCACGGAAGGCTTGGTGCCCTTCCCACGGTAATGTGTTACTGTGATATCTGATTGTTAAAAAGAGTCTGGGACCTCCTTCGTCTCTCTCTTGCTCCCTCTCTTGCTATGTGACATGCCTGCTCCCCCTCTGCCTCCTGCCATGAGTAAAAGCTTCCTAAGGCCCTCACCAGAAGCAGATGCTGGCACCATGCTTCCTGAACAGCCTGCAGAAGCATGAGCCAAATAAACCTCTTCTCTTTATAAATTACCCAGCCTCAGGTATTTCTTTATAGCAACACAATGATCGTCTTAACTATATCAATTAGAATGCATTTGGCTTCTTTTTAATTCTCTTGGAATCTCAATCCTAAGCACCAAGTCTTCGTGTGATCATGTCCTAAGGCAAGAAGAAGGAGGGTAAGAAGACAGCAAGAATCTATTTCCCACAGCTCTTTCCCCCATGTTTCATTGGCTGGAATTGGGTCACATGTTCACCAGTACACCAGTCACTGGAAAGGGAAAAAGACTTCTATGGTAGACTTAGGTTAGTCATTGTTCATCTTGAGAGGCAGAAGCTGGGAAGAGGGGACCTCACTTTCCCAGAAAATACAGCCAACACTATCTGAATGTAATTAGGGTGCTAACTTTTATCCAGTCCTAACAGGATACAAAAGAACAATCAAAGCTGTGGAAAACATTGCCTCCTAAACTAAACTGAAGCCATGTAGCCTGGTGGATGAATGGTAACCTGGAGAGATGTTGCTCTGGGCTGCTTTGTCAAATGACTCACTCCCTGCTATGCGTCCTTGGGCAGTTCTCCGTGGATCTAAGCCCCAGTCTCAGCTTCTCTCAAAGGAGAATAGTGTCATTTACCACCTCCTGGCCTCACAGCTGGGTTGCGTGATGATTAAAAGAAGCCCCCATAAGAACTGTGAATTTCTCAGCTTAAAGTATGAAGTGCTGACTTTTCTTTGGATGACAAATGTCAAATTGCTGAGCAGAAAATCACCATTGGCATGCCTCTCAAAGTGGCTTGGAGTCCATAAGACCCAAGTATGGAGCCCTCTATTGACAATTCTGATTTGATTCCTCTAGGCTCTCACCCTTCTTTTCCCAGCTTTTCTCTGCTGCACTTGGACTCTCATTCCTGCTCCATATCCCACCTCCCCGCAAAGCTAGGAGCACCAAGAGTTTGAGTAATAGGTCAAGGGTAAAAGTGAGAGTGTGATGAAGGAGTTGAGGAATAAGGGAAAGGGGAGAGCTAAAAAGATCTACTTTGGTTTCCTCCGGCAAATATCAAATCCTGTTTAAACCCACTATTGTAACACTTCAACTAGATCATTAAATGCTTATATGGTGCCTAAGACTGGTACATTGTGGTCTCTTGATAGCAGGGTTCCATGTGTTTAGGGTTTCAAGCTAATATGTCTTGATTTCCAAAGCCACCCCTTCTGATGGTGGTGTGGACGCTGGTGCAGCTATGTCCAAACAGAGCAGAGAGTGCCCAGGCAAGCTGTTCTATTTTGGACATGCCAGTCCTTGTTTTTTAGACATTCTACTTAAAGACACAAACCAGTGCAAACACAGACCCATTGCTGTTATATTTATTTTTATCTATTTTCAAAAACAAATGAAAGTGGCCTTCATTTAAAGATATAGAGAGTAGAAGTTTTGAAAAGAAAGAGAGCTTATAAATAATTTAAAAGAAAGATATATCGAATGGTGATTCTGAAAGGAAATAGAATGAGTATGAAATTCCACAGCTTTAGACAAATGAAAACCCGATAGGTTATATAATTCTCTGTATGTAATTTTTTTGTTGTTGCTTTCATTTTTTCTTCCTCTCTATCTCTATATGTTTCTTTGAAAGACACATTTAAGGTGGAAAGTTAAACTAATAGCTGCTATTAAATTCAAAAAGAAATGTCATCATGTATTTTATCTTAAATTCTTCTTAGAATAAAGTAAAGCACTTGAGTAATTAGTTGGTCAATCATGTTGCTTCTTACAGAAGAGTCATTGTGGAACATCAAAGAAGAAAATATCTTTAGCTCTGGTTTTGTAGAAGATATAATATTGTTTCTCAAATTAAATGCTTCTTAAAGCAAATCTTTTAAAAAGCAAATGGCATATTACCTTATTTTGGTAAGCTAAGAGATAAAGGTAACTACAAAATGTATAAATCATTTCTGTTTGCTGTCCCCAAAGCTTCTTGTTCATCTATAAAATTTCCCAGTCTGCCTTTGGACATTGTGTTCCTTAGTTAGCCAAATCAGACAGCGCTCCTTTCTTCCTTTGTAAGCAACACTCCTATGGCAGATTTTGGTAGGGAGCCTCTTCTTCAGCCATGGGAATTGACACAGTGTAATGGAAAGAAGAGGCTCTGAAACCAGATGGGCACAGGTTCAAATCCTGTTCCTGCCACTTATAGCAGGAACCTTGGGCAGGTTGCTAAGCTTTCCTTAGCCTCAGTTCTGTCTAAAGTCAAATAGGGGTCAAATAGGGGTAATAGTACCTGCTGGCCTCCTCCACCTCAGCCACCACACCAAGTCCTGTTTATCAGGCCCCTCTCAATAGACACACATCTGCCCCCCCGCTGCCATTCCTTCCTGGCTCTACTGAATTCAGCCCACCATTTTCTCTCACTGGAATTACCACACAGCCTTCCCTCTGATCTCTGCTTCAGTTCTTGCCCTCCCCCATCCATCCTCCATATTGTGGTCAAAGTGAGCTTGCTGAAACACAACTGAATCGTGTTACTTCTCCTCCACTACATATTCTTTACTGACTTGGTAAAGACCCATTGTCATGACCCTGGGACCAAGTCCAAGCCCCTTCATACATACCAGAAAGCCCTTCTCCATCTGGCCCTGCCTATTCTGCCTGGCTCTCTCACCAACCCCAACTCACTCCAGGTTCAGCCACAGTGAATTCTCCTTTTCAGGGAACCTGTCAGACTCTGTTTCCAAATGGAGGCTTTGCCTAGATTTCTGTCTGTCTAGAACACCCCTCCTCCCTGATCCTCTGCTGAAGTCTCACCATTCTTACACCCTGCTCAGATATGTCACTTTCTTCAGAAGAACTACCTCGGGGTTCCCTACCACCTTCCCCACCGCTGCCCCCAAGATCCGTGAGAGAGTTTTTCTCCTGTGAGTTTCCTTAACACCTTGCACTGTCATGAGCCTATTTACCTCTTGTCTCTCCCACTAGCCGTGGGCTCCATGAGGGAGAAACAAGGTTTTCCACATTTTGACATCTTCAGGGCTCGGCTCAGTTGCCTCATAGAAATTGCTTTAAAAATATAAACTAAATGGAAACATGAGTTGATGAATATATTTCAGGGTTTTGTGTGGATTAAATGAGATAAAATAGAAAAATTACTGGAAATATTGCATTCACTCAATAAATTATAATCATTATTATTACTATTACTATTGCTACTATGGTTATTAATACTATTGCATAATATCGTACTGCTTTTAGATATGATTGTGTCTTCTGCCTATTGAAACACATGAGCAAATGTCTCGAGGGCTTTGGACAATTTTTACTCCAGATATATGATGAAAACTGCTATAGGCGATGGTTTTGTTAGGTCTTTGAAAAATTGTGCCCCTACCTCCAGTTCCTTTATTTTCTGGTTTGAGTGCCTCTTGCAACCTTTTAGAAATAAGTGGGTTTATTCATTGTAACATGCACTTTTGCCAGTTGGTTTTCTTCTATGTAACCCCTTGCGTCCCTATTCAACAGAGGCTAGTAATTACCATAGCAACCGCAGCATGTGGTGTCTATGCGCTCTCAGAAACAAAGCACATGCTTTAAAAAAAATTGCGCACACACACACACATTAATTTGTAACATGAAATTCTGTTTCATGGTGTTTATGAAGGAGAACCACGCCTCCCAGTAAACCGATTCACCTTCCTCACTAGACCCAGGGCTCAAACTGCTGTTCCCTCTTCTCCCCACCCCCGACCCCACGGCACTCCCTAAGTACATATTGATTCATTTTAAAAATGAAATTTTTGTGCAATGGGAAAAAAGCATGGAAAGGATTCAGTTTCAGTGGGAAGGTACAAAGGTCAGTGAGAGGGTGCACAGCCCCATATAGCGGTTGTTTCTGTCTGAATGATGATTATACTACCAAGGGGATTCATTAAAATGGAGCCTATTGCTGTTACACTGAATGAGGCGCTCCATAAATTCTGCTGTGAGCTTGTCAGGGGCTAAGTCCATATGTAATGCTTAAATACAGCGCCCGCATCTGCATGCTGGGGTTTGCACCCCAACCCTCCTCTGCCTCCTCAAATGCTGGCTGTAGCACATACTCACTCCAGCCCAATCAAGAACCCAGGACCTGAAATCCTGTGCGTAACGCAGAAATTGAGAATTCCCATTGCCGTGTTTCCAGCAAGACATGAGGTTTTAGAATGCGACAGAATCACGAGGTGGACTCTGGTTCTGGGTCCCAGGAGGGGACCAAGAAGGCTTTAGTTATATGAAAGGAAATATCTCGGACCCCCCAAATCACTAAGCTGAAAGGAAAATTCAAGATGGAAACTGCTCTGGGCAAACCTGCCTCCCATTCTATTCAAAGTCATCCCTCTGGTCACTGAGATAGCTGCATATTCTAATGGTGTCTTTGGGAAAAGCTTATCAGAAACTCAAAAGAATGCAACCATTTGTCTCTCACCTACCTGTGACCTGGAAGCCCCCCTCTCTGCTTTGAGTTGTCCCTGCCTTTCTGGACAGAACTGATGTACTACTTACATATGTTGACTGATGTCTCATGTCTCCCTAAAATGTATAAAACCAAGCGGTTCCCCGACCACCTTGGGCACATGTCATCAGGACTTCCTGAGGCTGTGTCACGGGCTCACAGGGCACGCATCCTCAACCTTAGCAAAGTAAACTTTGTAAATTAAATGAGACCAGTCTCAGCTTTTCTGGGTTTACAGTTAGAGCAATTTCAGGCTGTGTGTTATTGTGACCTCTCCACACCATCCACTTAAGAAAGAGGGTGGAAGCATGTGGCAGGGAGTGTTCAGGGTACGGATGACTCTTGGTGTCATTAGTCATGAGCACAGGCAAGTGACAGAGGGTGAACTCTTTCTGGTCAGCCTTCTTAGGTCACCTGAAGAGAGAAGAAATCCTGAGCAGAAACCCTGCTTCAACCAGACCTTTTTTTTCAGTTGTTGTTTAAACCCAGTCAGTGGGAAGCCTCTTTATGAGTTCTGTAGTTGAAACTCTGAGTTTTTTTTTTTTTAATTGCTTTGGTCTAAGGAAAAAAATAATACATTCTAGTGAGAGGCTTCGCAGGGCCCCAGAACTATCTGAAACTTTCTGTTCTGCAAGGAATTTGGTTAGGCGGCCTTCTCGAATACCAGGGCATTCTCTCTCAGAAAATGGAGCTCAACAAGAACTGAGGGCAGGCCAGGGCGGGAGTGGGTTGGCAGCTGTATGCTATTCAGCTTTTACCAAGTATTGGGTGAAATGCACGAAATTTAAACGGGAATTCCTGTTTGCTATTTCCCTGCTTGGCTGGAGGAGGTACTGACACAGGTATCAGATAACTGATATTGAAACAAGAATTCACAATTTTTATTGACAACTTGGAAAAGTCAACTGGAGACACACAGTTCTCTTGGAAGCCACTTCCTTTGACCTTCCTGACCCAGTGTCTCCAAAAGCAGGTGAGGATGAGGCTTCTCTTTGTCCAGGTGGGGACACGGTCTCTCCCGCCCCTCCGGCGGCCTTGTAGAAGATAGCCACTAGAGGGCGCCTTTCGCCCAGCCATGGCTCCAAGCGCTAAACCTGCTTCATAGGAGAGCACATTAAGCTGAGAAGGAGGCAAGTCAGTGACGTGGGGAATTATTATGCACAGTTCATTTCCTTATAATTTAACTCTCAGAGTAACAAAAGCATAATGTATAGCCTAGTTTTCGGGTCTGATTTACAACAGTTTAAACTAAAAGATGATTTCTGCCTCACCCACCCCCCTTCTAATCACTTCTGCTATCAGCAACGGAGAATTTTGTATTTCATCACGCGCTGCGTCCTCCTAGGGACACAGATCTGAGAAGAGGAAATTTTAAAACAGGGTTCCTGCAGCAGAGATGGATGCAAATTTTCACTTTCTGCTTCAAATTTCATTATGGCCTTGCTAGTTAAAAAACAAAAGAAGAAACAAAACTTTACGCCTTTATTATGGTTGTTTGGTTAGTATCCCTCACTACTTTTAAACACCCGGAAGTCCAAATGGGGCAAAACAGTTTTGTTCCCAAAGGGCTTATGGAGTCAGTTTCAAACCCAGAGGTAAAAGGAGTGAGCTTGCCGCCCCTCCCCGGCCCGTCTCCCCAGTGGTTCCCTCTGACCCACCCTCCAGCGGCTGACCCTTTTTTTCCTTCTCCCCAGCCCTTCCCTGTAGATTCCAGCCTACTTTGAAGTCTCCTTCCTCCGGCTCCTTGAGCACTTACTGACTCTACCAGCAATTTAGCATTGTGTATCTGCTGTCTCGTTCACTAATTGCTTCATATGTGTATTTTTTCTTCTCCCCAAGGAAAAAGAAATAACATTTTTTTGAGTGCCTACTTTGTCTAAGGCTTTTGGCTAAGGGTATTGCCTGTGATTTCCTTTAATCTTTTAAGCAACCCTATGCCTTAGATGCAATTGATTTCATTTTACAGATGAGGACACTGAGTCAGAGAGGCTAAATCACTTACACAAGGTTACATTACAAATAAAAGTCAGGATTGAAACGCAGGTGCCTCTTGCTGTTATATCATTCTGATACCCACTTTGATGGTAAACAAGGTGAGTGTCTCACCCTTCCACACTTTCAACACCAAGCAGAATGATAGGTTGATATAAAAGGAGAGAAAAAATCATTCACTGAGGTGCTCAAAATTGTTTCCATCTGTTGATTAGGGTTGGCAAGTGAGTAATCAAGTGGCACCCATAAGAGAACAATGGTTTTTTTTAAATAAATATCTGGTGCCTCCCAGAACAACTCTCAGGGCACTGGGCTGCTACAAAAGCATTCGAGCAGGAAGATAAAGCCCCCGAATAAAGTCAGTGAGGAGATGGTCTCTAAAGACCCGGTGGAACCTATAAACCAGGATGCTCGTACTCATCTCTGGTTGACTCTGCACTTTAGGAAGGAAGGGAAATTGGGGGCAGAGGAATGTTGATTCCTAACCTCTGAGACCACACTAGTAAAACATATGGAACCGATAAGGAAATTATCATAGTCCCTAAAGAGTGGTTTTAAGAACTCAGAATTTCATTGCATTTGGGGACTAAAAACACAAAAAAGGAAGCATCTTAGGGTTTCATGTTTATCTTATTTTTGAATTAAATGTTTTTCCAGCTTTATTGAGGTATACTTGACAATAAAAACATATATATTTACAGTATAAAGGTGATGTTTTGGTATATGTATACATTGTTTAATAATCACCACAATCAAACTAATTAACATAGTCATCACCTGGCATACTTACCATTTTTTGTGTGTGGCAAGAACATTTAAGATCTATTAGAAATTTTCAAGTATACATTATTTTTAAACTGAAATTTTATTTTTTTTATTTATTTATTTATTTATTTATTTATTTTTGAGACACAGTCTTGCTCTGTCACCCAGGCTGGAGTGCAGTGGTAAAATCTCAGCTCACTGCTACCTCTGCCTCCCAGGTTCAAGTGATTCTCCTGCCTCAACCTCCCTAGTAGCTGAGATTATAGGCGCCCACAGTCACACCTGGCTAATTTTTGTATTTTCAGTAAAGACGAGGTTCTACCAGTTTGGCCAGGCTGGTCTCGAACTCCTGACCTCAAGTTATCCGCCTGTCCTGACCTCCCAAAGTGCTAGGATTACAGGCTTGAGCCACTGTGCCCGGCCTAGTATACATTATTATTAACTATAGACACCATGCTGTATGACAGATCTCCAGAACTTCTTTATCCTAACTGAAACTTTGTACCCTTTGACCAATGACTCCTCATTTCCTCCCCACCTCCCAACCCCTGGCAACCACCTCCCTGCTTCTATGCGTTTGACTTTTTTAGATGCCACATATAAGTGAGATCCTGCAATATTTTCCTTTCTGTGCTGGCTTATTTCACCTAGCACAGTACCCTGCAGGTTTACCTATGTTGTTATAAATGTCAGAATTTCCCTCTTTTATAAGGCTGAATAGTATTCCACTGTGTGTGTGCACATGTGTGTATCATATTTTCTTTATCCATTCATCTGTTTATAGACACTTAGGTTGAGTCCATACCTTGGCTATTGTGAGTAGTACTGAGATAAACATGGGATTACAGACACATCTCTTTGAAATACTGATTTCGTTTCCTTTAGACTGATACCCAGAAGTGGAATTGCTAGATCATATGGTAGTTCCATTTTCAAAATTTTGAGGAGCCCTTCCATATTGTTTTTCACAATGGCTGTACGAATTTACAGTCCTGCCAACAATGTACAGAGCTTCCCATTTCTCCACTCCCGTGCCAACACTTATCTTTTGTCTTTTTGATAATAGTCATTCTACCTGGTGTTGAGATGATATCTCATTGCATATCAATTTGCATTTCTCTGATGATGAGTGATATTGAGCATTTTTTCATATATGTGTTAACCATTTGTATATCTTCTTTAGAAAAACGTCTATTCAGGTCCTTTACACATTTTAAAATAGGGTTGTTTCAGTCATTTAAGTTCCTTATCTATTGTGGATATTAACTCCTTATCAGATACGTGGTTTTCAAATACTCTTTCCCATTCCATAGGCTGCCTCTTTACTCTGTTGATTGTTTCTCTTGCTGGGCAGAAGCTTTTTAAGTTTCAGGATACAAAATTAATATGTAAAAATTAGTAGCATTTCATATACTATCAATGAACGATCTGAAAATCTAAAAAAAAATCTCATTTGCAATAGTATAAAAACTATTCAGAAATAAATTTAACCAAGGAGGTAAAAGATCTGTACACCGACCAGTATAAGACATTAATGAAGGAAATGAAGAAGACACAAATAAATGGAAAGATATCCTGTGTTCATGGATTGAAAGAACTAATAATGTTAAAATGTTCACATTACCCAATCCGTAGCAATCTACAGATTCAATGCTGTCCCTATCAAAATTCCAATGGCATTTTTCACAGAAATTTTCCTAAAATTCATATGGAACTAAAAGAGACCCCCCAAAGAGCCAAAGCAATCTTGAGCAAAAAGAACAAAGCTGGGAAGCATCACAATACCTGATTTCAAATTATACCACAAAGTTATAGTAAGCAAAATGGCATGGTACCAGCATAAAAATAGACTCATGGACAAATAGAAGAAAATAGAGAGCCGAGAAATCAATCTCTGCATTTATGGCCAATTGATCTTCAACAAGAACACCAATAAGACACAGTAGGGAGATGATAGTTTCTTCAATAAATGTTGTTGGGAAAATCGGATATCCATGAAGAAGAATAAAACTGGAACTTTATCTCACACCATATAGAAAAATCAACTCAAAATTGATTAAAGACTTAGATGTAAGACCTGAAACAATAAACGACCAGAAGAAAAGATAGGGCAAACGCTTCTTGATATTAGTCTGGGCAATGATGTTTTGGATATGACCCCAAAAGCACAGGCAACAAAAGCAAAAATAGACAAGTAGGATAGCATTAAACACATCTTGGGGGTTTTGACTGTTAAGATTGCCAAGAAGCTAACTAATGCCTAACTTTAAGGGTATCCCAAGAGCTGCATGATCACAGCACTCTGCACAGCTTTGACATGAGTCCTTGGATCTTTGTGCCATTTTTGAGTGGAAAGTTCAGGATGGAGGAGAAGGAAAAGTGCTGAGCTTTGAGGACAGAAAATCAGACAAGCTTCGTTTCTGCTTCCGCTTCTGCTTCTTATCTGTTCTGTGACCTTGAGTCTATGACTACACTTCTTTGGGTCAATTTTCTCGTATTTAGAATGGGAATAATGAATAGTACCTACTCCTTAAAGTCAGCATGAGGATGAAATCAAATAAAGCGTGGGCAACATGAATTTAGGAAAAACCTGGGGCTCGGATTTAGCAAGACTGTCATGAAGAAAACCCCTCAGCTTTACCTACCCACTGAGGTAGAGGCCATAGCTTATCAGTTCTAAGACACCATGGGCTGTAAGATATGACATGGCTTTATGCATTACCAAGAATGAAAACCGAAACAAAAACAAAACAACCCTACCAATTAAACTCTGCATTTCATTGATTATAAGATACATCCCAACATTAAAAATGCTCAAATGGGGAAAATTAGCTTAAGAAAAAATTCATTTAAAAGTGAATGAACTGTAGTACTTGCTAAAAAGCTTCTAAGGCGAGCGGGCGCGGTGGCTCACGCCTGTAATCCCAGCACTTTGGGAGGCCGAGGAGGGCGGATCACGAGGTCAGGAGATCCAGACCATCCTGGCTAACATGGTGAAACCCCGTCTCTACTAAAAATACAAAAAAATTAGCCGGGCGTGGTGGCGGGCGCCTGTAGTCCCAGCTACTCTGGAGGCTGAGGCAGGAGAATGGCATGAACCCGGGAGGCGGAGCTTGCAGTGAGCCGAGATTGCGCCACTGCACTCCAGCCTGGGCGAGAGAGCGAGACTCCATCTCAAAAAAAAAAAAAAAAAAAAAAAAAAAAAAAAAAAAAGCCTCTAAGGCAAGTAGCTATGGAGTGGTTTCCACAACAAAGGTTGTAATGAGCACATCTGATCAACTGGGAGGGAAGGATGGGATGAGAGGTTGACAGAGATCGAATTGTAAGCCAGGGACTGGGCATGGGGTGGGGGGCTTTGGGAGCTCCTGCTATAAAGTGTATTTTAAGAGAAGAAAAAGTCAGAATCTGTAATGAACCTGAGGGTCAGAGGGATCTGCTAATTTTAAGAACAGCAACATCGTAGCTGTTTCTTGAATTCACTCTGATCCAATCACTCTAGAGCAATGTGGGCATCCTTAGGAGGAAAGGATACAGGAGAAAAAGAGGAGCAGGCTCACCAACTCAGGGGCTTGGGGCTCAGCCATTTGCAGAGGACCCCCGATCAGGCTAATGCAGGCAAGAGGGTGATGTCTTCCATCTGCTTTCATGCTAGACTGCAGCCGCCAGGGACTCTTGAGGATAGAGAGTGATGATGCTGCAGCCACTCGCTGTCCATCCGCAGGTCCCTAGCAGCAGTGGGCAGGAGCAGTAGAGGTGACTGATGACTGGCACTGCAGAGGCCAGGGTGCTTCAGGGAGCAGCAGCCAGAAGGGCATTCAGGCAGCAGCAGTTGGCAGCCTGAGGCAGCAGAGGGAAGCTGCGGCAGGGCTGATGCCTGAGTGCACAGGTGACACCTTCCGGGGCCTCCCTGCAATACCTGGCAGGAGGAAGAGACCTTGAAAGTAAGCTGGAAATCCTACCTATGCTGATGGGGCGAGGAACCAGAGAGCCCAGAGCGCTTAGGTTAATGGGATCTGATTTATATTCACAAGCGGCTGAGGCTTGGGATCCTTCCTGTAACCTTTTAGACGCCTATTGCTGAGTGAATACTAAGTTCCCTTTTCTTCCCTTCCTATCTCTAGAAGGCTTGTATTTGGGGACCTTATCCTAATTTATCAATGTGATATTAAGACTCAGTCCATCTATGATCATGTTTTTCCTAACCTTTATTAAGCAAAAATAGAGTCAAGTTGTATTTAAAAAGATCTCCCAAGGTGCCAATTCAAACAAAATGCATTCTTCCCAATGTTGCTTCTCTCAGCTCTGTAATAAGCCAATGTGAATCCAAATGGATGAGGTTCTGGAAGGCATACCAGGCTCACTCTTGTCTCAGGGCTGGTGCACCTGCTTTCACCCTGTTGGTGGGAAGAACGTTCCAGGGAGTTTGTGTGTCTTATTCTTTTGAGTCTTTGTTCAAAGGTCACTTTCTTAGTGAGATCTACCAGACCACCTTAATTAAAATTGCAGCCGCCCACCAGCCCCACGTCCCTCCCGTGCGTGCTTTTATTCCCCATCATATTCATGACCACCGATGCACGTTTTAGTAATAATTTGTTTATTGTTTGCCTCCTGCAGTAGAAGGACAGAAATTTTTTTCAGTCCTGTTTATTCACATATCTCAGAGCCTGGAGGGGTGCCTGACATGTGAAAGCCCTCAAATATTTGTGTGAATGCTATGAAAATGTTCCATCCTCATTAATATTTCTGCTATTTGACATTGGTTGGGTTGAAAGTGGGATTTTATTTTCTTAGCATCTTTCTTAATATATCTAAGAATTCTTTCTTGCTACATTTAACTCTGGATAAAGGAAAAAGTATGCATAAAAGAATAAGAAAAATGCCATATAGAAAGCAAATGAAGGCTCACAAAGCCAGCATGTGGCAACAAAACCAAAGGAAGATTATTCAGTCCCAGAAAGCTAAAGGCTCCATACCAAGTGATAATATAATGATAACAATAATAATAGTAATAGTGATAGCTGCTGGCGGGTACCACCTGCAATCCAGGGCTTCATTTTCCAGACATGTAATTAGTATCATAGAATTGTCTTTCAGGAGCTTAGAATTCCTGTGACCTTATTGGGGCAGGGGGTGGGAAACTACATGGGAACTGACATGAAGATACATAATAACAGGAAGTAGGAGTGGCAAAAGGAAAAGGAGGAGGAGAAACAGAAGGAAAGTAAAAGGGAACAGGCCAGTATCCCCAGCTGCCCCCACCCCCTACCCACCCAGAACACTCATTTCACGGTCTGCAATGTTTCTGCTCTCTGTTCCAGCATCAACCTCAGCTCAGGTGGGATTCTTTTCCTTTAATATGTCAAATGTTTAAAATCATCTGCAACATCTCTTTGGAGGAATTAATGACAAATAAGGCATCTTAAAAAATTGCTTAAGATACCTTTCTATAACGGTTTAAAAGTGTGAGTATCCCAGCTCAAGCATAGCCCTCAAAGCTTCTGAATACCACAGGATAAAGGAGCTCCCAGGGCTTCTTGGAGGAAAAACTGCATCAGCAGGTTTGGAAATTCAGCCTTAAGCCCCTGGTACAAAGGTGAACAGGGAATTAGGGGTGAAGTGAATCTGGGAACTCAGCCTCAGTGGTTTGTGGCACACATGAGCTCACAGTCACTCTGACTTCCTTCCAGCACATTGAGCAAAGCTGAAAGCATCCACTCACTTGGAGGAATATACCAGGAAGCTAGGCATGACAACTAAAATACCACCCTGTCCATTTTCAATCCAAATGAAACAACGGTCAGGATTTGGAACTGAGAAACCGCAGTGATGAATCAAAGAGCCAAGAGAGAAAGACTCTAAACTTCCGTTTAAAAAGGGTTTGTCCTCAGGAGGAGCAGAGTGACATAGATTAGTGCCACTGCTTTAGTTTCAGATGGAGAAATTATGCCAGGAGGGAGAATTGCTGTGATTTGCTTCCTATTACACAGGTGGAGCAGAGTTTTTAATAATTACTGGCTGACAGCAGCTGTGTTTTTAACACCATAGCAACAATCAACTCCTAGTTTATTCTGAGTTGATAAAATTATCCAGGCCACAAAGACATTATTAAAAATAAAAATGTCTGTTCCATGGATTTAAGGCAGCGCTTCTCAAATTTTACTGTGCTTTGGAGTCAACAGGGGCTGCCAACTAAAAATGCAGATGCCATAGACTTAACCCCTGAGATTCTAGATCATAGTATTTGAGAGCGAAGTCCCAGAAATCTGTACTGCTAACAAGCTCCCTAAATGACTCACAAGTGGGAAGTTCACGAACCATCCTTTGAGAGATACTGCAAACCAGGTGTGGTGGCTCACGCCCGTAATCCTAGAACTTTGAGCGGTCGAGGCGGGAGCATCGCTTGAGCCCAGTAGTTCAAGACCAGCCGGGACAGCAAAATGAGACCCCGTCTCTACAAAAAACATTTTAAAAACTAGCCGGGAGTTGTGGCACGCACCTGTGGTCCCAGCTACTTGGGAGGCTGAGGCAGGAGGAGCGCTTGAGCCCAGGAGATCTAGGCTTCAGTAAGCCATGATCATATCACTGCACTCCAGCCCGGGTGACAGAGTGAGACCGTGTCTCAAAAAATGAGAGAAAAAGCGAGATACTGCATTAGATCATGCCTAAGAGTTGAGTTGTTAGTCTAGTGCCTTCCCCAAGCGGCACGAAGGACAGACTCCAGATCTGCACTGGCTACTATGGAAGCCACCAGTCACATGTGGCTACTGAGCACCAGGAACATCCACACTGAGATGTGCCGTAAGTATAAAACACACTGGATTGCAAAATCAGTATATATATTAGAAACAGTGCAAAATATCTCATTTAAAATGTTTATATTCATTATATTTGAAATAATAATATTCTGGCTATAGTGTGCTACATAAAATATATTACTAAAGTTAATTTTACTGGTTTCTTTTTACATTTTAAAGTAGCTGCTAGAAGATCTACAGTTACATATAAGACTCGCACTATATTTTAGAGCTACTCTAGATACAGGTGTTTCTGGTTATAGAACAGCTCATAAAAACTTTCCAGACAAGAAGTATTTCCAGTTTTATTCTCCTTTGTCTTATCTATACCCTTAAAAGAAATGGAGGCTAGTCTAACCTGACAGCAGAGGTTGAAAACAGGTAGCTTTTTAGATCAATAAAGCCTATAGAGATGTTTCACCTGCAAAATGTTGGCCTACGCAACGTGTTCCAAAAATCTCTTCAACATTTAAAAAAACTACATAGTTTAATACATCTTTTTTATTTCTAGCATCTGCTGAAAAAATCAGAAGATTCAGCAATACTGAGCCCACCACCCCAAATGAAAAAAATTCTCCTGGCTCCAGGATGAAGTAACTGCTTCATCAGAAGCCCTTCAGAAGAACACACAGGTATGAGCAAAATATTCAAATTCTGTCATTAAACTTTCATCATAAAAGAACCACAGCTTTCTATGTATCTTTCCATTTTATTGTCATTGTTCTATTTGTTTTCATGAAAGTATGTTGGTCAAGGTAGGAGGTAGGAGGATAGAATATATGTTATCTTGTACTTTGTTGGCTTGATTTATAACTTTGCAATATTTAGACATAGGATAGATGGACTTTTGTTTCTACTCTTGATGCAGACCCAGTAAAGTTAGGAGCAAGCCTAGTGCCGAGCACCTAAATGAAGATCAATAAATACTTGTTGACTGACTGGTGTAGAACTGGAACAAGGGCAAGAGGATTTTTAAAAAATGATGTTTAAGAATATTGAATTCCTGTACACCCCCTTGCTTAATTGTCAGCTTGAGTCTCAGGGTAATGTCAGTGAAATTCCCTGGCTGGGATGAACGGGGCAGCTGGCTGGTTGTGAGACAACAGGTAATGTCTCATTCATGCTAGCAAAAATCACGTGACTACATCCCCCATGTCAAACCTCCCTAGTTGGGGGTCTCATTGCCAAGCCTATGGAATTCTGCCTACCACTTTAAGAAGTTGCTTATTTGAGTGTACTCATTATTTTTTATTTCACACTAATAAACTTAGGAAGCTCCTGGCCCTGTTGACTCGAGAGAATGTCAAAACTGACTGTGTTTTTTGAAATCCTTCTCTCTATAAATCACAATAGGAAACTCTGTATTATCATTTGATAGTTAACAAATATGTATTTAGTGAATATGCTGTGTTGCGTGTTGTATTAGGCTCCATGCAAGGGATTGGGAAATAGAAAATATGATAAAGCAGGAGAACTAGCATTTTGGAAGATCTTCTTATCATTCTCCTTTGTGGGGGAGGACCACTGAATCAAACTATGCAGTGACATACAGCCATTTACATTTATCATCACCCTCACCATTCTGTGGTTCTGCTGGGGCAGCTCTGTCTCGACCGTGGGACTGAGTCAGCTGGGGTGGCTCTGATCCACAGGGGTTCATTCTGGGGTCCAGGCTGAAGGAGCAGCCGCTTCTCATGACCCATTCTTCTCGTGGCAATGATAGGGAGAGAGAGAGCCAGGCCCACCATGCAGGCTGACTTTAAGCCTTTGCTTGTGTCACTCCTGTTGATAGGCCATTGGCCAAAGCAGATTGCATGGCCAAGCCCACGTTGGGATGAAAAGAAAAGTGAATGTTTGCAGAAATTAAATCCAAATGATCCCAACTCCCCTAGAGTGAGTCCCGGGGTGTGCAGGGCACTCCATCTCCCACTTCAGAGGTTAAAGAGGCAAGACATCTCTTCTCTCTGGACCCTGCCCTGGCTTGGCCAACTGAACAATTCAGAAGTAATGACTCAAAGAGGTAAGAGAGATCACTCACTTGGCAAGAGTAGAATCAAATGAGCAGAGCCAGGTGCAGTGGCTCATTCCTGTAATCCCAGCATTTTGAAAGGCTGAGGCGGGTGGATTACTTGAGGTCAGGAGTTTGAGACCAGCCTGGCCAACATGATGAAACCCAGTCTCTACTAAAATTACAAAAATTAGCTGGGCGTGGTAGAGTATATCTGTACTCCCAGCTACTTAGGAGGCTGAGGAAGGAGAATTGCTTGAACCTGGGAGGTGGAGGTTGCAGTGAACCGAGATCACACCACTGCACTCCAGCCTGGGTGACAGAGTGAGACTGTCTAGGAAAAAAAAAAAAAAATCAAATGAG